>NC_000003.12:49100909-49403939 GCF_000001405.40 Homo sapiens
TTTTGTATTTTTAGTAGAGATGGGGTTTCACCATGTTGGCCAGATTGGTTTCGAACTCCTGACCTCAAGTGATCCACCCACTTTAGCCTCCCGAAGTGTTGAGATTACAGGCGTGAGCCACCCAACCCGGACTCATGTCAGAATTAAAAATGTCTTCAAGAGCTTCTCTCACCTTCCTGTATCTAACCTAGCATCTTTCTAAGCCTAGGGACTGCACTGGCAACTCCCCCAAATTTGAACTCACTGACTCCTCAGAGGGAGGGAGCTATTTATTCCAATAAGCTCAATAGATTCCTAGGTATCTGTCACACATGTGGTTCCTTTCCATGGCCTCTGCCCACCTGGGTACATTATTGGGAGCAGACAGCAAGGCAGGGATATGGTATCCACTCATGGGAACAGCAAGTGGTCATCTTGCTTGCCAGGTCCCTAGACACATGCTTACCTTGGCATAGCCAAAGTTGAAATTGATGGCTTTGGCATGTCCAATATGCAGGATTCCATTGGGTTCTGGCGGGAACCGGGTACGTACCTAAAATAAGGGGGATGGGAAAAGAGAAATAAAGTCTGAGCTCAGATGACCTTAAAGAAACAGATGTTCCCTCCCAGGAAGGCCATGGTGATGGGTGAGATGGGGCAGTATGGACGCAGCCCAGGCACTCAGGCAGGTGTTTGATGGCACAAGCTCACATGGCCACATCCCCACACACCTGCCCACCAGTAATCTCCAGGTGCTGCTTTAGTAGATTCATGGTGTGTGGAGTGACCACATAGCCTGGGGTCTTGTAGTTCTCACCTGCCAGGACCAGAATAAGCCTAAGGACCAGGCTGCAGCCAAAGCCTCTGACCCCAGGGGCCTGACTATAGGAGCTGCTGCCAAGATCCAGCCCTCCCCAGGGTTTTGACATGCCCACTAACCAGGCTTGTGGAACTTAAGGGCCTCCCCCCGGAGCTGCTCCATCAGAGACAGGGTCTGGTCAGCAGTCTCGCCTGTGGGGAACAAAACAAGGAAAACTTGTCCTCTAGATACATTTACCATATCCTACAGCCAGAACAGAACTGAGTAGACCCCTATTCCCTCAATTCCAGAGACAAGATATCTAGAGCCAGACATCTGAGGCCTCTCATGCCAGTCTCTGGGCAAAGGGAACAAAAGAAACACCAGGAATCCCAGTCTTGAGACAGAAGTCAGGGTACTGAGTAAGCCAAGGGCCTGAGGAGCCTGTAAGGACTCTTCTGAGGAGGTTCAGAAGTCAGGGAGCTGAATGCTGTGACAGGAGTCTCAAGCTTCTCACCATTCTCCACCACATCCTTTGCCGTCCTCCGGTCTGTTTCTTCTAGCCGAGCTTTTGCCACCTGAAAGAAGCCCCAGGTGCTTCAGAAAATGGCATCAAATTTTCTCTTGGATAGGGTCTTGGGATCCCTGTGGTCAGACACTTCCTTCCCCAGCCTGAAGTCTCACCATACCTCACCTCACCCTCAGGGACTCAGGGCCATGCCCATCCCTACCTTGAACTTCTTCTCCAGATCAGCCTCCAACTTGGGGCCCAGAAGGTGGAGGACCTGAGCAGAGACCAGAATCAGGCAGAGGCAGGAGTATCCTCTTTCAAGGAGCCCCTGACTGATCCTACCCACCAACCCAAGGCTTCCTGGCCTATCTACCAGCACTGACTGAAAAAACCTACCTAGCCCATCCCATCTCTTCTCATGTGGGTCTGCTAGCTTAAAATGCTCTTGCTCTTGTTGCCCAGACTGGAGTCTTGCTCATGTTGCCCAGGCTGGAATGCAATGGCACAGTCTCCGCTCACTGCAACCTCCGCCTCCTGGATTCAAGCGATTTTCCTACCTCAGCCCTTCTGAGTACCTGGGACTGCATGTGCCCGCCACCACACCCAGCTAATTTTTGTACTTTTTGTAGAGATGGGGTTTCACCATGTTGGCCAGGCTGTTCTCAAACTCCTGACCTCAGGTGATCTGCCCACCTCAGCCTCCCAATAGTGTTGGGATTACAGGTGTGAGCCACCATGCCCAGCCCCCTCCCACCTTTTTTTATTGTTGTTGATTTTGAGACAGGGTCTCATTCTGTACTCCAGGATGGAGTGCAGTGGTGCAATCAGAGCTTACTGCAGCCTTGATCTCTTAGATTCAAGCAATCTTCCCACCACAGCCCCACAAATTGCTGGGACTACAGGTATACACCACCATGTCTGGCTAATTTTTAAATTTTCTGTAGAGAGGAGTTCTCAATATGTTGCTCAGGCTGGTCTTGAACTCCTGGGCTCAAGTAATCCTCCTGCCTCAGCCTCCCAAAGTGCTGGGATCAGAAGCGTGAGCCACCATGCCCAGCCCTCTTCCTGCCTTTTATCCCTTAGTGGATTCCAGGCTCTGTTCATGCCAGAGTCTTTGCCAGCTTCAGCTTAGTGAAGCACGCTCACCTGCATGTCCACTTCATTCTTGATCATTTTGCCATCTGCCCACTTCAGCACAGCCCGAGCCTCTCCTAGAAGCATAGGCACAAGGAGCTGCAGAAAGGCAAAAAAGAGTACTCCCCCCACCTCTTTCCCAAGGAAAGGTCCTGGCTGACCACCAGAACCAGAGCCTGAGCCCAGCCAGACCACTTTAAGTCACTCCTGTTCCTTCCCCCACCTCCTTCTCACTCGTGCCCAGAAGAAAAGGCATGACCAGAGAGAACAATATAGCCCCGTTCCAGGCCCTGCTCACCCATCAGCAGCCCCATGTTGAAATGGTAACGTTCCACCAGGAGCTGGGGCCGGTGCCTGTTAATAGCAGCCTCCACCTGCAGAAAGCCAAACCATGTGGTTCAGGAAAGCCACCTTTAGAGATATTCTGGGAACCCACACCCTCACTCTGGGTCTTCCTGAGGAGGGAAACTGAGCCACTCCTTTCCATGGCCAGGACTGGGGAGGCAGACGATGCCTGGGGAAAGACTCACAGCCTCCTCAATCTGCTCTGGGGTCACAATGACACCCACGCCACATTCCCGCTCGAAGTCCACAGTGTCGATGGGGTCCAAGGGGTGACTCCGCACATACTCAAGGGCAGCTGAGAAGAAAGAGCCCGTGAGTTTGTGGCATCTCTGCTCCAAGAAGTGGACAGACAGGGTCCTAATCTCATGAAACTCCAAGGATAGTCTGGCCTCCTGAAAAGTTAAGCCCTGGCACCACCACCCTAGAGAACACAGGGAAGAAAGAAGCACGTGTCGAGAGTGGATCCCCCCTCAGACCCTGACAGTTCCCGTGTCAGTCTCACCATAGGCCACCCCTTCCATGCCTCAGTGCCTGTGCAGAACTAGGTGTCTAGAAAGAAACTGGAGGACTTGGCAAAAAGGGAAGACAGGGGTCTTGGCTGAAGGGAGGCATTGGTGCGAACTGGCAGGACAGGTAGGGGTCTCACCGCTTAGCTGGGGCTCAGTGTGGATCTTCTTACTGGCTATGTAGCTTACAAGGAAGGAGAGACGCCGGGTATCCCTGAGTCGGGAGGCCAAGCCATATAACAGGATCCCGGTAGCTTTGTCAATGGTGGAACCCAGGGTCTGCTGAGCCTGAGGTCAGAGGGGTCAAGAGAGAAGCCCCGCGCTCAGTGAGAGGAAAGGGCGGGACAAACGGGGCAGGTCGGGATCTGGACCCCGCCCCGCGCTGCGTTGCAGCATGGTCTGCAAACCAGGCCGGGGGCAGAGGGGCTCGCACCTGAGTAGCGGCCTCGCGCAGCTGCGCGCTCAGAGCCGAGTTCTTGAGCGTCTCGCGGGCCTTCTGCTCGCTCAGGCCGAGGCTAGTGAAGAGCGACAGGGAGTCTAGAGCCGCCATTGCAGAGACACCGGAAACTAAAAGAAACTTAGGCCCCAGTCTGCAGGTCGGCATTCACTCGCTGACCAATGAGAGTGAAGCCTCCGGGGAGAGCCAATGGGGTCCTTCCTTGGCGGGAGGGGGCGGGGCGCTCCAAGGTCGTCTATCCCCTTTAAACAACACAGGGCGGACAAACCGGCCTTTCCGGGGGCTTTGCTTCCGCCTCCGTGGAACTGGGAACTTGAAGGGGTGTTGGCAGGCGGCAGGGCTTTTGGAGATATTTGCCACGGACCTGGAAGGAAGGTGTTCGTCCCTGAGGCAGGAGGAAGACACAGGCGTGGTTTTGCTCTGACTTTTCTACTTCAGCCCTGGTAACTCCATCTCAATATAGTAATTGTCCTCGGGGGCAAATGCGAGTCCCTGTCACGCTTTTGACGCCACAGCTTTGGAGTTGTCATGGAAACAGTTGAACAAATGAAGCCCAGGAAATCCCTCATCCAGACTCCATCGTAGAGAATGTGTGGAATGACCGATCCAGGGGCCCCATAAGTCCGCCGGTTTTCAGGTGCCCACTTGGACACAGCTGGCCAGGAAAGGGAAGGGACGGGTCTGGGCCAGGAGGGACCTCACATAAGTTCTATGATGATTTGGTTTAAAATCTTGGCCGGGCGCAGTGGCTCAGGCCTTTAATCCCAGCACTTTGGGAGGCCGAGGCGGGCGGATCACTTGAGGCCAGGAGTTCGAGATCAGCCTCGCCAACATGGTGAAACCCTGTCTCTACTAAAAATACAAAAATTAGCCGGGCGTGATGGCGCACGCCTGTAATCCCAGCTACTCAGGAGGCTGAGGCTGGAGAATCGCTTGAACCTGGGAGGCGGAAGTTGCAGTGAGCCGAGATTGTGCCACTGCACTCCAGCCTGGTCAACAGAGTAAGACTGTCTCAAAAAAAAAAAAAGAAAAGAAAAAAAAATCTCATCCCACACTTACCCTCTTGCCAAAGCATTATCAGGAAAACCACAAGCAAATTAGACCTTGAAATCCCTCTGCAGGCCTTTGAGAGGATATTTTATTGAGCTTGTGAGAGGGTGGGACAAATGAGATGGTTATAGCTTCATGATTATAGCTGTTGTGCTTGGGGATCTTTCCACAGTCTCACTGGACTTCCAGGACCTGCTGGCTGAAACAGAACAGAGACTTTGTGTGTGTGTGAGAAAAGGGACTAAGGTAGTAAGGGACTGAGGTAGGGGGTTGCAGAGAATGAGCAGCTGGTGGTGGGATGGTGGAAATCCCCACATTTGAGATTGGAGCTCTTGCAGGAATTGGTGATGCTCATACTTCTGGACCTTCAAGGAATAGGCAGGATCCTGACTAGTCTTTATCTATATTCTGTGTCTTTTGTGCCCACATCCCATTATTAATGACCAACCTCCAAGTCTGGGCCTACATCTGGATACCACCTAATGATCACATGCCAGGTGCAGACCAGGGCCACATGCTGTATCGCTATCCAGGTCCAATGCTGTCCTGGGGCTTCCCACATCTCCATGGCCCCGTGGCCCCAGCCAGATGCCTAGCCCTGCAGTGTACTGCATGAGAAAGGCCAGGTGCAGGAATTAAGCAGGGGATGCAGACCAGTGGTGCTAAGGACAGGTACCAAGAAGCAGAGCCATAGCCACACCAGCCGTGCACCAAATTTGAAGCTGCAAGTACCCAGCCCACCATAAAGGTGCCCATGGTGAGCAAAGCCATGCAGAGTGCCTGCCACTGCCACTATTTCCTCAGTACCTGATGCTGCCAATAGATTCACTGTAGCACCATCACCAAGTCCTACAGGTCTAGTGATGGCTCCCTCAATGAGATCAAGATCTGCACTCCCTTCCCTGGTTACTTCATGGTACACTGTGGACGCCATGGCTACAAGTCATAGAATGAGGCAGTAGCCCCACCAGTGTCACCAAGAATGCCACAAGTGGTAGCATACCAGTCGATATCCAGCTAGTGCCCTAGATGTCTACGACTTGCACAAAGCAGAAATGTTAAATTGTATGGGCCCAGTCTGGAGGTTAGCTTGCCTGCATAAGCCCCTGGCACTGCTTCCAGGAAAAGTCAAGACAAAGATGACCAAGTGGAAAAACCAGGCAGCAGCCAGCAAGGCCCAGTCGTGGAATGGACAGAGGTAGGGTCCAGCAACCTCCTGGGCTCAAACGATCCTCCCATCTCAGCCTCTGAAATATTTGGGACTACAAGTGCATACCATAAGAGCCAGCTAATTTTTATATTTTTGGTAAAGACAGGGTCTCACTATGTTGCCCAGGCTGGTCCTGAACTCCTAGGCTCAAGCTATCCTCCCACCTCGCCCCAAAGTGCTGGGATTACAGGCATAAGCCACCACACTTGGCCAGTTTCAGCAACTTTTTTTTTTTTTTTTTTTTTTGAGACGGAGTCTTGCTCTGTCGCCCAGGCTAGAGTGCAGTGGCGCGATCTCGGCTCCCTGCAACCTCCGCCTCCCAGGTTCAAGCGATTCTCCTGCCTCAGCCTCCCAAGTAGCTGGGATTACAGGTGCCCGCCACTGCACCTAATTTTTGTATTTTTAGTAGAGACGGGGTTTCACCATCTTGGCCAGGCTGGTCTCGAACTCCTGACCTCATGACCCACTCGCCTCGGCCTCTCAAAGTGCGGGGATTACAAGTGTGAGCCACCATGCCTGGCCAAAGAAGGAAGGCTTCAGGAACTCTTAAGGGAAGACTCTTCAGGCTGGCAGGCCCCAGCACCCTCCCTCCAATAGAAGTCAGACAAGATTCACTCTGGTCCTCTCTGCTTGTCCTCTTTTCAGGGCAGCAAGATCTGCCCCACAGCAGTTTTCCTCCTGCTCTGTTACCTGCAGGGATGCAGTTAGTGTTCAAGTTACAGCAAAGAAAAAGCTGAGGACAGGAGAGGAGGAGGAAGATCTCCCAGTACTTCTGTCCCCCAAGTCCTCCCTGACTTGTCAGCCCCAGGCTGCTCTGGTGAATGCACCTTTTACTCCACGCTGTCAGCTCCAGTGCTTCATATACTCCTCTGTCCCTTGGCTATATTGAGATCCTGACGATGCCTACCAAGCTGCCTCTTATGTAGGATCCAGAACCAGTGGGATGAAAGAGCAGCAGGTAGGCTCCAAAAAGCTGATAGCACTGGGGGCTTCATGACCCATAGGACATGAGCTGGGACCCCATCATCTCCCTTCAGACTAGGGCACTTTCAGGGTCTCTCATATATAAACACACATACACACACATACACACCGCAAATGATGGGGAGGGGAGGTGGCCCCAGCATGTGGTGGATCACAGTCACTAAGTCTACTTACTTATTATTTATTTTTAAAATATATTTAAACAGCAGCAGTCACTTCCAAAATGCAAAAAAAATTACAATTTTTAGAATAAAATTATAATGTTTATAATGCGGGTCAGAAGAATTGAAGGTACAACAGAATCAAATCACGCAGCACTGGAGGCGGCTGGAGAAGCCAAAGCCCACTGGTCAGGGGTCCAAGCTGACAAGAAGTCCCAACCTGAGAGGTCTCCACACCCAAATCATACCCCTCAGCTTCCCATTGACAGAGCCAGTGTCCTCTGGGTTAGAGAAGGAGAAGCGGCAAGGAGCTGGCCCTCTGTGTGGGTGTCCCAAACCCAGTCCCCCCCATCAGCCAGGGACCTGCTAATCCACCTCCTCCATGTTGCTGTAGGTGGGGGCTGGCCGATCCACAGGGGGGGCGAAGCGTTCAGGGGCTGTCCGCGTGGGGGCCACCTCGGGGGCCTGGCCAGGGCCTAGTCCCTGCAACAGAATACGAGGACAGGGGTTGGGGGCTGCCCAGCATGCCGCCTGGCATCCCGGGGGTGCTGGCTTGGAGCCCTGGCACCCAAGGGAGGGTCCCAAGGCAGGCGCAGACAGCAGCGGCGTTGAGACAGAGAGACGAGATTGGGCCTGAATAGTCTGGTTTTATTAACACTTTTAAGTACAGGAAGTAGCTTGGGCAGGGCCAAGCCTGAGGCCAAGGGTCAGAGCAGCAGGATGAATGGACAGACAGCCAGATGGATACACACCCTAGGATACTCTGCCCCTGCAGGGGCCACAACCTCCCCACCCTCTCCCACCAGATGCATAAGCTGAGGCCCAAAGCCCAGAGGTGTTCCCCACAACAAAGGCAGGCATGGCCTGGGGCAGGCAGGTAGGCCAGCTCACAGCAGCTGCCTGCAGGCGAGCTCATCTCCAGCGACTCTGGGATACCAGAGGATAGAACACGTTGAGCACGAGGGCCACCAAAGCCGCCACGGTGCCCAGGACAAAGTACCGGAGGCAGCCCTCATCTGGTGTGGTAGGGCCACGTGGTAGGGGGCCCACCCAGTCTTGGGGCCCCCAGGGACCCAGGGGCCCAGACCCCTCAGGCACCGGCTCCTCCTCAGCCTCCAGCTCCTGCCAAATCCGGGAAGCCTAGGGTATGTGGAAACGGCCATCAGCACCCCGGGGGTGGGGAGGACCCAGTGTCCCTGAGACCCTTAGCCATGACAGTCCCACCTGGGGTGACTGGGGCTAACACCCTGCATTCTAGATCAAACAGCAAGGAGGAAGGCAGGCAGCCAACCTCAGGGCTGTCCAGAGTAAGAGCACAAGGGTAAGAGAATCTTGACAGCATTTTGGCCTACCCTAAACAGCTCTCAATCCACATGCAGCTCCGCATGGAGGTGGGAGGGGAGTTATCTGGTTAGTATTTCAGTCCAGGCCTCCCCAAAGGACACCGATTCATAGAGAACAGGACTGCCAATCCCAGAGCAATCTCCTTGCTCCTTCCCACCCATACCCAGATCCTGACCAGTCTTCTGCAAGGATTTCTCTAAGCTTGACAGAGAAGGCTCAAGAGAGGATGGAGCCAGAAAGGAGACGGCCAGTCCAGAAAAGAGATGTGCCTACGCCCACTAACTGGGCCTATGGCACACCATGTCACTAAAGAGAAGATCCTGAAGGCTCAGCAAAGACAGATGCTTACCTCAAAGAGTATAACAGCCACCAGAGGCCATGGCCAGCCCAAATAGGCCTTGTCTTGAGTGCACACTAGAACTCAGGGACATCACAAGTGAGGGTGTGTGGGCCAGCATGTGGGGAATGTGCAGAGGAAATCTAGGAGAGTGTCAGGTATAGTTCATTCACAGCATAGTGCCCAGTGAGGTTCAGAGCAGTTGCCTGACCTGTGCCAAGTAGGTGCCAATGTGCTTGCCAGTGGCAGCATGTTAGTGTACTTGTATGTTTGTTAGTGTCCCCAAGGCATGGGGATGCCTCTGGCTAAAGCTTTGATGTTAAGAGAACTCTGCAATTCTCATGAATCCCAAGGCTCAATGGGCCTGTGGCTGGAGGAGAGGAAGCTATATCCCCCAACCCGGCCCCAGTCTGTGAACTGTCCCCCAGTATTCTGTAAAGCCTCCCACATGCCTCACCTGGCTGGCAGCAGCCTCAGCTGCAGGGCCTAGGTCTGGGTGGTGCTCAGAGTGACCTGCCCTGGGGGGCCTCTCCACAGGAGAGTTCCGCCGGCGGTAGAAGAGTACATAGGCATAACGCGTCACAACCTGGCTCTCGTCTACCGTTGTCACTGTGCTGTCATCAAACAAGCGCCAGCCTACAGCAGGGTGGGAAGAGTGTGAACAAAGTCTGCACCACCACCCCTACCACCTATCCTGCTGGCTGTGTGTGCCCTCACCCACGTCACTGCGCTGACTGCTACGATCATTGGGCAGGCGTGCACAGGCAGTGTAGTGGCCACCAATCATGCCTCCATAGTGGTTGATGACAGCATATAGATCGTAGCTGGGCAGCTGCTCCTCTTTCTGACCAATGCAGAACTTGCTCAGGTCCAGGTTCCTGCAGGTCAGGTCCAGTCAGGGAGGGGTGAGACAGGCAACAGGCGCTCAGGATGCCCATCCTGGTCCTCACACCCCACCCACAGTTACCAAGGTCCACTGCTTACCTAACAGGGAACTCCACCAAGTCATTGATCTTGTCACGCCAGATAAAACTACGAAAGGAGAAGCGCTTGAGCTGCACGATGAGAACATTTGGCAGGCGCCATAGCAACAGCTGCTTGGAGGCCTCACGGTGCTGTTTGCACTGTGGGCAGTACCTGGTGGGGACAGAGATTGGGTCAGGACCAGCAAGTCTCTCTCTTCTCCATCCTGCCCCCTTATCTACTTGCTGCTCTGTTCTCACCAGGCCTCCTCGGGTGCCAGCACCTCAGGCCGTGTGAAGAGGTTGAGGCACTGGTCCAGGGTGAAGTGGCCGGCCCGGGCAGCCTCACCGGCAGAGCCTGGATCCTCAGCACATTCCAGCTCCTTGGAGGCTACCAACACAAACTCCTGCAAGCGCTCATTGTTCCGCCAGACGAGAGCCAGGCTACAGTCGTCACCCAGCTCCAGTGGGGTGTCTCCTGGAGATTCGCAGGGAGAGAGGTCATGCAGCTGTGGAGAACAGCCAGCTCAACCCACCCCATGGCTCCCACCCACAGCCTCAGACACCTTTGTCCTCTAGCCGCTGCTCTCGGTTGGATGAATCAATTTTATAGATGAAGAACTGGGGTGTGTGGGCATTCATAGCTTCACTTGGATGCTGGTACCCAGGCACAGCAGCTGTGTGAGAACATGATAATCAAAGCTTCCCTGCCCATCAGGGCCTCACCAGGCCCACCAGGCCCTAAACAACAGCCCCCTCCATCCTCCCTTATCCTCCTCCCCAGCTTCTAGAGCCTTTCACTGGATCTTACCTTCGGGTCGGGACACCCTCTCGCCAGCTGGCAAGGAGCCAACCTCAATGGGCCCACTGGCCAGCATCTCAGAAGAAATTCCACTGGTGCTGGGCACAGGACCCCGGTCAGGGGCTGCCCACACCCGGGGAAGCCCTGTGTCCCCCTCAGCCATAGGGGTCACCAGCTGGAGCTCAGGTGGCTGAATGGGGTCTCTCTCGCTGTCCCCAGCCTCCAGGGAACCTGTGGAGAGCAGTGTGGTGCAGCCAGGGCTCTGAGACTCCAAGGCCATGCGGCCTGGCTGAAAGGGTGGCTGGAATACACTCACAGAGTACCTGGCAACAGAGAACAACGCAAGTAAGACTCCTGACCAGCCCATCTAGCACCTCTGCCCCCACCTACACCACTCTAGTCCAACCACTGGGCACTTACCGGGCATAGCCCTCTAGCAACTGAGCGAGGCGGGCATAAGTGAGGCGTGAGGCAGGTACACTGACCAGGAAGGGGTAGCCAATGTTCTCAGGTCGGCAGAGGCCCTTGTGGTCAGGCCAGTGGGTTTTCTGGCAGAGCCTGACGGGAAGAGGAAGACAAGGATAGGCCCTTAGCCCCATCTCCTATGACTCCATACTGGGGGCTAGTCATAGTCCCTGGGAACTGGGTACGCCAGCCCTGCCTCCCCCAGAGCCTGGTAAAGTAGGGTGGCAAGTAGAAAGCTTAAGCATATGTGCCTTGGTGTGAAGGGAAGGAGCAGGGTGGCACATGGAAGGTGGAAAGAAAGGGTAGGGGAGACCATGGGGGTCCTCACTGGTTGCAGTAGCCCACACGGTAGCACCGGGTACAGCGCTTCAGCTTTTCATCCTCCGACTGTTGCTTCCGCTGGCAGGCTGCACACTTGGAGATGGGGACGCTGGGCACCTGGGGGCGCTAGGGTGGGTCGTCTGGCTCAGCAAGACCAGGAAGAAGTGCCCCACCCACCAGGGCGCTGTGCCATCAGGTTGGCCCCCACTCACCTGTTGCACCTCTAGCACCACTACCCGCTCCTTAGCCAACTCTGAGGATAGCAGCTCAAAGCAGAGGAGCGTATCAGATGGGGACACAGTGTCCAGTGAGTGGGAGGGTAGGAACACACGATGAAAACGATTCTTAATTACCTGGGGACAGAGAACACACAGATCCCACGTGAGGATAAGCCCTTTCCCTAGCCCTGCCCCAGAGTTTAAGAAGGCTTGGCCCTGCCTTGGGTCTATGTGGGCAGTGGTGAGGTCTGTAGGCCCAAATAGGCTTATGCCTCTGCTGGCACCTGTCTCAGTGCCCAATGCCATAAGGAGCCTGGTGCATCAGAGGGCCTGAAAGACCAGGTGTGAGGCAGATATCAACCACACCAGCTCTCCACACTGAGGGACTCTGCCCTGCTATAACTAGCATAGCCTTATAAGACTGTAACATATTATCATGGAGGGTCCACATTCAAAGAGCCTCCTCCCCACTCTTACCCCTAAGAAAACCAACACTGTCAGGCTAAAGGCTAGGAACCCCTGGGGAGAGCTAGCACACACAACTGGGATAAAAGGAGAGAGCAGCAGGATAGAGGGAGAGGCAGAGCGAACATAGGGATAGTCCTGCAGCTCAAGCTCCTTGTCTAAAAAGGGAAATGCAGTTGGGATCCACCACCACAAAGGGGAATAAACCCTGATAATGGCTAGGAACTGAGGGCACTTCTGTTGCACAGAAAAAATAACAGCACATCGCCTGTTTTTGTACAGTCACAGGCATACTCATGTGTATGTCTATTTTTATTTTATTTTATTTTATTTTTGAGACAGAGTCTCACTCTGTCACCCAGGCTGGAGTGCAGTGGCGCGATCTCGGCTCACTGCAACCTCTGCCTCCCAGGTTCAAGCGATTCTCCTGCCTCAGCCTCCTGAGCAGCTGGGACTACAGACATGTGCCACCACGCCCGGCTAACTTTTCCTGTATTTTTAGTAGAGGTGGGGTTTCACCATGTAAGCCAGGGTGGTCTGGATCTCCTGACCTTGTGATCCATCAGCCTTGGCCTCCCAAAGAGCTGGGATTACAGGCATGAGCCACCACGCCTGGCCCTATTTTTATTTTTTTATCTATTTATTTATTTATTTTTGAGACAGAGTCTCACTCTGTCACCCAGGCTGGAGTGCTGTGGTGCAATCTCTGCTCACTGCAACCTCCACATCCCGGGCTCAAGTGAGCCTCTTGCCTCAGCCTCCCAAGTAGCTGGGACTATAACACGTACCACCATGCCCAGCTAATTTTATTTCTTGTAGAGACAGTGTTTCACCAAGTTGCCCAGGCTGGTCCCAAACTCCTGGGCTCAAGTGATCTGCCCACCTCGGCCTCACAAAGTGCTGGGACTACAGGCATGAGCCACTGTGCCCAGCCCATGTGTATGTCTGTAGATGCCAATGACTGTACACACGTCTGTGGTGAGTACACACACACATCCACACATGTGATAGCCCAAGGAAGGACAAAGATACCTCCGCCAAACGCAGGTTCTCAGGCTTCACATGAACACTCTGAGAGAGGGAGTCCAATACTTCGCTCGCAGTGGAGTTCTCCTTGCTGACGCTCACCAGGAACTGTGGCAAAAAGGGCAGTCAGTGAGGGAGGTGGGCCACGTTCTCTAGAACAGCCCAGAGGGTAGGGGCTTACTCCTCACCTTGATGGGCTTGCTGTGGGGCTCTCGGGCAAAATAAAAGACAGGGAGAACCTTTTGCTTTTGTGGCAAGGGCACCGGCAGATAAAGAAACGGGTCAAAAGTGATGGAGACCTGTGGATGTAGAGGTGGCACTGGGTAGCTGCACACAGAGTGGGAGATAAGATGCTCATGCTCAGAGAGCCCATTCCGGGGCTTCTGATGGCTCTCAGGGCCCCCACAGCCAACCAGCAAACTCTCAGGCTTCAGGACACTAGACAGGGCAGGAGGACCACCAGGAAATAACAATCCTTCTTTCTGGCACTCAAAGCCCTACTCAGCTTAGCCACTTTACGAATTGGCCTCACACTTGCACCCCATGTGCCCACAACCCTGCTACAACACCTTTGAGCTCTAACATCACTTTTCCCTCAGTCAGGAAGCCTACCCTGAGTGGGCTCTTCAGCCCAAATAGAATCCTAAGGCCTCCCTGCCAGCTTCTTTGCCCAAACCTTGCCCTGTAGCACCTTAAGATGCACATGCCTCTGAACCTAATGTGACCAGAATAGCTGAGCTGAACTAGGGGGTCTCTTTCCAGGGGAGCCCATCACACCTTGGCACACACAGGGCACACCAGCTTCGACTTGTACTGCCCCTGAAATAGGTCCACGATGAAAGAGTCATTCCTCATCTTGTGCCGCTGCCATGCTTCCTCAGCTACCACCTGAGAGGCAGAGTGGTGAGAACCAAAGAGTACCAGGGGCTGGGATGCTCATGAGACATGCCCACCCTCTGTCCCTAACCCTGACCTCATCGGGCCGCCCATCTGAATCCACGGTCTCTGTGTAGGGCTTGTTCTGAATGCGATTCAGGTCCTCGTGCAGCCCATCCAGCAGGAAAGCCATGAACTCCTGGGCATCATGCTGTGCATAGCCTGTGAACTGGCTGGCCTTACTCGCCACAATGGCCTGGATACAGGAGCCAAGGTGTGAACATGAAGCCCTAGCACCCACTGCACACCCAGCTGGCTGGCCCTCCCCGCCCCCTCCAGCCAAGGGTGACAGTGGTCACAGATCACCTTCAACTTGGAAGGCTGGAAGGCATGGTGGGTGCCCTTCCACAGCGCCCGAAGCAGCACGGCAAAGCCAATGGCCAGACGCCCACCAGTCCCTAGTGGGTTGTTGTAGTTGATCTCAGCCTCAAAGGAGCGGTCTAGGAATAGTAGCCGAGCAAAGGTGTGAGGAACAAAGGCACTCTCTCTGCCCATAACCCAGGCTCCAGGCCCTGCCCTCACCATGGAAGAAGTCCCGGAGTTCCCGAGTGTTGGACAGAGACTGAATGACGCTGTTCATGAAGCAGGTGTTGCCTAAATTGACAAGGCCAGTGAAGCCTGGCAGACACACCTTCTTCTCTTCCTCTTCCTCCTCCTCCACGCTGTCTCCACTAACTGGGCTGTGGGGCATGGGAGGCACCATGCATGTAGGCTTGGGCTGCAGGAGCAAAGACGACATGAGAGAACAGCCCCAAGACTCTCCAGCCTCCATTCTTCGTCCTTCCCACCCCAGAATTCTCACCGAGGCCAGGTGTGTCTCTGGCTTTGGGGTTACATGCTCCATGGGTGTGCGGGTTGCCACACTGTCTAGCCCTGTGTCCTCAGATCGTGCCTTGGATTTATCCTTCTCCACAGCCCGGGCCTCCTCCTGGCCTGTCAGGGGGTGGGGAGCACCTCCTGGTGGGGTTGAATCCAGAGGGGTTGGACCTGTCGGCACGGCAACCTTTGCACCACCCACTGCACCTTAAAAAGGGGGAATGAGAGGGCTGGTGGTTAGCAGCATGTGACAGGGGTTTGGGTCCTGGTCACGTGGAACTGGGCAATGAAGGGAGCTCGTGTGCAGACCTCGTGCAGCCGGGGCCTCCAGGCCCCCCCAGCGCTGACTCTGCCTCTTACGAAGGCAGATGTCGATGCGAGAAGCCGTGAAACAGAAGGTGCACTGCTCTGGCTCAATCAGATTCCTGTGGGAAAAGGCTGAACTCAGGGACTTAGGAGGAATGAGCATCAGGATAGATGAGCCAGGGAGATGGAGCCCACGGGGTAGGACAGGCACAGTGGTGGGGCCGGGCACCACCCACCTGAGCTTCACCTGCCAACGGAAGGTGGTGTGGGGCCCACAGCCCGGGTGCAGCCTCAGGAAGTTTCCATCCCTGCAGAGGCACAGCAGGATAGGAGGAAGGACAAGAGGAAGAGCATGAGACATACTGTCCCACCTGAGGCATTGTTTGCCCCATCATCTACCCACCCACCTGGTCTGGAAGATGAGCGTGAAGTCCTGCTCACGGAAAAGTACTCTTGAGGTGTCCCTGCAGATCTCCTTCACGTACACGTGCACCACCACTGAATCCGGGCCCTTCTCATACGAGTCATTCTTGACAAACGCCAGGTTCACCATCGACTCGGGCTCTATATTGAGACCATGGCTCAGCCCCAACCAGGACAGGTTCCAGCCTATTGCTACTCTCTATCCACCTACAAACTTTGCAACCCAACCTAGGGCTCTGCCTGCCCACCCCCACCTTTACCATCCACCAAGGTTGCAGCATCTGCTGCCACTGCCATCTCCTCCTTGGCACAGTCATCTTTCCCAGGGTTTCTGCTCCGGACCATGGCTGGAGAGACTGGGTCATTCCCGGGAGGCACTGCTTTCTCTCCTGCCAAAGGGGCTAAATTCTCCTCTGAGCCCAGGAGGCAGGTTTGGGAGTTCAGCGGTGGTATGCAAAGCTGTTCATCAGCCTCAACCTATTAATGGCAAGATTGTGGAAAGAATCAGCCCTGGGTCTGCCAGGTGGCTCCCACTCCAGTGCACACCCTTTCCCCCCATCTCCTAACACCCAAACAGGTGCCCAGCTCTCACCTGGGTGGCTGGGTCAGCCACGAAGGGTGGGGCATCACCCCGGGGTCCAGGGTCATCCCTGGACCCGTCCCCCTCTGGCCCTCTGCAGAGATGCACAGCCCTCTTGGCGCTGGGCCCTGCCTGGGCCCCGGGGCCAGCCCCTGCGCCTACCTCACCACGGCCCTGGGCCCGCTTCTGGTTCCGGGCCTCCTGCTTAGCCCGGTGGGGCTCAGGGCCTGGCTCCAGGGCAATGGGAGACAGTTCCTGCCCATTCTCCTGGCACCGCAGCCCCGGCACCAGCTCCTGGGTCCCTAGAGGTTTCTTCTGCCAAAGATACAGCAGTCAGGCCCTGTCGACTACACTGGTATCCCTACCCAACCCTGTACTACTAGAACTCACCAGGAGGGAGGGCCACGTGAGCATAGGCACCTTTTTGGGCAGTGTCAGGTGCAGGAGACTGCCCTTGCGGGTTTGCACTTTAGCACAAGAGCTTTTTATCTCAGCATAGAAGACACCACCCCACTGCTGACCACCTGGGGACAGAGCAGGGTCCATGAGGTAGGATAGGAGATATCAGAAGATTCAAACATACTACTGTGCTCAGGGCAGATGGACACACCTGCAAACCGCACCACACAGTCTGTATCTGTGAAAGCAGCATCTACATCCTCCAGCTGCAGGGGACCTACTCCCACACGAAGCTTGACAATCACCTCTTCTGCACTCTGCCTCCAATCGAGCAACAACTCTGGAGTGGGAGTAGCCAAGAGATCATGAGGGTCTTCACAAGCTCCTGATGGTGATAAGCAGGTAACAGAGACCCAGCCTAATGAAACTGCTTCAGATGGGAGCCAAATTGCAAGTGCCCCCTCCCCTTCCCTAGCAACAAAAAGCCCATTCGTTACTGACCCTCTTTGGTCTGCTCCTCTTGAGGAGTGGATGCTGACCCTGACGATGAAGGAAAGAACAGCCGGGTACGGTGGCGTGAGCCTGTGATCCCAGCTGCATGGGAGGCTGAGGCAGAAGGATCACCTGAGGCCAGAGGTTCAAGACCAGCCTGGGCAACATATCGAGACCCTGTCTCTAAAAAAAAAATAAGAAAAATTAGTCAAGCATGGTGAGGAGGCTGAGGTAGGAGGACTGCTTGAGCCCAGGACTTTGAGGATGCAGTAAGCTACGATCACACCTGCACTGCACTCCAATCTGTGCAAGAGTGAGACCCTGCCTTTAAAAAAAAAAAAAAAAAAGGGACAGGCACGGTGGTTCACGCCTGCAATCCCAGCACTTTGAGAGGCCGAGGTGGGTGGATCACCTGAGGTCAGGAGTTTGTGACCAGTCTGGCCAACATGGTGAAACCCCGTCTCTACTAAAAATACAAAAATTAGCTGAGTGTGGTGGTGCATACCTGTAATCCCAGCTACTTGGGAGGCTGAGGCTACTTGGGAGGCTGAGGCAGCAGAATCACTTGAACCCGGGAGGCAGAGCCCGCAGTGAGCCAAGACGCCACTACACTCTAGCCTGGATGACAGAGTGAGACATTGTCTCAAAAAAAAAAAAAAAATTAGCCTTGCGTGGTGGCATGCACCTGTAATCCCAGCTACTTGGGAGGCTGAGGCAGGACAATCACCTGAACCAGGAGGTGGACGTTGCAGTGAGCCAATATTGCACCACTGCACTCCAGCCTGGGCTACAGAATGAGACTCCATCTCAAAAAAAAAAGGAAAAAAAGAACAGGTTCAAAAAAAAGAAAAAAGTTTAAAAAGGAAAGAAGGCAAGCCCCCCAACAGCACCATCTTCTGGATCTTAGCCAAGTACTCAGGCTTCAAAGCTGAGGCTCTACTGAGGTTATCATGGGTCCTTCTTCTCTCATCATCAAACCAGGACAGAGAGAAGAACAAGAAAGTCATCTCCCAAACCCCAATCTGTATACCAATAAGATGGGAGGCAGAGAAGGCCACAATTACTCTGGGAATGCCACTCCCACCTTTCCTAGGATCTCCATCCTTGCTCTCCTGGTTTGCTCGATCCTTCTGCTTCTTCTTACTAGTGGTGTCCTCCAGTCCTGGGGGCCCTCTCCTTGGGCCTGTGGCACTGGCCCCGCCAGACATCTTGAGCCGCTTGGTCGACAGCCAGAGTGCCCCGGGGTCGGCAACAGCGTCTGGGTCAGGGCTGCGGCGCTTTCTTCCTGGCCCAGCTATCTTGGCAACTCTTTGTGGCCAAATTCTCCAGCAAGGAACGGACAGCCTAATGGAAAGAAGCCAGTGATCACTGCCAAGACCCAACAACTTGCTCTTTAGCTACACCCAGGGCTCAGCAACACAGGACACTAATGCTACAGAGCTGTATCTTCTCATCTCTTAAGTACCCCTGGACACTCTCAGGATATTCTGAAGAGGTAATAAATAATGCAAGTAGCAGCAACCACTTCTGGCCAAGCCTCATAGATACCCACCATAACAGTCCCACACAGGTGAAAGCCTCACTGAGGGGGCACCAGGTCAAGGAAGTCATGGCCTGGGACCAGGCTACTCCACCAATCTGGAGAGGAGCCACGGCTCCAGCCCACAGGGCTGGCACTCCGAGCAGGGTGCTCACTTTTCCTTCACTCTCACTGGCTGCTTAGTCACCACTGGAGAAATAGAAGGTGGAGGAGGAAGGCAGGACAGGAGACAAGCCGCAGGAGAACCAGGCTCTGTGGCTGTAAACAGGCTCAACCCAGGTTCTACCATTGCCCAGAAAAAGTCCTGGGGCTAAGGCACTCCACCTGCCTCCTGCCAGCTCCCACCCTTGGCAAGAACCTGCTCCTATGTACTGCTTGGTCCTTCTTCATTTCAAGAGAAAGTCCTCTCCCCAGCTGCTGTCCCAAGCAGAAAGGGACTGAAAAGTGTATCTAGATGTCACGCTACCTCTTCAGCAGCAACCCTGCTCCAGTACTAAGGCAGGATGGGCATCCAGTTTGAGACTGGAACAGAAATTATCACCTTCCTTCCCAGATGCCTTCACTCATGAGCTCTGAGCCACAAGGACCACTACAGTTTCCCACAGACCCACCAGTGGATTCTGGACTGTTTCCTCCTCCAAAATGAAGGTCTTGAAACTAGATACTGAGATGAGGCTGGGGAGGACCACAGATCCAGGACTCCTGGCAGCCTCAAGCCTGGCCTGAACCAGTAGCAGGACAGATAATGACTAGTCTGTGTTCCCCTAAGTGTGTAAAGGAGGAAGGAGGGATGGCAGGATACCCTTCTACAGGTCAGATGTGGTACTGGTGGGCTGGATCTTTAATGACACCTGCCACCGGCGCCTCCTTCTTGCACCCAGGCCCCAGCCGAAGGTCGCGTCCCTCCCCCATGCCCCAGGGACGTCGAGGCGGGTAAGGGGCTGTTTAGAGACCCGAGCCGGCCTGAAATGGCAGCGCGGGGTTACTGACCACAGATCAGCGCCCCGGTCGAGCTGCGACCCAGCTTCAGCCTCTGAACCCCGAGCCCGCCACCACCTCTCCCACGAAGTTGCCCTCGCTGGCCGCCAGTCCTCTCCCAGGTGGGAGGCTGGCCACAGGCATAGCGTAACGGCCCTGCCGGCATCAGTGGGCTGGCACGCTGCGGGGCACTAGGGGTAGGGACTGGCACGGCCCGTGACCTTGAACAGGCCGCCGCGGCCGCGCGTTGCGGCCTCCCCGCTGCGGCCAAGCCAGCGAGTTGCAGCCTGCTCCACTCACCGAGCGAGACCGCCGCAGCCAGCCCTCTTCGGGCCCTGGCAACCCGCTCTCCGTTCCGGTTCCGGCGCAGGTCGGTTCCGGTTCCGGCGCGCCCCTCCCCCGTCCCGGCGCCGCCGCCACCGCCTTAGCGGCTTGTTTTGTTTCGACTTCTAGCTAAGGCCGAGGGAGGCGGAGCGCCAAGCTGGTGACGCACTTCCGGCGGGAATGGGCTCGGAGCGACCCGCAGCTCCGGGGCGGGCCCGAGCGGAAGGAGGCGGTGCTCGGGTGGCTTAGCGGTGCATGGGTTCTGCTGGGGGCAACCTCGAGGTTCCCCTGGAGACTCCCCCGCCCGCCCCAAATCAGAGTCCAGACAACACAGTGGGGGTTCACACTGGTTTATTGGGGGCCCTGCCGGGCCAAGAGCTCTTCAGTGCATAGGCAGACATGCATGTGGGGCAGTGCTAGGAACTGGGGTAGGCCTTGGGCAGGGGTCACTGGCAGGTGTTGTAGATCTGCACCTGCAAGTTGATGGCTTGAAGCACGCTGCGCATCCTGGCCTCCAACCCGTCCAACTGGGCTGCCTTACTCTCCAGTGCCCGCTCATTTTCCTCATAGGTGCCTTCCAATTCTAGGAAGGGCAGGTGTCAGTTTAGGGGGGGTTTCCCGCAGTCTTGTGTCTCTGGTGCCCCATTTCTTACCCTGTAGCCGCTGCAGCTTGTCCTGAGCGGCTTGCAACAGGTCCCGAGCCTCATCCCGCAGTTGTTCTGCCCTTGCCTGTGCAGCCAGCACACCTTGGGCCTTGCGCTCAGCTAGGGCCTTCACCGTCTGGTACTGATCACCCAGAGGACCGCGTAGCAGCTGCAGATGTAGAGGGTTAGGTTAGCGTGGTAGCTCAGTGGAGGCCCATCTTCCACCCCTACCTTCTCCAGCTGGCTCTGCCTCAACCCACCTGCTCAGCCTCCTGGGCACGACCCTGGGCACTGCCTGCCGTTTCTTCTGCTGTAGAGGCTGCCAGACTATTTCCTGCCCGTTTCAATTTCAGAGCCTCCAGGAGAGCATCCAACTGCCGAGCCCTTTCACCTGCAGAGCTCAGTGCCCGCTCTGCACCTGCCATCCTCTCCTGTACCTGCCATGGGTGAGCCAAAGGTTACACAGATCTACGGTTCATGCCCATAACCTTGTCCCACTGATGTCCTAGGAAGACCTCACCTGGTACAGGGTCTGCTCTGTGTCCCGTGTGTCAGCCACTGCCCCCCGGATGGCACCCTGGGCAATACCCTGTGCCCGCTGGGCCTCCTCCAGTGCTGCCTGTACTGTCTCTGCCTTCTGTTTCTCATCCTCAGCCCAGCTCCTGGGGAGAAGGGGGAATCAGAACCTGGAGGTATCAAAACCAGGTGTCAGGGATAGGGGCCAGGGATGGGGTCAGACCTTGCCCGCCGTGCATCCTGCAGTAGCTGCTCGGCACGACGCACATCTCCTACAGTACGTGCCAGGATCGCATCCACATCTGCCAGGCTCCGGACTCGCTCTGCAATCGCACCCGCCAGGTGCTGGATCTGCTCAGCTGAAGCTGGGATGGAGAGCTCTAGCACCCGTGTGGCCACCATTTCAATGCTATCAGGATCAGCCCCCTCCTCTATAGGGACACAGCAAGAACTTAAGAACATAGATTCTCCAGCATGGGCATGAGGATACAGTTTTGGGGTATGGACTCAGGACATGTACATGGGATAGGGGTTTGTTACCAGGCATAAGGATATAATCACAAGGACAGGGACTATACAAGGGGCTCAGACTCAAGAACATGGACCTGGGACCACATATGGGCAATAACTCAGGAGCCAGTCAAGGGATCATAAACACTAATCCAGTGTAGTCCCTGAGGCTCAAGTATGAACCAAGGGAGATACAGACACCGGGAGTTGCCAAAGGGGACAACCACATGGCCTGGGACACGTGGGAGGCTCACGGTTGAGGAAGTCCTTCACACTCTGGATAAGTTCTTGAAGTTCCTGGTTGGCCTGTTCCACCTGTCCCCTGGAAGCATTAGCCTTGTCCAGGGCTGCCTGGGCCCGCTGCTGTGCCTCGCTTGCCTGCCGACGAGTCTCAGCCACTCTGCTGAGGATGCTACCACCTTCTGCCAGTGCCCGCTGCAGCTCTGCCTGTGTGTGCCGGGCCCGGCCCAGTGCTAGGTCTGCTGTAGCCGCTGCCCCATTGCAGCTGAGGCCCCCACAGCGCGGCTGCCCATCCTCATCTCGACAGCCGGCACCCCCACAAGGGCTTGTAGCACAGGGTGCATCCCCTGGTGCCCCACACACCTGCCAGGCACAGAACAAGTCAGGGCCCTGTGAGAGGAACATCTACACCCACCTGCCCCACCCAACACTTCAACCTCACCAGCTCATTTATGTCTGTCAGGCTCAGGGTGTGGGTATGGGCAGAGAGCTTGCCAAGTGCCCGCTGGTTGGCCATGTGTTTGCTGTTGAAGTCCTCCTTCTGAGCATCCATCAGTGCCTCTGTCCGATGCCGAGCACTTGCCGAGTTGCTCACAGGGCTAGGTACTGCCAGGGCTGAGGTATTGGCACGACGTTCTGCCTCTGCAGACTGGCTATGGGCATGCCGGATGCTGTCATAGGCACCTAAATTGGGCAGAGGCAGACAGTCAGCTGAAGACTGACCCTGGTCCACCTGCCTAGTTGGCTAACAACTCACCCAGGAAGTTTGAATGTTTGAGCAAGTCAAGATGCTGGTCGAGCTGCCGCAGTGTGAGATTAAGTGCAAGCCTATCTCGCTCCAGACCACTTAGTGCATGGTTGGCATTGAAGTTCTCATCTTGCACATCTGTCAGGTCTGCCTCGAGCTGAGTCAGGTGCTCAGTGGCCTCCCCAATTTCACGCCTGCAATGATGGAGAGGGGGGTGTTTAGAGAGGCTTCAGCCCTGGTCCACTGGGCCTCTGCCCCATCCCACCATGTATTCTTAGGCCCTTCCGCACCGCAGCTCCTCTGTGGCCTCCACAAGCTGTGCAGTGGAGGCGGCTGAGGTGTTGCGGGCACCTACGATGCCCTGCACAATGCCCAGCTTCTCCTGCATGTGCCAGAAGCTGCTCTCAAAGGCACCCAGCACACCCGTCTGTTGCAACTCCTGCGCCCGCTGCTCTAGGCGCTGTGTACGGGCTGCCAAGTCCTGCACCACTCGGTCCCAATCCCCGAAGCATGCATGGCAGGGATGGCAGGCAGGAAAGATTCCTGAGAAGCCACGGGCACACTGGTCACAGCGCACACCAGACACCCCTGGGCGGCAGCTGCAGTGACCTGTGAAGCGGTGACACTGAGGTGTATCTATTCCACGAGAGTCACAATCACAGGCTGCAAGAAAGAGCAGAGCACAGAGTTAGGGTCACTGTGGGGCATTCTGGGAAGTCCTCCATCTACCCTGGCCCCGCTGGCTCCCTCACCATGGCACTGCAACCCAGGGTCTCCCCAGTGGAGCTCTTGGCACTCAGAACAAGTCCGCCCTCCAAAGCCGGCACGGCAGTGGCACTGCCCTGTGAACTGGGGTGGGAACAAGGCAGGGTCAGAGCCTCTATAAGAGGCTAAGCCCTGGAGATAAGACAGACACCTGGCCCCATCTAACCAGGGATCTGCAGGAGGGTCCCATACCTCGTTGCAGGTGGGGCCTCTGGCCCGGCTTGGGTGGCAGGCACAAGGCTGGCAACCATGGCCACTGGTGAGGTTCCAGAAGTTGGGGGCACAGCGGTCACAGCTAGGGCCCTGGACATTGGGGAGGCATGGGCACTGCCCACTGCTTGGATCACAGTGGCACTGGTCAGGAGATGGGCACTGCTGCGGATTTGTGCCCAGCAGGTTGCATGTGCAGCCTGTGCCAACCAAGATGAGCACAGTAGTCAAGAGGAGGCCAAGAAGCAGAACCCCAATTCAGCCATGCCCTCCCACACTCATACTCACGGTGACAGCTCTGTCGGGCAGCCTGCCCATGGAAGCCAGGCTTGCAGTGGGCACAGTGTGGACCCTCTGTGTGGTGTAAACAGCGCAGGCATTGCCCCGTGTGGGGGTCACAGGCATCAGGATCCATTGGGTCAATGTTCCCACTGCACTCACACAGTTGGCACCGGCCACCTGGCCTTGATGGGTCCCCAAAGTGCCCAGGGGCACAAGCTTCACATCGCAGCCCTGCCCACGGTTAAGAGGAAGCTGTGAGTGCTCAGCCCAGCCAACTCACCCTGATCCCACGCCTGCCCCCATCCACTCACCCGTATAGCCTGCCCGGCAGTGGCACACAATCTGCTGGGAATATTCATCCTGGTGGCAAGAAGTAGCAAAGTGCCGTTGGCTCCCAGGGCCTTCAGGACAGGGACAGGGCCGGCACTGGCCCCCATATGGCAGCCGTGGGTCCCCGTGGAAACCAGCAATGCACCTGCAGGGAGGAGGAAGAAGAAATGTGTCATCCCTGGGAAGCCTGCCCACCAACCAACCCACTCATAGCTGCTCCAGTCTCACCTTTCACAGTGCTCACCCCCTGTGTGATCACGGCAGCCCAGGCAAGCGCCTGTGTGGGTGTTGCACTCATCTGCATGCCCATTGCAGACACATGGCCGGCAGCTAGGGAATCCCCACTGGCCACGCTGGCAGCGGTCACAGCGAAGCCCAAAGGCACCAGTTCGACAGAGACATTGCCCACTGGTCTTTTCACAGAGACTGCTGAGTGCCCCCTCGTGGCTGCACTGGCAGGCTAGGAGCAAGGCAGAGCTGAGCCAGAGCCAGGGGAGGGGGTCTGAGGGGAGTGTGGGTGGGGGAGGGTCTCAGGGGAGTGTGAGTAGTGGGAGTCTAGGTGGGAAGGTCAGGAAATGGAAGAGAACTACAACTGACCCAGGTTGAGAGTAGAGGGTCCAAGACTTAGTTTGAGGAAACCAGCAGCAGGTCCAGAAGGAGGAGAGAGAACAGTAATGGGAAGGAGAGAGAAGCATAGGAGGGAACAAGGGGCAGAAGAGTACCTTGACAGCCTGTGGGGCCAAAGCCATAGTAGCCAGGGGCACAGAGGTCACAGCGGCGCCCAACCACTCCAGGCTTGCACAGGCACTGACCACCATGAGGGTTGCACTCAGAACTCAGTGAACCTTGAGGGTTGCACTGACATGCTGTGGGGAGGAGGGTTGGGCCAAGTCAGGCTGGGTCCCCACCTCTGCCCCATCAACCCACATCACAGACACTCACGCAGGGCACCATTGTAGATGAGGGTGGACAGGCTGATGAGGAGGGGTGCGCAGGCCTCAGAGGGAGAAGTCTTGCTGGGCACCAGACCCTCCTCATGGCATTGGTAGCGTTCAAAGGTGGCCTGGCGCTCCAGGGCAGCAGCATCACCCCCACTAAACATCTCTAGCACCAGGACACGGGGCAGCAGCACCAGCTGAAGGAGTGAGCAAGGAAGATCGCAGTTCAGACCTGGGACCACGTAGGCATTGCCAGAGCACTTGCCTTAGCACTGCCACAAGCCTGCCCACCCTGGCACCACCATGGGCCTGCCTCTTCTGCCACAGACCCCTGCTATCCCTCAAGTCCCACACCACGGGCCCTGCCATCTTGGTTGGTGTGGGCAAGAGGAGATTATTCACCGAGTCAATGAGCAGGCCAGGTCCAGAGTAGGGAGTCTCAGGCTGGGCACTTCCCCCTGTCCGTACCAGCTTCAGATGCAGCTTGTAGGAGATACCAGGCTCAAGGCAGACAGGATTAGGAAATATCAAGTACCTGGGGGCGAGTGGGGACAGGTGCAGTGGGTCATCTAGGGGCCCTGTACAAATCATCTGGGCCTCCCCCATCCTTCTCCCAGCAACCAGGCCATTGGCCAAAGCAGAGACTATGGCTGGGTTGCGTTGGGCTGCGCTAGGCCAACAAACAGCTGGGCAGCCCAACAAAGAATCTGCACAGAATAGTCTCATAAAGGTGGCCCTCTAGAATCATACATCCACCTGTGCAGACTCACTGGAAATACTCATAAAGCCTGGAAATCCCAAGAACTTGCCAATTCTCCTCAACAACCACCTCACGCTTCCTCTGACCCCGACCTACAACCTACAATGGCTGCTCCTCTTCATCAACACTATGTCGCCCCCTCTCTCTTTGTCTCCAAGGCTTTCCTTTCCCATTGTGCTGCAAACTCATACTTGGGTTCTTTTATCCCATCCCAAAAATTGTTCTTCAATCCCTCATCTTTTTTCTTTTTATTTTCTGATTTATTTATTTATTTGTTTATTTGAGATGCGGTCTCTGTTGCCCAGGATGGATGGAGTACAGTGCGTGACCTTGGCTCACTGCAGCCTTGACCTCCTGGGTTCAAGATATCCTCCCACCTCAGCCTCCCAAGCAGCTGGAAC
Organism: Homo sapiens; assembly: GCF_000001405.40. NCBI lineage: Eukaryota > Metazoa > Chordata > Mammalia > Primates > Hominidae > Homo > Homo sapiens. Next base: position 49,127,124 of record NC_000003.12, read on the forward strand.
CACAAGCACACACCACCATGCTTAGCTAATTATTTTATTTTTTGTAGAGACAGGGTCTCGCCATGTTGCCTAGGCTGGTCTTGAATTCCTGGGCTCAAGTGATCCTCCTGCCTCAGTGTCCCAAAGTGCTGGGATTACAGGCATGAGCCACCATGCCTGGTCTAGAGGAATTTTTTTTCTAAACACAAGTCACAGTTGGCAAAATGTCTATAATGGGCACAGCCAGGTTCAATATGTTATTCTCTTTCCTTCTGTTTGAATATTTACATGGTCAAAAACTAAAAGCAATAGGTCAAGTGCAGTGGTTCACGCCTGTAATCCCAGCACTTTGGGAGGCCGAGAAAGGTGGATCACAAGGTCAGGAGATCGAGACCATCCTGGCTAACATGGTGAAACCCCGTCTCTACTAAAAATACAAAAAATTAGCAAGGCATGGTGGCGGGTGCCTGTGGTCCCAGCTACTTGGGAGGCTGAGGCAGGAGAATGGCGTGAACCTGGGAGGTGGAGCTTGCAGTGAGCCGAGATCGCGCCAGTGCACTCCAGCCTGGGCGACAGAGCAAGACTCCATCTCAAAAACAAACAAACAAACAAACAAAACATGAAACAATGAAACAGGGCTGGGCACGGTGGCTCACACCTGTAATCCCAACACTTTGGGAGGCCAAGGCGGGCAGATCACAAGGTCAGAAGATCGAGGCCATCCTGGCCAACATGGTGAAACCCCATCTCTACTAAAAATACAAAAAACTAGCTGGGCGTGGTGGCGTGCACCTGTAGTCCCAGCTACTCGGGATGCTGACACATGAGAATTGCTTGAACCCGGGAGGTGGAGATTACAGTGAGCCGAGATCGCACCACTGCACTCCAGCCTGGTGACAGAGCGAGACTCCGTCTCAAAAAAAAAAAAAAAAAAAAAGAAAAGAAAAGAAAAAAAAAAGAAACATGAAACATGAAACAAATACTACCCAAAATGTAATAAAACATTAATCAGACCAGGCACATCCCTGCTCAGAGTGCTCTGATGCCACAACCCCACCACTACCACCCTCTACCACCACCACTGTGGACCCTCCTGATAGTGACACCAGGTGATTTCCCATTAATTCCTGCCTTGGCCTCTGGGCCTTAGACCCCTGAGAGAGCAGGCCTTGATCTGTCTACTTCCTTTCTGTGAACAGAGCCATGCCCAACAGGGCCTGGCAACCAGCATTCTGGAGGTATTTGAAAGAAGGAACAGATGAATGAGCTGTGGGGTCTTCCAGGTGCCCTGCAGGGAGCTTAGGGCTGGCCCCACAACCCCCTGCCATTGTGAGTGCTACCACCAGTGCCCTCACCTGGCATGTGGTTGCAGAGTCCCTTGGATGCGATCATCCTTGGGCACCAAATGCCCACACAGGCTGTGGGCAGGCACAGGCCCTGGACGCTGCACAATCAGTTCCAACTCTGCCCATTGCTCAGGGACCTGGGAAAACGGGATGATGGAGGAGATGCTCCCACACCCAGAGGTTCAGCCCCAGATTAGATAACAGGGTCTAACCTGGGGCTCTAAGCGCAGCAGCAGGTCATAGTCCATAGCCTTCGGCACAGAGGCCACCAGGAACTCCAGGGTCTGACCTTCCTGTAGCCGCACGAAGCCTGAGCCAGTCCAGGATGGAGTTTCCCCGGGGGTCACCAGGCGCTCCACCACATCGAGCACCTGGGAGATAATGCAGCCAGGGATGGAGGCTCAGGTGAGGCTTTGCCTCTTCTGCCACAGCCAGCCCCAAACCCCATTTCTCCTGCCAAAGCTAGATATCACCCCTATCCCCTCAACAAGGTACTGCCCATAACCCCACCTCTCCAGTCATAGACGTGTCCACCCACATCCAGCCCTCTGCTTAGGGGGAGGCCCCACACCTGCCCTCGGGTGTCCTCAGCCTCCCAAATTAGGTGGTCCAGGAAGGGCCGGAAGTAGCCAGGTTGCACCTGCTCACAGCGTCGCCCAACCATGTGCTGGCGGCAGTGGCATTGACCTGTGCCCTCATCACACCTGGAGGGAACTCTGTGGTTACTCAAGAAGAACCTTCTCTTCTGCTCAGGATCTTTCCCCATCCCTTCCCAGGCCCCCTTTACAACACTTACTGGGGATCCAAAGCACCACCCACGTCGCAGTCACAGGGGCGGCAGCCGAGCAGGTCGTGGCTCAGGCCCCAGTGGCCAGGCTGCACGAAAGGAGTTGCTGGGGGCCAGAAACAGACCTCCAGACCCCATCACCACCCAGCAGGAAATCCCAACCACACGTCTTAGCCTCAATCACCCCTCAGTGAAAACATGCCCCCCAGACCACTGGCCCACATCCTTGGCCTCCCAGACCTGAGGCTTCTCAGCCAGGACTGGATCCTAAGCTCTCAGCACCCACCCACTGGCATAGATGTGACACCCCAGCCCTGTGCTCTAAGGACAAATCATGCCCCTAGAACTCCAGCCCCTTCCAGTCGCACCAGGCAGCGGTCACATCCACGTCCAGTCACTAGACGTTTGCAGTAACAGGATCCACTGTTGGGGTCACAAGGAGTGCTCCCAGGCACTGTGCCCCGTGCATTACATTGACATCCTGCAGGGAAGGAGAACCATCAGCACTTTGGGAAACTGTGGCAGTGCTCATGTTCAGCTGAGTCAGGAGTAAGAGGACAGGGGTTAAAGGTCAGCATAGAAGTTAGGGCAGGAGACACATACGCCGGCAGCCCAGACGGTCACTGATGCTGAGCCCAAAGAAGCCATCACGGCATTGCTGGCAGCGAGTGCCCACCACATGTTCTTTGCAGCGACACTGGCCGGAGACCAGTCCCAGTGCAGGGTCATCATGGGAATCACAGCGACCACCGTCTTGAGAACCCATGGGGTCACAATCACAGGCTGACGGCAAAAAGAGATACAGGGTCACTCACCCTATCTCAACTAGCTCACTGCCAGTCCTCTCCTAAGCCTAAGGGATCCCACCCTGGATCCCTGGTCAAGTTCTATCCCAAGCCCCTAACCCCAATTTCCTGCAATTTAGACAGCAGTCCAGCTCTCTAGTTCCTGCCCCAGGCTCAGCTTTCTCTCCCCGTGCCCAATCCCAGCCTCACAGCGGCACACAGCCGGATCCCGCAGGTCCTTGGTTGGGTCACGGTAGAAGAAGGGCCGACAGAGCTCACAGTGGCGCCCAGCTGTGTTATGCTGACATCCATCACACACACCTCCACTCACATTGCCAGATGCCAGGTATACGGCCATGTCGAAGTGGCAGCTGTGGGTGTGCCCATGGCACTCACACTCTGGCAGGGGAGGAAGGGCAGGGCAAAGGCCACATGAGGAACCAGGTCACAAGGGTAAGAAGTAGGCCACCTTAGATCCCTATCACAGGCCAGAATTTGTGGGTAGGGGCTCAGGGACTTCAAGGCCTCAGCATCATACTGGTTCCCTACCCAGAGCAGACTGCAGAGGAGGATTGAGGGGGTCCCAAGGGGCATCAAGGTCTGCATACTCTTTGGATACAGCCTGGGTTTTAGGGGCTTGACCAACTAGCTCTAGGTTCTACCCAGGGCACAGCCAGGCTGCAGAGTGCTGGAGCTATGGAGGCCAAGATCTCACTCACTCCTACAGGCATGACTATGGCCGTCCTCAGCCGGACGCCAGGGCAGGTCACGATAGAAATCCTGACACTGCTCGCAGTTGAGGCCACGTGTGTTGTGTTTGCAGATGCAAGCTCCGTGCACCTATAGAGGTTGGCAGGTAGGTTGTCAGCACTGCTCAGCCATGTCCGCCCCTGCCCCTAGCCCTATCCCAACCGTCTGAAGCCCCTTACCATGCCCTCAGCATGGGCTGGTGCCCCTGGGGCGGGTGCACACTCTGAGGCGTGTCCGTAGCAGAAGCAGTTGCCACGTACAACCAGCTCATAGAGGGCATAGTAGTACTTCTCTCGGATCTCCCTCCGTGGGTCGAGTAGGTTGTCTCCCAACGTGTGTAGACGAGTCAGGTTCACCCGTAGGTTGGTGATCTTCAACAGGTCTGAGGCGGGGGAAGGGGGGCCAACTGACCAGGCAGGCCCTTGCTGCCCCATGTCCACCCAGGGGCTCAGCTGCCAAGGTCACCTTGAAAGACCTCCTATACACTGCCACCCGAGCTAAACTGGGCTTGGCACCTGCCCTAGGAAGCACCCAAAATAGTTACTGAGGCCCCAAATAGTCCCTAGCCGGACACGGACTGTGCCAGACTCAAAGGGTGGAGCACTCACTCTGAATCCGTGAGCTGTAGGGGTCTGGGATAGGGATGGCAGGGTCCAGCACACGATAGATGACCTGGAGAAGCAGGGAGTTCATAGTCACACTGGACCTTGCCTCAGGCCCATCATCCCCAGCTTCCAGCCCCCAGCCCAGATGCCAGCCCTCACCTCGCCTTCAGTGGATGGCTCAATCTCTGAGTAGCGGGACTCACAGACTACATCATCCCAGTGCCGTGGGGGTGCTAGTGGGACTCCTGGGAAGTCAGCCCCACAGTCATAGGAGAAATATCGGTACACATGCCAGGTGCGGCCAAAGTCTGCTGAGCGTTCCACCAGCATGGCAGCAGGGCGAAATGTCTGGGTAGGGGGGCATAGCTGATCAGCAGGCACCAGGACCCAAGCCCAACCCAGAGCCATCAAGAGCCCTGCTCAGCCCAAGACTGCCCTCAAATAGCTCACAGAGAGTGGGGGTGACTGGTGGAAGCCAGATAATGACCAGCAAAGGTAGCCACCTCTAATGGGGAGACTCAGGGTTCATGGGGCTCAGGGAGACAGCGCCTGACCCAGCCTGGGATTGGAAAGGCAGAAGAGCATGTGCAAAGGCCTGGAGGCAAATGGAAGGTGTGAAGGGATGAAGGAGCCTCCTGCATCCATGCTCAAGGAGGCTGTGTTAAGGAGCTGAGGCTCTGTCCAGGGGCAATGGAGAGCCAAGCAGGGTGATTCGGGCAGGCTCCCAGATATGCAGGCACCTTGAAGGTCATAATGAGGTGTGTGAAATGAAACTCAGCCTCCAGGTCCAGCTGGATGGTGACCGCAGGGATACCTGGGACAGGAATCGGAAGTCAAGGACTCAAAGCTACTGGTGGGCAGCCCTGCTCACTTTTGCCCCACCCATGGCCTCACCATTCTCTGACTGCCACCAGGCTGCCCGCCGCTGTGGTGCAAAGCTGGTGACTACATTCTGGATGCGATGGCTGTGTGGGTTGTCTCTAGCAGAGAAGGGGCGCCGGGAGTCACAAAGGAAGCACTTCTTTTCGTCCTGGGTTGGATGGGGATTAGAATCAGTGCCTCAGGCAGTGCCAGCCCCACCCTGACTCGGCGTCACACCCTGTCCCCAGCCACACCTGCAGGTGACTGACGATGCAGTAGGGCTGGGGGCCATTCAGGCCACAAGTGGATGAGGCAGTCAGTCTGTCAGCTCGGCCCACCAGCAGGTCGCCCGTGGCGGGGTAGCAGCTTCCCCTGGAACAGCCAGGCACATCCGGGGCAGGGGCCTGTGCCAGTGTGGCAGCCAGCACTGGGGACAGTAGCTCAGTCAGTTCCGCTGAGTTCCTATCCAGTGGCTCCACCTCATGTGCCCCAAGGGCAACTACCAGGACCTACCATCACATTCCACAACCCCCAGCCCCCACCAGGCCCTCTCACCGCTTAGCAGTAGGCCCAGTCGAAGTTCCCAGGGCAGAGGCTGTCCCCTCCCTCTTTCCCTTGAGGTCAGCTCCATCCTGAAGAGGGGAACAGGGATAAGGGGAGGTGAACGGTCTCGGGCCCGAGCCCTCCTCCTTGCTTTGGGGTTCCGTGTCAACTCTGCCTGTGGGTCTTTGGCCTGTTTCCCTCCAGGCCCTCTGTCAGTTCCCAGGTCTGTCCAGCGGTCCCTCCGACAGCTTAGAGTCCAGCGACTTTGAGCAAAGTTGGGAATCGCGGCAGGAAGGAAAGGCCGGAGCGGATTCTGGGAAGGAGCGCAACACCGGGCGGAGAGCGCCCCCACCCCAACCCTACCCCTTCCCTCCGGAAACTGCCTTCGCCCCAGGAACCAGAGACAGACCACTTCACCCACAAATCTTTATTGTGCCCCCAAGCCCACACCTATACGAGGGCCAGGGGAAGGTAAGGGGTTTGGTGCTTTAAACTATCCTTGGAAGAGGGCTCACGAAGTTGGGGGCATGGCAGGAGCAAATGAGAGATCTTCGGGATCTCCAACTCTGGACCAAGGAGACCGTAGCCTTTTCCCCTCAGCGTCATGGGCGCCGTGGAAATTACCATCAACTCAGCCGTTTGATCCCAGGGCTCCAGCATCAACAGAGAGGCTGGAGGGCACAAGCAGGAGCAACACATGCCCCTATTCAGGGCTGTGGGGGGCTCTCGGGTAGTCCTAGGGACTGGACAGAATGGGGCTGGGGGAGAGATGGGGAAAGTGCACACCCAGCCCGAAGCACAGCTCCAGGGGGGTCACTGCCTCCCCCACTAGTCACTACGGTAAGTAGGCACGAGAAGTGCTGCGGGTTTCCCTGTATGGAAATAGGCTCTGGGTGGTGGACCAGAGCTACGGCGAGCGACTCCGGATCTTGTGGCTATTTATCCGCTCCAGACTTTTTGGCCTGCCGGGATCGCAGGAGCCTGGGGTTGGAATGTGCGCGGCGGCGTGGAGGGGGAGAGAAGGAGGAAAGTGGGTGGGGGATATGGGGCGCGCCCCACCCAGGGCCCTGGGAACGGGAAGCTGGGGGAAACATGGGGTCCTCCGGTCTTTAGGGCTGGGTCTGGCCTGCCGCCTCCACAGTCCCGGCAGGGAGTGCCCTGAGCTGCCATCCAGGGAAGAAAGCTGATGATAGTTCCTCAGGGGAATCACCCCACTTCACAAAGGAGCATGGGGGCGGCGGGGGTGGGGGTTGGGTGAGGGTTGGGTGGGGGTCAGTCAATCCGTTGGACTTTAGGCATCGCTGGGAGTTATTCTGGATATCCGGAGTAGAGGTCTCCAGTCACCCTGAGGATCATGTAGTCAACCTGGGGGATCAGGGATACTAGAAATTACTGAGAATTTTAATTTTTTTTTTTTTTTTGAGACAGAGTGTCGCTCTGTCACCCAGGCTGGAGTGCAGTGGCGAGATCTCCGCTTACTGCAACCTCTGCCTCCCAGGTTCAAGCGATTCTCCTGCCTCAGCTTCCCAAGTAGCTAGGATTACAGGCGCCCACCACCACGCCCAGCTAATGTTTCTATTTTTAGTAGACATGGGGTTTCACCATGTTGGCTTGGCTGGTCTTGAACTCCTGATCTCAGGTGATCCTCCCGCCTCTGCCTCCGAAAGCGCTGGGATTACAGGCATGAGCCAGTAAATAGTGCCAGGCCCCATCTATTTATTTTGAGTGGAGAATGCCAGCACTGTAGTCTCACAGTTTTAGATCACTCAGAGATAAAGGTGTATCAAGGTCTGGGACACTAGATGGCCTCAGGGAGTTACATGATCTGTCTGCTTTCTCAAGGTCAGAGGGCCACTGGGGGACATCGTGGGGCCACATGGGGGGGTCACTCAGGGTCAGTGGGCACTCAGTAGGATCTTTGGTCTCCCAAGGCCAGGAGATTCCTGGATCACTCTAGGGCCACTTTGAGTTACCCAGGTGATCCCACAGTCCTTCTTAATGGCTTCCATAGACAGTAATTAGCAGGTGGCATACTTATTGGTGGCAAAGCACATCATGTGCCCAAGCAGCTCAGCTGCCTGCTGCTCCAGGGCCTGCAGGGTGGCTGCCTTCTTGCCCAGTGCCTGTGCATTCTGTGTCAGGCGGCACTCCAACCCTGGGGTCAGGTCATCTGAGCCAGGCTCTGACCCCTGGCTCTAACCTCTGATCCTGGTCCCAGTCTCTATCACAACCCTGACCCTGACCCAGCCCTAACCTTAAATAAACCCTGAACCTAATCAACACTTGATCCCTGGTCTAAACCTTGACCCTAGCCCTGATCCCTACATGAGTCAAGATCTGATCTGGACCCAGCCTTAACCCTTCCACAACATCCCTATTCTGGCCCTGACCTTTCCATCTGACCCTAAGCCGTTCCCTGTGCCTGCCCTATTGCAGGCCAGCCATGCACCATGCAGGCAGCTGAAGCTGCTTTATGCCTTCTTCAGGAGCTCCTGGGCCTCAGCTCAAGCCTGCTGCACCCATTCTTTTGCATCCTGCACAGTGGCTACCAGGCCATATGTGTCCTCCTGCAGCTCGGCCACAGCCAAAGGGGCCACCTACAACTCCTAGGGCAGGGCTGGACCTGAATCCCCACCCCACCCAGAATATATTGCCTCAAATATATTACTGCCTAAGGTTCCTGGAGAAAAGGAGAATTTAGAACTGAGATCCCGCCTCAGTCCAGTATAGCCCAGCCCCAGCCCAAACCCCACTTTCCACTGTTCCAGAGGGGTCCCTGAGACCCCAGTGCCCACTCTTCCCCATTTCATCTTGCCCAGGCCCTCAGCCCTGCCTACGACTCATGCTGCCCATTCTTCTGCCTCCTGGGCCTGCTGCTGACTCAGGACAAAACATGCCCTGAGCACCTTAGCTACACTGGACAGACGCCCTGGGACTGGGGTCACCTCAACTGCCAGTGCCATCTGGGCCAGGCGCCCTACTACCTGGGGCAAAGGTTAGGGGGTCACAGAGAGGACACAGCACAGTAGCAACTAGGCTGAGTGTTATCACGGTCAAGGTACTTGGTAGCACTGTGGTATCATAGTGAGTCAAGGATCTCAGGGAGAATGGAAATCACAGCAGTCATTGAACAAGGGATGTAAAGGAGCTGAGGGTACAAGTAGGGTATCACCTCCTGTACAGTGCCCTCCAGGCCTTCAAGTGCCAGCTTCACTTCCTGTAGCCCTTGCTCTGCGGCCCCTGCATGAGTTCCATTCCCCCCTCAGCCAGCACCCCCTGAACATCCAGTGCTTGGTGCTGGGCCCAGGTTGTACCCTCCTTGAAGAACACAGGTGTTCAGTTAGGCATCCCTTTTCTGGCCACCCTCTGACTTCCACCTCCAGCCTCCTGGCCCTTCACCTGGTTCACTCTGCCTGATGGAGGATGCCTTCAGCTTTGGGCAGCTTCTGGCCCATGGCATCCGGTACAGGGAGAGCACCCTGGATCTGACCCAGCAGAAGAGCAATGCCTACTGCCCCCACCTTGGGGAAGGGGCACTGACAGCCAGCTCCACACTTGTGGTGTCCACACCTTTGTCTGTGGGGAAGAGGGTAGGGATCTTAGGCCTGAACCCTGAACTCTGAGCCAACAAACCCTGACCCTAGCCTCTCACTGATCCTGCCTTAGACACAACTATCCAGTGGTGTGCTGGAGGCTTACAAGAGGCAATTGTTGGCCGGGCGCAGTGGCTCACGCCTGTAATCCCAGCACTTTGGGAGGCCGAAGCAGGCAGATTGCCTGAGCTCAGGAGTTCGAGACCAGCCTGAGCAACACGGTGAAAACCCATCTCTACTAAAATACAAAAAATTAGCCAGGCATGGTGGCATGTGCCTGTACTCCCAGCTACTCAGGAGGCTGAGGCAGGAGAATTGCTTGAACCCGGGAGGCGGAGCTTGCAGTGAGCCAAGATCACACCACTGCACTCTAGCCTGGGTGACAGAGCGAGACTCTGTCTCTAAAAAAAATAAAAAATAAAATGATAATAAAAAAAGGGTAATCCCAGCACTTTGGGAGGCCAAGGCAGGCAGATTACAAGGTCAGGAGTTTGAGACCAGCCTGGCCAATGTAGTGAAAACTCATCTCTACTAAAAATAACAAAAATTAGCTGGATGTGGTGGCGGGTGCCTGTAATCCCAGCTACTCAGAAGGCTGAGGCAGGAGAATCGCTTGAACCCAGGAGGTGGCGGTTGTGGTGAGCCGAGATCACGCCACTGCACTCCAGCCTGGGTGACAGAGCGAGACTCTCCCTCTCAAAAATAATAATAATAATACTAAAATAAAAAGAGCCAATTGTTAAATTTTCAGGAATTTTGCAAATAAGTTGTCAAATGGTATGGACTGAAATCAATCATGATAGCATTACTTACATCATGGATATTGACAAATGCTAAAAATCAGTTTCCCCTGACTCACAGCCAGTTGTTAAAAATTTATCTACACACATGGCCAGATGCGGTGGCTCACGCCTGTAATCCCAGCACTTTGGGAGGCGAAGGCGGGTGGATCATGAGGTCAGGAGTTCAAGACCAGCCTGGCCAAGATGGTGAAACCCCGTCTCTACTAAAAATACAAAAAAAAATTACAGTGTGCCTGTAATCCCAGCTACTTGGGAGGCTGAGGTGGGAGAATCGCTTGAACCCGGGGGGCGCAGGTTGCAGTGAGCCGAGATTGCACCACTGCACTCCAGCCTGGGTGACAGAGCAAGACTCCCTCTCAAAAAAAAAAAAAAAATTTACGCACACACTAGTGTTCCCACTTGACCCCTGGTCAGCCCTGATGAATATTCCTCATTCTGGAAGGAGTATCATGATAGTGTCCTGCATACCCTATTAACCCTGCCCTTGGCTGTGAACAGACATGCAACAAGCAGATATGTACCCATGAGGAAGCGCTGGATGATCTGCACGGCTGCTTGCATGTGGGTCATGGCAGTCATGCCCCAAGGTCCCCTTTCCCAATACCATGTCTCCTGTGCCTGGATTCCTGTGGAGCTTGCTATGGCCTGGATTTGCTGCAGCTGGTGGGCGTGGGTCAGATGTGGAATATGTTGCCTACAACACCATGTCCAAGCCATGGTTTCCTGTGACTCCCCCATGGCTCCCACCCACAGTCCCCCTGGCTGTGTACCTGTTGTTGATGCTGCTCCAAGGCTGTGACTCTATGTCCAGGCTATGGGAGGAGTTGTGGAAGGCAACAAGAGCCCACTGAACAGTGGGCAGGGTCCCAGGTTGGAGGGAGCAGCCTGTGCCTGCTACAGTACCCAATCTAGGACCTGCAGGTGTCCACCCTGGCCCCTAACACCCCCACCAGGCATCCCCTAGCATAGGGTGGCCACCTCTTGGGCCACAGCTTCCAGCTGCAGTGGGAGCAGAGCCAGGAGTTGGTCTCAGAAGGTGAAGCAGGTGGGACAGGAGGTGCAGTGTGGGAAGGCACCTCTGGAGCCATGAGCACATGCCTGGCACCTCAGCCCTAAGATGCCCTCTCTGAAGAAGCAGGTGCCCATGTGTGAATCACAGCTGGGCAAGATGGAGCCCTGTGGGTCACAGGCACAGGCTGCAGAGGAGAGATAGGGTCAGGGTAGAGAGCAGATGACACTAGCTCTAGCCTTACCTTCGAGAGACCTGAAGGATGGGCCAGGTGCAGTGACTCACACCTGTAACCCCACCACTTTGGGAGGCTGAGGCAGGAGGATCACTTGAGCTCAGGAGTTTGAGACCAGCCTGAGCAACATAGGGAGATCCTGTCTCTACAAAAAAATTTAAAAATTAGCCAGGTGTGGCGGCGTGTGCTGTAGTCTCAGCTACTCAGCAGGATGAGGTGGGAGGATCACTTGAACCTGGGAGGTTGAGGCTGTAGTGAGCTAAGATCATGCCACTGTACTCCAGCCCAGGTGACAGAGTGAGACCCTATTTCTTTTCCTTTTTTTTTTTTTGTGAGACAGAGTCTCGCTCTGTAAGTGTAGTGGTGCGATCTCGTCTCACTGCAACCTTCACCTCCCAGGTTCAAGCAATTCTCCTGCCTCAGCCTCCTGAGCAGCTGTGACTACAGGCAACCGCCAACATGCCTGGCTAATTTTTTTTTTTTTGTATTTTTAGTAGAGACGGGGTTTCACCATATTGGCTAGGCTGGTCTTAAACTCCTGACCTCATGATCTACCCGCCTCGGCCTCCCAAAGTGTTGGGATTACAGGCGTGAGCCACTGTGCCTGACCCATGAGACCCTATTTCTGAAAAAATAATAGGTCTGTGGGAGGCTAAGGTGGGTGGATCACTTGAGCTCAGGAGTTCAAGACCAGCCTGGGCAACATGGAAAAACCCCATCTCTACAAAAAATACAAAAATTAGCTGGACATGGTGGGGCACACCTGTGGTCCCAGCTCCTCAGGAGATAAGGCGGGAGGATCCCTTGAGCCTGGAAGGTTGAGACTGCAATGAGCCAAGATTGTGCCACTGCACTCCAGCTTGGGTGACAGAGTGAGAGCCCGTCTCAAAAAAAAATGTCTGAAGGGGCTGAGCACGGTGGCTCACGCCTGTAATCCCAGCACTTTGGGAGGCTGAGGCGGGCAGATCACGAGGTTAGGAGATTGAGACCATCCTGGCTAACATGGTGAAATCCCGTCTCTATTAAAAATACAAAAACAAAATTAGCCGGGCGTGGTGGCGGGCACCTGTAGTCCCAGCTACTCAGGAGGCTGAGGCAGGAGAATGGCATGAACCTGGGAGGCGGAGCTTGCAGTGAGCTGAGATCTCACCACTGCACTCCAACCTGGGCGACAGAGCGAGACTCCGTCTCAAAAAAAAAAAAAAATACTGAAGGATGAGAATGGCCCTGTGTAGGTGTGAGGGTGCACACCAACCCTTGCCTAAGCCACTGCTCAGAACTGCCATGGGCACTGGCATTTACCCTGGACAGAGAGGCCATACTGCATGGCAGTATTTGGGCAGGAAAACAGCACAGGGTTCCAGGGGCTCTACAGCCCTGTCAGGGGTCAACCAGAGTCAAGGGCTGGCAGGCAGGGTGAGGAAAGAGCCACCTGATGTGTCCTCTCTATAGGCATCCCTCGCCTAGCCTTGCTGTTTCCCTTCAGCTGTTTTCACAAGTATTTCTTTAAGTTCTTTGGGGAAACAGCAATAAACGTGCTGTGTTCTCCCTCAGGAAAACCCCAAACACTCCCTTGCTACTCCATATTGAGCAGCCCCTGCAGGGCAGCCTCACCCCTGGCTGTGGAATGTGCAAGTGCCCCTCTCACCTCTGCACTCCTGCTCAGGGTCACCCCAATACCCATTCTGCAACTGGGAGCATTTGCAGCTCCCAGACGCTGCCCAGCAGGGGCACTGACCTGTGACCTGAAGGAAGAAAGCATAGCCTGGTCAGCAGGGCCAAAGACCCTTCTCTGGGAGAGGGAAAAGGACTTGAGTGCTTAGACATGCATGGCACACACATACTTGTATTTCCTCCCAGCTGTGTTCCTGCCCAAGGCAGCACCCACACTTGCATTTGGCTGAGAGCCTCTCCCTTCCTGCTTTCTCTGGTGTTGTGAGAAGTCAGGGACCCTGACTGGAGGGACCGGCTGGAGCCGAGGCAGAAGAACATAAATTGTGAAGATTTCATGGACATTTATCAGTTCCCCAAATTAATACTTTTATAATTTCTTATGCCTGTCTTTATTGCAATCTCTGAACATAAATTGTGAAGATTTCATGGACATTTATTATTTCCCCAATAATACTCTTATAATTTCTTATGCCTGTCTTTAATCTCTTAATCCTGTTATCTTCATAAGCCGAGAATATACATCACCTCAGGACCACTATTGTACAAATTGATTGTAGAACTTGTGTGTTTGAACAATATGAAATCTGATTGTAAAATATGTGTGTTCGAACAATATGAAATCAGTGCACCCTGAAAAAGAACAGAATATCAGCAATTTTCAGGGAACAAGGGAAGATAACCATAAGGTCTGACTGCCTGCAGGGTCGGGCAGAATAGAGCCATATTTTTCTTCTTTCAGGGAGCCTATAAATGGATGTGCGAGTAGGAGAAATATCGCTGAATTATTTTCCCAGCAAGGAATATTAATAATTGATACCCTAGGGAAGGAATGCATTCCTGGGGGAAGGTCTATAGACGGCCACTCTGGGAGTTTGTGTCTTATGTGGTTGAGATAAGGACTGAAATATGCCCTGGTCTCCTGCAGTACCCTCAGGCTTACTAGGATTGGGAAATTCCAGCCTGGTAAATTCTAGTCAGACCGGTTGTCTGCTCTCAAACCTTGTTTCCTGTTAAGATGTTTATCAAGACAATCTGTGTACAATGGGACATAGACCCTCATCAGTAATTCTAATTTTGCCTTTGCCTTGTGATCTTTATTGTTCTTTGAAGTATGTGATCCTTGTGACCTACTCCCTGTTTGTACACCCCCTCCCCTTTTAAAATCCCTAATAAAAACTTGCTGGTTTTGTGGCTTGGGGTCACCATCACGGTCCTACCAATGTGTGATGATACTCCCGGAGGCCCAGCTGTAAAATTTTTCTTTGTACTCTTTCTCTTTATTTCTTAGACCTGCTGACACTTAGGGAAAATAGAAAGAATCTATGTTGAAATATTGGGGGTTGGTTCCCTTGATACTCTGGCCTGCTGCCTTGGCCAATCTGCACCTTCCCACATTGCCAGCCCTTGCTTCCCATGGACCCACTAGTTCTCATCTCCTGATCTGTTGCCCTTAGTTTCCCCATGTCCTGAGTTGCATACCCACTGTTTCCATGCCCCTCCTCCTATGCCTCACTCACTCCCTGAGTCTGACTCCCACCCCTCTCCTTGCCAAGGACACAGGAACACACTTCAAGCTTCATCTCATTCAGTCTCTGACCACTTTCCTCCCAGAAACGCTTGCTTCCCATGGCCATCTCTCTCTGCCTGCACCAGATCTCAATCCTAACCCTCCACCTGTACCTCCTCAGTCTCCTTCTCCTTCCAGCCCCACTCTTGTCTCCACCCCTCATCACGCTCACTCTGCTTGCCATGACCTACTCACAGTGGTTCACTCACAAATTAGTGCATGGCTGCATGTGGGACTGGGGACATGCAGCCTCGTGTCCATACTCCCCCACACCCTGACACCACCTTATAGTTAACGCCACATGAGAGCAGAGACTCACACAGCTGTTTGCAGCCCCATGTACCAGTACTGGTGCTGGTGGTCACATTCACTCACAGCAGCCATAAGTCACATTGTGTCATAGGCAAGTGCAAGTTCACTCACACCTGGCTATGACCACATGCTATGTACAATATGGGCTTACTCACTGGGTGGCACATTGATTGCAAAGTGTATTGAGCATGAAAGCCACAGAGTTCACAGCCCCAGGGGTCTCCCAGGTTCCAGAAGAGGGGGGCACAGTGGCTGCAGTCTTGCCCCAGAGTGCGGGGGCAGCACAGGCTTCAGCCTCAGATGGGCACCACATGAGGACATTGTCTCAAGGGTCACAACTGTAGCCTGGGGAGAGGAAGGCTTGGCCAATCTGGGGAGTGAAAATCCTACCCGGTCACCCTGGGATGTCCCCACCCACAAACTCATGCTGGCAGCCCTCTGAGCCCAGGTCTATAGGGGAACCTGCCCCCAATAGTCACACAGGTTCTTTTCTGTTTTCCCTAAGCATCGGCCAGGTTGAGAAATAAAGGGACAGAGTACAAAAGAGATAAATTTTAAAACTGGGCGTCTGGGGGAGACATCACATGTCGGTAGGTTCCATGATGCCCTCTGAGCCGTGAAACCAGCAAGTTTTTATTAGTGATTTTCAAAAGGGGAGGGAGTGTATGAATAGGGTGTGGGTCACAGAGATCACATGCTTCACAAGGTGATAGAATATCACAAGGCAAATGGAGGCAGGGCGAGATCACAGGACCACAGGACTGGGGCAAAATTAAAATTGCTAATGAAGTTTCGGGCACCATTGTCACTGATAACATCTTATCAGGAGACAGGGTTTGAGAGCAACCTGTCTGACCAAAATTTATTAGGCGGGAATTTCCTCATCCTAATAAGCCTGGGAGCGCTATGGGAGACTGGGGCTTATTTCATCTCTACAGTTTCGACCACAGAAGATGGCCACACCCAAGGGGGCCATTTTAGAGGCCTACTCTCAGAGGCGCATTCTCTTTCTCAGGGATGTTCCTTGCTGAGAAAAAGAATTCAGCGATATTTCTCCCATTTGCTTTTGAAAGAAGAGAAATACAGCTCTGTTCCGCCTGGCTCACCAGCGGTCAGAGTTTAAGGTTATCTCTCTTGTTCCCTGAACATTGCTGTTATCCTGTTCTTTTTTCAAGGTGCCCAGATTTCATATTGTTCAAACACACATGCTCTACAATTTGTGCAGTTAATGCAATCATCACAGGGTCCTGAGGCGACATACATCCTCCTCAGTTTACGAGATGACAGGATTAAGATATTAAAGTAAAGACAGGCATAGGAAATCACAAGGGTATTGATTGGGAAAGTGATAAGTGTCCATGAAATCTTCACAATTTATGTTTACAGATTGCAGTAAAGACAGGCATAAGAAATTATAAAAGTATTAATTTGGGGAACTAATAAATGTCCATGAAATCTTCACAATCCACGTTCTTCTGCCATGGCTTCAGCCGGTCCCTCCATTTGGGGTCCCTGACTTCCCGCAACACAGGTCACTGCTGCGGAAGCCAGGCTTGCCGTGGGCATAGGCAGGGACATGGCTGTGGTGCACAGAATGCTGGCAGTGCCCACTGTGGGGGTCACAGGCAGCAGGATCATGGAGATTGATATTGCCACACTGGCAGACCGGTATGGACTCTTCTGGGGTATCCTCCTGGCCAGGTGCCCAAAATAGCCACAGAAGCAGTGGTCACAGCTGAGGCCTGGAGAGGACTGGGGTATATGTGTCTTCCTGTACCCTGGGGGCCTGTGGGTCTCAGATATGCAGCCAGAAAGTCTGAGGTCTGGCCAGGAGGGACACAATAGGTATATTATAGCCCATCTTCCTGGCTTTCAAGGTCTATACCTATAATTCCCCCCATTCAGCCCTCCTTCCTCAGAACAGGAACTCCTTGAAGATGGTGCCCAGCTCAGCATACAGGTGGCATTGGGAAGATTTGTCATGTGGACCTGATGGGATTGTGAACAATTGACCAGGGCTGTGGCTTTGTCACTGCCAACCATGCCTCACCTGCATAGCCAGGTAAACAGAAGACTAGGATATGCCCACTCATGCTGTCCACATGGCAGGAACTCCCATGATAGAGGCTGGAATTGGGGTGCCCAGGACAAAGGCAGAGCCAGCACCGCTGGCCCAAGCCTAGAGTGGGGTCTCCATAGTAGCCATCCAAGCACCTGGGGGCAGTAGCACATGGTATGGGGCCTGTTCAACCCATCCAATGACAGTGCTCACCTTTTACAGTGCCAGCCTGGCAGGCCTGGCAGATACATATAAGGGGGTGGCACAACTCAGCATGCCCATTGCAGGCACAGGGCTGGCACTGCCAAAAGCTTCAGTAGCCAGGGAGGCAGTAGTCACGGCAGCAACCAGCAAGTCCTTCCTGGAACATGCACTGCCCATACACAGGGTTATAGATGGCACTGGTGGTACCTTCAGCATATCAGTGGCACTCTGTGGAGAATGACAAAGCAATCAAGCCATGCAAGGACAGGAGACAGCTGGCCCCCAACCTCATGCCTACAGGCCCTGAAGGCTCATCACTGCAGCCAGAGGCCCAAAGCCTGCTTTCCAGGCACACAGTGGTCACAAGTATGACCAATGATATGAAGATGGCAGGGATACTGCCCACATAGCAGGCCCCACTCAGTGCTCAGTGAACCTTGCAGATGGCACACATGCTGGCAGAGGAAGGGAAAGATTAGATGAACCTCATGGTGCTCCTGCAACCCCTACCCTGAAGCCACTTCAAGCCTGGCACATACACTCACTGAGGCCCATCCCCATGGAGCAGAGCTGAGATGCTGCAGAACAGGCAGGCACAGGCTTCAGGCATCGTGCTGGAGAGGCCTGGCCTTGCTGCCTCCATGAGCCTGCCTGGTGGAACTCCTGTAAATGCCTGAGGCCCCAGGGTACAAAGACCCCAGCCCAGGCAACGTGTTCACCCATGGCAGGTGCACAAGCTAGCAAGAGGGTCAAGGGAAGCCAGCAAGAGGCAATCAGCCCCACTCATTAACACTTACTTGCCACCTTTCTTGGATTGGCCCTCATCCAAGGGGGACATCCCTACCCCCACCCCTCAGCCCCCCTTCTGTTTCCTAATCTCTCTCTTTTTTTTTTTTTTTTTTTTGAGACAGAGTTTTGCTCTAGTTGTCCAGGCTGGAGTGTAATGCTGTGATCTTGGCTCACTGTAACCTCTACCTCCCAGGTTCAAGCAATTCTCCTGCCTCAGCCTCCCAAGTATCTGGGACTACAGGTGCATGCTACCATACCTGGCTAATTTTTTTTTTTTTTTTTTGGTAGAGGTGGGGTTTCGCCATGTTAGCCAGGATGGCCTCAATCTCCTGACCTTGTGATCCGCCCAACTCGGCCTCCCAAAGTGCTGGGATTACAGACACCCGCCACCACGCCCAGCTAATTTTTGTATTTTTAGTACAGACGGGGTTTCACCATGTTCACCAGGCTTCTCTCAAACTTTTGACCTCAGGTGATCCCACCTCGGCCTCCCAAAGTGCTGGGATTACAGGCGTGAGCCACCATGCCCGGCCCCTTGAACCCCTAATCTGTTTTGAGTCAATTTTTCCTCCATCTCCAGTGGCCCCAATCTAGTAGAGAGAATGCCATCTCTCACTCAGAATCATTTCGGGAGCTTGCATCTGGGCCTTCCACCAAACAATAAATTCTCCCCACATCTCTTCCCTGCTTAAATCTCTTCCATGGTTCCCCACTTCCCCTGGGATAAAGGTTAAGCCCCTCTCCTGGCCCAAAAGGTCCTATGAGATCTGGCACTTGCCTATTCTTATCTTCTGTCTTTTGCATGAGCTGTTTCCCCTGCCTGGGCTCCTCTGCCTACACTCTCCATCTATGTAGGTCTTAATCCTCTTGCTGCAACTCCAGGCCTCTATGATCCCCTGCCTCCCAGCCTCACTGCACCAATCCTGTCTTGCTATAATTTATGTCTCAGAGACTGGGCGCAGTGGTTCACGCCTGTAATCTCAGCACTTTGGGAGGGCGAGGCAGGTGGATCACCTGAGGTCAGGAATTCAACACCAGTCTGGCCAACATGGTGAAATCCCGTCTCTACTAAAAATACAAAAAAAAATTAGCTGGGCATGGTGGCAGGCGCCTATAATCCCGGCTACTCCAAAGGCTGCAGCAGAAGAATCGCTTGAACCCAGGAGGCAGAGGTTGCAGTGAGCCGAGATCGTGCCATTGCACTACAGCCTGGGCAACAAGAGCGAAACTCTGTCTCAAAATAAATAAGTAAATAAACAAACAAAGAGGCCGGGTGCAGGTGGCTCATGCCTGTAATCCCAGGACTTTGGGAGGCCGAGGCGTGCAGATCACCTGAGGTCAGGAGTTCAAGACCAGCCTGGCCAATGTGGTGAGACCCTCTCTCTACTAAAAACACAAAAATAAAATAAAATAAAATAAAACAAAACTAGCCAGACAAGGTGGCCAGCACCTGTGATCCCAGCTACTGAGGAGGCTGAGGCAAGAGAATCGCTTGAACCTGGGAGGCAGAGGTTGCAGTGAGTCAACATTGTGCCACTGTACTCCAACCTGGGTGACAAGAGCAAAACTCCATCTCAAAAAATAAAATAAAATAAAATAAAATAAAATAAAATAAAATAAAATAAAATAGGCCAGGCGTGGTGGCTCACGCCTGTAATCCCAGCACTTTGGGAAGCCGAGGCGGGTGGATCATGAGGTCAGGAGATCGAGACCATCCTGGCTAACACGGTGAAACCCCATCTCTACTAAAAATACAAAAACAAAAAATTAGCTGGGCGCAGTGGCAGGCACCTGTAGTCCCAGCTACTTGGGAGGCTGAGGAAGGAGAATGGTGTGAACGTGGGAGGCGGAGCTTGCAGTGAGCCAAGATAGCGCCACTGCACTCCAGCCTGGGTGACAGAGCAAGACTCCATCTCAAAAAATAATAATAATAATAAAATAAAATAAAATAAAAAAATAAAATTGGCCAGGCACAGTGGCTCATGCCTGTAATCCCAGCACTTTTGGAGGCCGAGGTGGGCGGACCATGAGATCAGGAGATGGAGATCATCCTGGCTAACACAGTCAAACCCCGTCTCTACTAAAAATACAAAAAAATTAGCCAAGCATGGTGGCGGGCGCCTGTAGTCCCAGCTACTACTCAGGAGGCTGAGGCAGGAGAATGGCATGAACCCAGGAAGCGGAGCTTGCAGTGAGCCAAGATTGCGCCACTGCACTCCAGCCTGGGCAACAGAGTGAGACTCCATCTCAAAAAAATTAAAATAAATAAAATAAAATTTATGTCTCTGAGCCAGGCGCAGTGGCTCACACCTATAATCCCAGCACTTTGGGAGGCCAAGGTGGTCAGATCACCTGAGGTCAGGAGTTCGTGACCAGCCTGGCCAATATGGTGAAACCCCAACTCTACTAAAAATACAAAAATTAGCCGGGTAGCCAGGTGCGGTGGCTCAAGCCTGTAATCCCAGCATTTTGGGAGGCCGAGTTGGGCGGATCACAAGGTCAGGAGATTGAGACCATCCTGGCTAACATGGTGAAACCCCACCTCTACTAAAAAAAAAAAAAAAAAAAAAATTAGCCAGGTATGGTAGCATGCGCCTGTAGTCCCAGCTACTCAGGAGGCTGAGGCAGGAGAATCGCTAGAACCTGGGAGGCAGAGGTTGCAGTGAGCAGAGATCACATCACTGCACTCCAGCCTGGGCAACAAGAGAGAAACTCCATCTCAAAAAATAAATAAATATATAAAAAAATTTTAAAAAGGCCAGGCGCAGTGGCTCACACCTGTAATCCTAGCACTTTGGGAAGCCGAGGCGGGCGGATCACGAGGTCAGGAGATCGAGACCATCCCGGCTAACACAGTGAAACCCCGTCTCTACTAAAAATACAAAAAATTAGCCAGGCATGGTGGCGGGCGCCTGTAGTCCCAGCCACTCGGGAAGCTGAGGCAGGAGAATGGCGTGAACCCAGGAGGCGGAGCTTGCAGTGAGCCGAGACAGCGCCACTGCACTCAGGCCTGGGCAAAAGAGTAAGACTCCGTCTCAAAAAAAAAAAAAAAAAAAAATTAGCCGGGTGTGGCAGTGGGCACCTGTAATCCCAGCTACTCAGGAAGCTGAGGCAGAACTGCTTGAACCTGGGAGGCGGAGGTTGCAGTGAGCTAAGATTGCTCCATTGCACTCCAGCCTGGGTGACAAGAACGAGACTCCCTCTCAAAAAAAAAAAAAAAAAATTATGTCTCTGCCAGATGTAGGGTGCAGCCCCTAGGACATCACTGAATGCAGATGGATGAAGCTTCCCTCAGTCCTCCACACTCCCTCTTGGTCTGCCATAGCCTGTGTCGTGGAGTAGCAGCATGTTCCTGGATCAAAGCAGAAAGTCTGTATAGAACCACAACCCTGCAGTGAATGGGGAGAGGAGAAGAGGTGAGGTGATGCTGCAATGATCATGTGGTCCCAGAGATGCCTCCATGCTTCCTTCCTTCCTTCCTTCTTTCCTTCCTTCCTTCCTTCGTTCCTTCCTTCCTTCCTCCCTCCCTCCGTCCTTTCTTTCTTTCCTTTTTCTTCTTCTTTTTTTTTGATGGAGGCTCGCTCTGTCGTCCAGTCTGGAGTGCAGTGGCGCGATCTCGGCTCAGTCCCACCTCAGCCTCCCGAGTAGCTGGGAGTACAGGTGTGTGCCACCACGCCAGGCTAATTTTTGTATTTTTAGTAGAAATGGGGTTTCGGCCGGGTGCGGTGGTTCATGCCTGTAATCCCAGCACTTTGGGAGGCTGAGGCGGGACAATCACAATGTCAAGAGATCGAGACCATCCTGGCCAACATAGTGAAACCCCGTCTCTACTAAAAATACAAAAATTAGCTGGGCATGGTGGTACGCGCCTGTAGTCCCACCTACTTGGTAGGCTGAGGCAGGAGAATCGCTTGAACCCAGGAAGTGGAGGTTGCAATGAGCCGAGATCGTGCCACTGCACTCCAGCCTGGTGACAAAGTGAGACTCCGTCTCAAAGTCTCAAAAAAAAAAAAAAAAAAAGCCACGCGCTGTGGCTCACACCTGTAATCCCAGCACTTTGGGAGGCTGAGGCGGGCAGATCACCTGATGATGAGAGTTGGAGACCAACCTGACCAACAGGGAGAAACCCCATCTCTACTAAAAATACAAAATTAGCTGGGTGTGGTGGCACGTACCTGTAATCCCAGCTACTCAGGAGGCTAACGCAGGAGAACTGCTTGAACCCGGGAGGCGGAGGTTGCGGTGAGCTGAGATCCCACCATTGCACTCCAGCCTGGGCAACAAGAGAGAAACTCTATCTCAAAAAAAAAAAAAAAAAAAAAAGCAGGGCGCGGTGGCTCACGCCTGTAATCCCAGCACTTTGGGAGGTCGAGGCAGGCGGATCATGAGGTCAGGAGATCGAGACCATCCTGGCCAACATGGTGAAACCCCGTCTCTACTAAAAATACAAAAAATTAGCCGGGCGTGGTGGCGGGCACCTGTAATCCCAGCTACTGGGGAGGCTGAGGCAGGAGAATTGCTTGAACCCAGGATGCGGAGGTTGCAGTGAGCCAAGATCGTGCCATTGCACTCCAGCCTGGGCAAAAAGAGCGAAACTCTGTCTCAAAGAGAAAAAAAAAAAAGAAACAGGGTTTCACCATGTTGGCCAGGCTGGTATGGAACTTCTGACCTCAGGTGATCCGCCCACCTTGTCCTCCCAAAGTGCTGAGATTACAGGCATGAGCCACTGTGCCCAGCTGGGATGCCTCATTTCTATTGTGCACTTAGTGAGCCCAACATTTCATCATGAATGGAAAAAGACCAACTTCTTAAATCCTGCTTTATTGTTAAACTAAGTACCTGTTTTGCTTGTTTTACGACATGATGATATGCCATACTGACGGTTTGGTGTGTTTCAAATGTGTGGGCAGCATAATGGGGTCCTGGTATTGGGAGTGACAGGGTTGGGGGTCACAGGGTCTTGCCTAGCTGTGTGCACGAAGCAGGGCCACCTGAAACAGCTGCTCTGAGGGCAGCAGATGGGCACAGTGGGTGCTGCTGGGCAGGAATTGGGCACAGACACTGACTAATGCCTGACAGTCTTCAGGTTCCTGGGGTTAGGGGTCAGCAGTCACAGAGCCACTCCTATCCATCCCTACCACCACCCATCCACACTCCTGACATCCACACCACTGACCTAGGTTTCATAGAGCAGGACAATGTCATACTACAGGGCATGAGGCACCAATGGGCACCAGGAGAGAAGGGCAACCCTCACTGACCACATGGGCAAAGTCAAGCCAGTCCAAAATACAGGACCAGCTGCCCATGCAGGGGAAAGGGCTTTTCTGGGGCCTGCATGTGAGACACAGACTTCCCATTCCAGGACCTACGACCCTCAGGGCTTAGACTCCCATTCCCTCAAGAACCCAAGGATCTGTATTCCCAGGCCCTTATCCCTCTTAAGATCCTAGTGACCTGTGACTTCATCTTGTTCCCCAGACTCCTCACTTTGGGCAGCTGGTGCCTGTAATGGTCTTGCCAGACAGGGTGGAGGGCACATCAAGGGTCATGCTATCATCCAGGTGTGGTGGCTCATGCCTGTAATCCCAGCACTTTGGAAAGCCAAGGCGGGCAGATCACCTGAGGTCAGGAGTTCGAGACCAGCCTGGCCAACAAGGTGAAACCCCGTATCTACTAAAAATACAAAAACTAGTCACGTGTGGTGGCAGGCACCTGTAATCCCAGTGATTTGGGAGGCTGAGGCAGGAAAATAGCTTGAACCCAGGAGGCACAGGTTGCAATGAGCCAAGATCATGCCATTGCACTCCAGCCTGGACGACAAGAGTGAAATTCCATCTCAAAACAAACAAACAAACAAACAAAACAAAACAAAAAACAGCGTGATGCTATCTCTGAAGTCGGGGCTGAAGCCAGTCAGAGGCAGTCCCTGGGGCTTCTGTACAGTGGAAAGGAGCAGGCCAGGGGGCTCCCTCGAAGGAAGTGGGAGTCCTAGTCCTTTCCCATACTGTCCTGGGAATAATATGGCCTCTGTCCAAGACACTGAACTTTTGACCATGCTGACACCCATACCTGGATTTCCAAGTCTTTCCAACCCTGCTCAGACTCTTCCTCCAAATAGTTATCTGGACGTTCACTTCTTCCAGTGAGCCCCAGTGTCTGAGCTTTGATTTCTTTCTGCTTCTGACCCTCCTGATACTTATACTTGCTGGAGAACCTGGCCAAGTTTGGCTTCAGCTGTGGCCAAGGGCAGCACAGAAATACCCAGATTAGACCAGGCGCCATGTGGCACGCCTATAATCCCAGCACTTTGAGAGGCCAAGGTGGGCGGATCACCTGAGGTCAGGAGTTCGAGACCAGCCTAGCCAATATGGTGAAACTTCGTCTCTACTAAAAATACAAAAATTCGCCAGGTGTGGTGGTGCATGCTTGTAATCTCAGCTACTCGGGAGACTGAGGCAGGAGAATCGCTTGAACCCGGGAGGCGGAGGTTGCAGTGAGCTGAGTTTGTGTCATTGCATGCCACCCTGCCTGGGCGACACAGCAAGACGCTGTCTCAAATTAAAAAAAAAGAAAAAAAAAGAAAAAGAAATACCCAGATTAGTGCTCATGGCAGTGGCAGCCACAGAGGTGGGGGTGGGATATGCAGAGACTCACCACTGCAGAATACCTGAGGGAGCACAGAGGTGAGGAGGGGTCAGGGTGAAGTCTTGATTCTTGCCATTTGACCATGAATTCCAGGCCCCGCCCTGTACCTGTTACTGTAGCATCTGCAAAGTTAAAGTCACAGGGCCAGCAGCCTGGGTGGGGGCGGGGTCACTGCCCAGACCCTAGAACTCAGGCTGTAGGAGACTGTAGTTGGGTTGGGGAAGGCAAGAAGATCTGGACAGGAAGAGGAGGGGAGGGGCCTGATAAGTCTTATATTGGGTCTGCCTATGGTGGGAAAAGGGGTGAGAAAGGGCCTGAATGTTCCTCTGACTGCATCTGAAAGTGAGAGAGAAGATCATGGTGCACTCCTGAGTAACTTCACAGAGAGACATAAGAAGGAGATGAGGACACAACCAGGGTTAAATAAAAGTTAAGCCAAGAGGCCGGGCACAGTGGCGCACGCCTGTAATCCTAGCGTTTTGGGAGGTTAAGGTGGGTGGATCACGAGGTCAGGAGTTCGAGACCAGCCTGGCCAAGATGGTGAAACCCCGTCTCTACTTAAAAAAAAAAAAAAATTAGCCGGGCGTGGTTGCGGTTGCCTGTAATCCCAGCTACTCGAGAGGCTGAGGCAGGAGAATCACTTGAACCCAGGAGGCAGAGGTTGCAGTGAGCTGAGATTGCGCCACTGCACTCCAGCCTGGGTGACAGAGTGAGACTCCATCTCAAAAAAAAAAAAAAAGTTAAGCAAAGAGTTTGTAACATTCGAGGCAAAGAGAGGATGGAGTTATTCCTTGGACTAAGTCTTCCTCTAAACAAGTTTGCTGGAAAAAAAACAAAACAAAACAAAACAAAACAAAAAAACACCTTTGGCCGGGTGTGGTGGCTCACACGAGTAATCCCAGCACTTTGGGAGACCAAGGCGGGCAGATCATTTGAGGTCAGGAGTTGGAGACCAGCGTGGCTGACATGGTAAAACTTCGCCTCTACTAAAAATACAAAAATTAGCCAGGTGTGGTGGTGTGTGCCTGTAATTCCAGCTACACAGGAGGCTAAGGCATGAGAATCGCTTGAACTCGGGAGGTGGAGGTTGCAGCGAGCCGAGGTTGCACCACTGCACTCCAGCCTGGGTGACAGAGCAAGACAAGACTCTGTCTCAAAAACAAAAACAAAGACAAAAGCCTTTAAATCCAGTGTATAATACAAGTTTAATCAATTTCCCTTTTGTTTCCGAAACTCCCACCTGAGGGCATATACAGGTTCAGCTAGCCAAAGTGATGCTGACCCTGGTGACCAAGTCAGTGAGCGGCACCCACCCAAGTACAAGGCTCAGTCCACAGTCATGATAACTATAGCCTTATACTCATTATAAGGCTATAGCTCCAAGAAGCTCAGTGCCAAAGGTCAAGGTTAAATCAGAAGGTGGGCCAAGCCTCACCAGACAATGGCTACCGTCCTGCCCAGAGACAAAGCATTTGCAGTGACAGGTACCACTGGAGGGATAACAGACATGAGTACCAGGGACCTGAACCCTGGGGTCACACCTGCAGGCGAAGGCTTAGGGCTCTTAGCTTGCTAATGGAACTGCAGTGAGGTGGGTAGGTGCGTGTGTTATCAGGGCAGTAACTGGGGGCAGAGCCAGGAGGACATGGAGGCGGGGGCCCACCCTGAGTGTCACTCACACTGGCAGCTCTGAGGTTGGGTGGAGCTCAGGCCATAGTGACCAGGCCAGTAGGAGTCACAGTGCTGACCCCATACACACACTTTGCAGCAACACTGCCCAGAGAGGAGGCCATGGATCTCATTAATGTGAGCATCACACAAATCCCCTTCCAGACACCCACAGGGTCACAGTCACAGGCTAGATCAGAGGTCAGAGGTTAAGGATGGAATTAGGTCAGAGGTCACCATGGAGCTGAAGGATAAGAGTCAGTGTTGGGATTAGGGGTTGAAGGACTCATGTCTGCAGGACCGAGGGGAACAGGGATCCTCTCAGGGATGACAGTAGAAGAAGGGCCAGCAGAACTCACAGTGGCGCCCAGCTGTGTTGTGCTGACACACATCACACACACCTCCACTCACATAACCAGACACACAGCTGTGTCAAAGTGACAACTGTAGACATGCCCATGGCACTCACATTCTGAGGCAGAACCAGAAAGGTAGATATGGGGTGGGCGGACCTGTGGCAGGTATGGCCAGGCAGAGTAGAGCATGGCATTCATCCCAGCAGGCATGGGGGTGCCCAGGCTCTGCTGCATGTCATGGATGATCCTGGTGCAGGTCTTGGCAGCACTCACAGTGTGCACCGACTGGTGGGGACAGATGCAAAGCCCATGTACCTGATAGGGAGGAGGGCAAGGCAGGCCTGCTCTGGAGTCCCAGCTTGCCCACCCCACCAGCAACAGAATGCCCCTCCCATTGTCCTCACCACATTGGCTGGGGTTCCAGGTGCAGACCTGCACTTAGAGGTGTGCCCAAGGCACAGGCAACTGCCTTTGGCTACAAGCTCATAGAAGGCATAGTAGTAGAAGGGGTGTCCCTTGAGGCCTCCCAGGGGCCTGTCACCCAGGGTGTGCAGTTTGGAGAAGTTTACACAGAGGTTAGTCACATGCAGGAGCTCTGGAGACACAGATGGTCAGACCTTGGGTGCCTTGGTCCTCACTTTCTATGACGAGGGAGGAGGGAAAGGAATGGGGGAGTCTTTCCCCTCTCCACATCCTTGTATCCACTCCTCCTGCCCTCATGCTATGGGGTTCTGTCATCCCTGCTTCCCTGGGAATGCTGTCTTAAGATGACCACAGCCTTCCCCATGGTGATAATTCCACTTCTGTAGTGAGGATCCCCTTTCTCCAATCCTGATTTTACTCCTGAACTGAGACCTGCACATCCCACTACTTCCTGGACACCCCACCATGGTATCATCAGGTATCTGAAACCTGCTTCCCTAATGCAGTAAAGGATTCTGCTTGTCATCCCATAGTCCAAACTAAAAATCTACTATCATTCAGCTAAACCACATAGGTACTACAATCGTGCACCCATCAGATTACAATGGAGAGGAAAAATTCATATTGTCTAGTGACATGGTGGCTGTCATAATGTTGTATGTAGCACAATACGTTACTCACGTTTGTGATGATACTGTGTAAACAAACCTACTGCATTGCTAGTCATATAAAAGTACAGCACATACAATTATGTACAGTAGGCTGGGCACAGTGGCTCACAGCTGTAATCCTAGCACTTTGGGAGACCAAGGCAGGTGGATCACCTGAGGTCAGGAGTTCGAGACTAGCCTAGCCAACATGGCGAAACCCCGTCTCTACTAAACAAATACAAAAAATCAGCCAGGCATGGTGGCGGGTGCCTGTAATCCCAGCTACTCTGGAGGCTGAGGCAGGGGAATCACTTGAACCTGGGGGACGGAGGTTGCAGTGAGCCAAGATCATGCCACTACACTCCAACCTGGGCAACAGAGTGAGACCCTGTCTCAAAAAAAAAAAAATTATGTTCAGTGTATAATACTTCATGATAATAAATGACTACTACTTGTTTATGCATTTACTATGCCATACTTTTTATCATTATTTTAGAGTGTGTGTCTTCTAGTTTTTTTTTTTTAATCTTTTTAAAAACATTTTTCAGATGGAGTGTAGCTCCATCGCCCAGGCTGGAGTGCAGAGGGGCGATCTCAGCTCACTGCAACCTCCACCTCCCAGGTTCAAGTGATTCTCGTGCTTCAATCTCCCGAGTAGCTGGGATTACAGGTGTGCACCACCACGCCTGGCTAATTTTTATATTTTTAGTAGAGACGGGATTTCGCCATGTTGGCCAGGTTGGTCTTGAACTCATGACCTCAGGTGATCCGCCCGCTCGGCCTCCTAAAGTGCTAGGATTACAGGTGTCAGCCACTGTGCCCGGCCAATGTTTATTTTTTTTTTAGAGAAAAGTTCTATGTTGCCCAGGCTGGACTGGAATTCCCAGACCCAAGCAATCCTCCCATCTCAGCCTCTTGAGTAGCTGAGACTACAAGCATGTACCACTATGCCCAGCTTTCCTTCTACTTTTTAAAAAAAGTAATTGTAAAACATGGTCGAGCACTGTAGCTCACGCCTATAATTCCAGAACTTTGGGAGCCAAGGTGGGCGCTAGCTTGAGTTCAGGAATTCAAGACCAGCCTGGACAACATGGTGAAACCCTGTCTCCACAAAAAAATACAAAAATTAGGCTGGGCACGGTGGCTTATGCCTGTAATCCCAGCATTTTGGGAGGCTAAGGCGGGTGGATCACGAGGTCAGGAGATCGAGACCATCCCGGCTAATATGGTGAAACCCCGTCTCTACTGAAAATACAAAAAATTAGCCAGGCATGGTAGCCAGTGCCTGTAGTCCCAGCTACTTGGGAGGTTGAGGCAGGAGAATGGCGTGAACCCGGGAGGCAGAGCTTGCAGTGAGCCGAGACAGCGCCACTGCACTCCAGCCTGGGCAA
Source organism: Homo sapiens (assembly GCF_000001405.40). Taxonomy (NCBI): domain Eukaryota; kingdom Metazoa; phylum Chordata; class Mammalia; order Primates; family Hominidae; genus Homo; species Homo sapiens. The sequence continues at coordinate 49,156,161 of NC_000003.12, forward strand.
CAGAGCGAGACTCCATCAAAAAAAAAAAAAAAAAGAAAGAAAAAAAAAAAAAGCCCAGGCACGGTGGCTCAAGCCTGTAATCCCAGCACTCTGGGAGGCTGAGGCGGGCAGATCGCCTGAGGTCAGGAGTTCGAGACCAGCCTGGCCAACACAGTGAAACCCCGTCTCTACTAAAAATACAAAAAATTAGCTGGGCGTGGTGGCGGGTGCCTGTAATCCCAGCTACTCAGGAGGCTGAGGCAGGAGAATTGCTTGAACCCGGGAGGCAGAGGTTGCAGTGAGCCAAGATTTCGCCATTGCACTCCACCCTGGGCAACAAGAGCAAAACTCCATCTCAAAAAAGAAAAAAAGAAAAAAACTTAGCCAGGCATGGTGGCACAGGCCTGTGGTCCCAGCTACTCGGGAGGCTGAGGTGGGAGGATCACTTGAGCCTGGGAGGCAGAGGCTGCAGTGGGCAGAGATGGTGCCACTGCACCCCAGCCTGGGCAACCTAGTGAGACCCTGTCTCAAAAAAAAATTAATTGTAAAACAGTCTCAGGCAGGTCCTTCAGGAGGTATCCAGAAGAAGGCATTGTTACCATAGATGACAGCTCCATGCATATTACTGCCCCTAAAGATCTTTTTCAGTGGGTCAAGATCTGGAGGTGGAAGACAGTGATATTGATGATCCTCACCCTATGTAGGCCTAGGCTAATGTGTATGTCTGTGTCTTAGTTTTTATTTTATTTTTTTTGAGACGGAGTCTTGCTCTGTCACCCAGGCTGGAGTGCAGTGGCACTATCTTGGCTCACTGCAAGCTCCGCCTCCTGGGTTCACGCCATTCTCCTGTCTCAGCCTCCCCAGCAGCTAGGACAACAGGTGCAGGCCACCATGCCTGGCTAATTTTTTTGTATTTTTAGTAGAGATGAAGTTTCACTGTGTTAGCCAGGATGGTCTCAATCTCCTGACCTCATGATCCGCCCACCTCCGCCTCCCAAAGTGCTGGGATTACAGGAGTGAGCCACCGCGCCTGGCAGTGTCTTAGTTTTTAACAAAAAAGTTTAAAATGTAAAAAAAAAATTTTTAACAGAGAAAAGCTTATCAAATACGGATAGAAAGGAAATATTTTTGTACAGCTCTACATGTGTTTTAAGCTAAGTGTTATAAAAGCTGTAAAAAGTTAAAAGTCTGTAAAGTAAAAAAAGTTCAGAAAGCTAAGGTTACTATTGAAGAAGGAAAAAATTTGTTTTTATACATTTAGTATAGCCCGTGTACAGTGTTTATAATCTACAGTAGTGTACAGTAATGTCCTAGGCCTTCACATTCACTCACCACTCCTCACTGACTCACTCCAAGTGCCATTCATGGTAAGTGCCCTATACAGGTGTACCATTTATCATCTTTTATACCATGTTTTTACTGTCCCTTTTCTATGTTTAGATACACAAATACCATTGTGTTAAAACTGCCTACAGTTTTCAGTACAGTCACATGCTGTACAGGTTTGTAGCCTAGGAGTAATAGGCTATACCAGATAGTCTAGAAGTGTGGTAGGCTATACAAGTACACTCTAGATGTTTCCACAACGATGAAACTGCGTAATGACACATTTCTCAGAATGTATCCCCATCATTAAACAATGCATGGTCACAGATGGGTTATTTATCAACTGTCTTTCTGACTTGATGTCCGTTCCAAGAAGGCAGATACCTTTTCTGCTGCTTCCCATCAAACACTGCCCAGAAGATGCCTGACAGAGTGTACAGCTCAATGGGTGCTTGTTATATGAATACATAGGTAAAGGAATGGGTCCATGGCTCCTCTCCCTGCTCCACATCTTAGGTCCATTACTAAGATACAGGAGGTCCGCTACCTCCTGTATCTTTCCTCTGCAGGCCTCTCCTCTTTTCTGATCTGAGGTGAAAAACAACAGCAGCTTGCAGACCTACCATGAGGGCTCAAGGTGAGCAGCTGGTAATAACTGCAGTTAAGGGGGGCAAGGAGTGCCCATTGGGTGTAGAGAAAAAACTAGTTTGGCGTTTGTCCTGCTCTGGTACCCTCCTGGCCTGATTCTGGGCTCTCCTACTAGGAGTCTTTAACAAAGACTTCTTTACAAGGAAGGTGTTACATCCAGAGATGCCCTGGTGCCACCTAGAGGCAGCTGCAGGGACAAAGGGCAAAGGTCAGGGTCATGAATGGAGTTGGAGGAGCAATGACAGGTAGACTATGACAGGGGCAGTGATGGGGGCCCACAAAGGGAAGAGTTATGAGGGGCAGTGATAGTAGAGACGGGGGACAGGTATGAGGAAATGAGGAACTATGATGGGGCCTCACAAAGGGATTCAATAATGGGGCAGAGTCATTATTGAAATTGTTCCCCATGCCAGTCCCTATACACTGGGTACAAGTATGGGGAACAGTGATGGGGTATAAATGGGAGGCCACAAAAAGGACCATGATGGGGCAGGGCTGGGGAACGGCCCTGGAAGACTGAGCTTGCCTACTTGCCCTGTCCCACCGGTGCCCACTCGGGGCAGGGCCTGTTTCCCCCAGTATCTACAAGCTCTGTCCTGACACACAAATGGTACAGGATTGCCTCTGGGGATGATTACCCTGAATCTCAGGGTTGTTTGGATCCTCTACTGGAATGGCTGGGTCCAGAACTTTGAAAATCACCTGGGAGAAAGAAGCAGGTTTGAGCATCCTATTTCACCTCAGGGCCCAACCCCCCTTTCCCTGGGCCTGACCTTGCCCTCAGTGGAAGGCTTGATGTCTGAGTAATGCTGGTCACAGACGAGGTCACTGACTCTGTGGCTAGGGGTAGGAGGGATCCCAAGAAAGAGGCTTGGGCAGTTGTGAACAAAGTATCTGTACATGTGCCAGGAGCGGCATGGTCCACTGAGTGCTCAAGGAGCACAGCTGCTAGGTGGAATGTCTGGGGAGTCACTAGGGACAAGCATCACTGGTGGCCATCAAATAGGGAAGCACAGGGTCAGCACTTGCTAAGCAAGCCTTCAGGCTGGGGCACTGGGAAAGTCTTGAGGTGGGTGAAGTAGAAGGCACCCTCTAGGTCCAGCTGGATAGTGATGTTTTTTCTTTTTTTTTTGAGATGGAGTCTTGCTCTGTTGCCCAGGCTGGAGTGCAGTGGCACGATCTCGGTTCACTGCAACCTCCACCTCCCAGGTTCAAGCGATTCTCCTGCCTCAGCCTCCCAAGTAGCTAGGACTACAGGTATGTGCCAGCACGCCTGGCTAATTTTTTATATTTTTCTTTTTTGAGACAGAGTCTCGCTCTGTCGCCCAGGGTGGAGTGCAGTGGCGCAATCTTGGCTCACTGCAAGCTCCGCAGCCCGGGTTCACGCCATCCTCCTGCCTCAGCCTCCTGAGTAGCTGGGACTGCAGGCGCACGCCGCCATGCCTGGCTAATTTTTTGTATTTTTAGTAGAGACAGAGTTTCACTGTGTTAGCCAGGATGGTCTCGACCTCCTGACCTTGTGATCCACCCACCTCGGCCTCCCAAAGTGCTGAGATTACAGGTGTGAGCCACCACACCCGGACAATTTTTTGTATTTTTAGTAGAGACAGGGTTTCACCATATTAGCCAGGTTGGTCTCGATCTCCTGACCTCGTGATCCACCCGCCTCGGCCTCCCAAAGTGCTGGGATTACAGGCATGAGCGACTGTGCCCGGCCTTGATGGTAACTTTTTTTTTTTTTGAGATGGAGTCTTGCTCTGTCGCCCAGGCTGGAGTGCAGTGGTGTCATCTCAGCTCACTGCAAGCTCTGCCTCCCTGGTTCACGCCATTCTCCTGCCTCAGCCTCCTGAGTAGCTGGGACTACAGGCGACCGCCACCACGCCCAGCTAATTTTTTGTATTTTTAGTAGAGACAGGGTTTCACCGTGTTAGCCAGGGTGGTCTCGATCTCCTGACCTTGTGATCCGCCCGCCTCAGCCTCCCAAAGTGCTGGGATTACAGGCATGAGCCATTGCGCCCGGCTGATGGTGACATTTTCAACACCTGCAGCCATAGGGCTAGTGAGTGACTAGGCCCTGACCCCGTACCTCCACACGTAGGCACACTGCACCCTCACCACTCTCTGCCTACCAGGTCTTGTTGCCACCACGGCCACTCTGGGAGATCACGTTCTTAATGTCATGGCCTCCCTGGTCGCAAGAGTCACAGGGGCAATTCTTTTTTTTTTTTTTTTTTTTTTTTTGAGACGGAGTCTCGCTCTGTCGCCCAGGCTGGAGTGCAGTGGCGGGATCTCGGCTCACTGCAAGCTCCGCCTCCCGGGTTCACGCCATTCTCCTGCCTCAGCCTCCCGAGTAGCTGGGACTACAGGCGCCCGCCACTACGCCCGGCTAATTTTTTGTATTTTTAGTAGAGACGGGGTTTCACCGTTTTTTAGCCGGGATGGTCTCGATCTCCTGACCTCGTGATCCGCCCGCCTCGGCCTCCCAAAGTGCTGGGATTACAGGCGTGAGCCACCGCGCCCGGCCAGACAGGGGCAATTCTGAGTTTTGGGTTAGGACTCAAGGAAACTGACTAGAGAGGTTAATCATCAGATCTCTACTCCAAAATTTCACAGCACATGCCTCTAGCTCCCAGCAATGACCCAGACCCCCAACAGGGCTGAACCAGCCCAGGACACCCAAAGAAACCAGCCTCCAGAGCCCTCACCTGCAGGTGACTGCCAATGAAGTAGGGCTCAGGGCCTACTGGATGAAGTTCGAAGGCTCTGGCTCTGGCCCCAGCCAACAACCAGGATGCTGATGCAGCCAGATCGGGAAGGGATATCTGGCACTCCCTGGGAAACTGTTCTAGGAGCCTGGACTAGGAGGGGCAGCATCTGACTAGAGATCCTAGGAATACCCACCCCTCTCCACCCCACCCCACAGGGAACCTTGATTTCTTTTTTTCTTTTCTTTTTTTTTTTTTTTTTTTTTTTTTTTGAGACAGAGTCTCACTCTGTCGCCCAGCCTGGAGTGCAGTGGCGAGATCTTGGCTCACTGCAAACTCTGCTTCCCAGGTTCAAGTGATCTTCCAGCCTCAACCTCCCAAGTAGCTGGGACTTTAGGTGTGTGCCACCACACCTGGCTGTTTTGTATTTTTAGTACAGATGAGATTTCACCATGTTGGCCAGGCTGGTCTCAAACTCCTGACCTCAACTGACCCACCTGCCTTGGACTCCCAAAGTGCTGGGATTACAGGCGTGAGCCCCAAGCTGGGCTGCCCTTGAGGAGCTGAGTGTGGCTCTCAGGTCATTCCCCATATTCACATCATGAATGAAAGAGTTGTCAGAGGCAAGTAGCATGTAAGGTAGTGGGGCGACAGCACAGCTGGGAGCAAGGTCCCAGAGCTTGGGAAACCAAGGGAGGACACACCCAGGGGAAGCATGCCACAAGATGCAGAAGGGGCAGGAGGGCACCAAGAAGCACAGAGCTTCTCCACAGGTCCACCACCCAGGGCAGCTGGCAGCTTGTGGGGCCCAAACCCAGAAACAGAAAACATCTGATTCTCACTGAAATGATGCCCCTACCCCAGGGAGGGGGAATGTGTGCCCCTCCCTGCCAACCCCAGGCACTGCCATTCAGCCTGGGCAGCCAGTGATGGACTACAGATGGGCAGGACAGTTACCTCCTTCAGGTCCCAGGGCCCAGCCCCCTCTCTAAAGCAGGAAGGGTGACAATGTATTTTAACATATGGACCATGTTGGAGGGCATGATGAGGCTGGACCTGGGAGTAGAGAGAGCACTTAAGATTCATACAGAAAGCACTGCTGATGAGGCAGTCATGGAAAACCTCACCCAACCAAGGAGAAAATTATTTGGTCACTGAGGGCAAGCTCTGTGGTCCTGACTCAACCACCAGTACCTTGCCACCAATCGAAGTTGAGGATAGTTACTCTCTGCCACGAGAGCAGAGTGGGGAGAAGCACCTCAACCCCTTTGGGCCTGGACCCACACCAGAAAAGCCCAGGCTAAGCCCCAAGATTTTAGCCAGGCTGTCTGTTTGGTCCCTAGGGAAGTACCACAAAGGCTCCATTCCAGGACCTAAAAACCCACTAGCTGCAAGGTTCCCCATGGAACCTACTGTCCTGCATGGGGCCTACTGTCCTGAATGGGGCCTGTCTGGATCACAAACCAGAGCAGCCTCAAAGGGAAGTGTCTTACTTCACAGTGGCTCTGCTTCTGCATTCAGGGGATGCCTCTCAGACAACCACAGAAGCCAATTTCCCCTCATCTCTCCAAAGGGGCCCAGGAGCTGCCTCCTCCCACAACCCCCGGAAATAGGCAGGCCTATTTCTGGGACCACTTTCCCTATATCTTCAAGCTGGCCTGCCAGCAGCCACACACACACAGAAGACCATGGAGGGTGGGCAGGGAGACTGGAAGGTGGAAAGGTATAAAACGTGATAGATGGAACAGTAGACATACAACTTGAATAACAAGTCACAGTGCATCGCGCCATGAAAACACCCCTCCCGCCCACCCACCCCACCGTACCCCACCCACTCTGGTTTCTGAAAGGAGGCTGGTGGTCACCAGGGCCCTAGAGAGGCACCGGGAGTCCTCAAGATTGTGGAGTCCACGGACATAGCACACTGTGCCACTAGCCACACAGACAGCTGGGCTTAGTTTCCCCAAACATTGCCGTGTGAAGGAATCAGACTGCTGAATATGGCAGCAATGGCTGGAGCCGTATTACAGGTGACAGGTTCACGCGGAGGATCCGCTGAGCCCGCTGCCGCACCTCATCATCCGAGGACCGCCTATCTACCTTTATGGCACGGAACTTCAGCAGCTTTGCTGTTCCAGGCCCTAGCCATGCCTTAGGAGATCGGGGCCCAAGCCGTGTTCTCTTCTTGGGAGGAAGATCTTTTGCCTCCTCAGCCCTTTTCCTCTTCTGCCCAACAGTCTCAGGGCGGTTTTTCTGGCCCTTCCTTGTAGTTCTGGCCTTAGCAGATCCCTTTGGCCTGCCTCTGCCCCTGGGCTGGGTCCGAGCCACCTTGGCCTTGGCCCGTACTGCCTTGGCTTTAGCCTTGGCCTTGGCCCATGCTGCCATGACTTTGGCCTTGGCCTTGACCTGTGCTGCCTTAGCTTTGGCCTTAGCCTTGACCTGTGCTGCCTTGGCCTTGGCCCGGGCCTTAGCAGCCTTGGCCTGTGTTCGAGCCACCTTGGCTTGGGCACGAGCAGCTTTGGCCAGTGTTCGAGCTACCTTGGCCTGGGCTGTTTTGGTGCCCAGGGCAGAGCCCCCTTTCATTCGCCGGACACTGGGGGACCCAGTGGCTCTGTTGGTTTTGCTCTGGTGCCCAGAGCCTCGTCGGGGTCCAGCCCCAGGGCCTTTGCGAGTCAGACACTTGGGGCCCTTGCTTGTGGTTTTTCTGGGAGCTTTGGGCCGAGGGTTCCCCGGACCCTTCCCTGAACTTTTCCGCAGTTTCAGAGGAGAGTCTGCAAGTGAGAGCTGCAGTGACTGTGCCTTGTGCTTGGCACCCAAGCAGGGCATGGGAGTCTTAAGTGGAACCAGGGCCTCAAGGACAACAGAGAGCCGCATGGCAGGGTAGACACCTGGATAAAGGTGGGTGGGGAAGCCCACTGCTGCACCCCGGGCATGGCTGGCACTTGATTGCTTCAGAGAGCTCAGCAGCAGGTTGGTGGTAGCATGCTTGGCAAGGGCTGGTGTGGATGCTTTGGCCAGTCTGCCAGATAGCGGCATGGGAAGCAGTGTGGCCCGACCTGCAGGCAACCGCATGGCAGTTCGGGGAGCACTGGCTGGAGGTGATGTGGCAGTTGGGTTAGGGGCACGAGCTTGCAGTTTCGTCTGGCTTGGGGGATTAGCTGTGCATGAACTATAGCCATAGACATCACCACTGCGCAGGATGGTAGGTTGGAAGCCATCATCTCGCAGGCCCTGCAGGAAGGCCACAAGCTGGGCCTCTGTGGCACTGAGATCCTGGCTCATTGGGTTAAAGACAAGCAGTGCCTCTTCCAGGGCCTTCTTCCCTGCCGTGGAGATGCGCGACCAGGAGTGCACAGCTTTTTCCTCCACATGCTGAACCACCACACTCATGGCATTAGGCACTGCAGATCTGCCTGGGTATCCGCAAACCAGCGCTTGGCACCTCCAAGACAAGAGGAAAAGAGTCAATAAGAATGGCACTAAGACAAGGGGCCAGAACACATAGACAAGTCAATCAGTGCCCCAATCTCCATGACACTGAGGAATCTGGCCAGAGTGAGACACTTCCTGGTGTAAAACCCTGGTCTCCTGACCCTCTACCATGCTGGGGTGGGAGGAGAGGCTAAGGATCAGGGAGTTTCTTCAAGATACATGCTCAGAAATACCTCAGAGCCATCCAACCTGCTGCCGGGTCCCTGAAAAGATTTGAGCCTGGTACATTTTAATTCAACTCTGTATTTTCTGAAGCCAGAAACCTAGAATTACTCAGCTCTGGGAATACAGGCAATATCCCTGTCCTCAAGGAACCTAGGTTAGAAGGCCAGAAAAAGACACTGTTAAGATTCTTGGGAGTGAATGCTGGCATTCAGCTCAGTTTGCCAATGGGTCAGGAAAGGATTCCTGGGAGAGACAACACCTAGCTAGGATATGAGTGATGAATGAAAAATGATTAGATGGAAATGGAACAAAAAGGGGAATAGCTAATGCAATGGCTCCAAAGTGAGAAAGGGTTAAGGCATACTTGGTGTGGGATCTGGGATCTAGGTGAAAAAACAGGCGAGGATAGAGCAACAAAGAACCCTGAATGTTAGCCAAAGGGCCCAGACTTACACCCACTGTCCATGCCCATCTGTTTCTCCAGCTGCTGCTGTTCATGTGTGGAGCTGGAGTGGGGTGGGGGAATCTCCCTGCCCACCAGAAGTTCTGTTTTCAGTCTCTAGACAGGGTACTCAGCAACCCATTTTCTAGCTCCAGAGGCATGGAGACCTAATCAAGAGTCGGACTTTTCTTCAACAGAAACTAAAAAGCTGATGAGTAGCAGGTGCCAATGACATCTCTCTAGGCAACCAGGCAGACCAGGGACCAGGAAGCCAGACCAAGATCCCAAAGTTTAAGGACAATGGGAGCCAAAGGCTGCAAGTAGGATGGTGAGTCAAGGGGACATTAGCGGTATGCACTGTCCTACCTAAGACTTGGAGGGCCACAGACCTCAGTACAGCCCAGATGGAGGTGACTGAGAACACCTAACTACTCCCAGACTTCTTTAAAGAAGCTGTGGACATCAATCATAACTAACATCTAATACCCAACCCAACACTGAGGGTTCCCAGAAGCAAGAGGCAGCTCCCCAGCTGCACCAGAGCATTAAAAGATCAGCCAGGATCAGGCAGGTCCCTCGGGCCATGAGGCCCGTCTGTGTAGTTTCTTCCCACCGCTCTAATGCAGCAGATGAAGTCTTCAGAATACCCTGGAGGAAATGCCCTAGGGCTCTTTGTTTGGAAACATTCTTGGATCCTCAGGTGTCTTGGGCACTTCCCCTCCCCAGAGACCGTTCTCCAAGCACAATCCTTGCACATGACTTTAGTTCTTTATTAATGTTTTTTGAAGGGATGTAGTTCCCAGAGCTGTGAACTGTAGAAGAGAGAGGGACCTATTTCCCACCCTCACACGCGCCCCAGCGCAAATATTTGGGGTGACCTGGGGGCTCTTCCACCCAGGTTAGGCTGGGCTCTTGGGAGGGGTTTTCTGGGCTTTCGAGAAGCTTCGGAAACAGAGGCTCCTGCCCGGCCTCCGACTTCCCTTCACACGTGCCCCCGGGGAAGGCAGGAGAAGTTGACGGAAGATAGGGCGTGAGAGAGGCGCCACACAGGCAGACCGGGGGAGGGGGCAGATCGGGGCCCTCAGGCTGGGAATGCACGTCCTTAGGGCCCAAGCCGTGAGGCGGGGGTCACTGAGGCAGCGAAATGTACAGGGTGAACGGTGCTAGCCCTACCGGGACCGCACAGCCCCAGGGTGGGGTCGCTGGGCGCGGGGTGGGGGTGGGGTGGGGGGTCTCGGCCAGGCCGGCGGAGGACGCGGGTCCGGGAAGAGTTGGCCGCTTGCCCGTCCGCCCTGCCGCCTCGCGGGCCGCCCCTCCGCGGCGCGGCTAGGCCCGCGGCTCCAACCTACCGGCGCCGCCGCGGGGACCCAAGACGCGCCTCTGCGCCGCCTCCGCTGCTCCAACATGGCCGCCCGCTGCGCGCCGGAAGTGCACTGCGCTTCCGCTTCCGGGACCCAGCCCGCCCTACCGACCCTTGACCCCTGAGACCCCATTTCCCCACAAAGTCTGGGGGCGGAGCAGATTGGGTACCAAGGAGGACTGCCTGGAGGTGGTGGCCGCGGTGACTGCTCCAAACCCGTTCGGCCCTGTGCAGAAGTCTGAAGAACAGAGGTGCCCTCTGACGCGGCCCCAGGCAAGGACTCACTAGAGCCCGGCCAAGACTGGATTAGGGGTCATCTGACACCTTTTCTGAGGGGAGCTAGTGGTGCATTGACATCTGGGAGGGGCTCCTGACAAGGTTCAGGCCATCTTCCACCCTCTGATCTATCTTTAGCCACTGACAATGCCCACTTCAGTCCCAGACACCTGACCAGAGGGTGAAAGAGGAGTGCCTCCTGACAGGGAGTCTCAGGTGATCTCCTTTGTTTTGCAGTAAGGGTATCTTCTCCGAGGACAGCAGGCCTTCCTCTCTTCCTGAGAATAGGGCCTGTGGCACATGGCATGAAAGGCTGGTGTGCACGTGATCACAAGTGGTGCACGCAAGCCCAAGCGCACATGGAGTCTGGGGGCTCCAGTATACCACTGTGGGCCTGAGTATACTTGCTCAGGCAGGTGGGGGCAGGTATAGTCACTGGCCCAGCCTCAGCCCCTCAATGGAAGGAAGTCCTGCTTCCAGTCTTAACACTGCCCAGAACCCCTTTCCTTTTGCCTAGGAGTCTGGGACCTCAGTCTTTTTATCCATGCTCTTGGGCTAGTACGGGGTGGTGGTTATAGGACACAGGTCAAAATCAACCCTAGGGGTCTGTGACTTCAGTGAGAGGTCAGAGTGGTCTCCACAGCTCTGACCAAAGGTCCCATTAGTCAGAGGTTTGCAAGTCCAGGTTGGGAACCATCCTGGGAGCCCTGGTTTCATGGATGAGGTAGTGGGGGCATTTGCACTAGGGTCAGAGCCTGAGCCAGGAGGCAGAAATATTGCCACAACTCTTGGACTCTGACCCTTGCAGTGGTGCCTTATTTGGTAGTTGGGGTCAGGTGGAAGCCTATTGGCAATCACAGGAGGGTGGCGGGATGCTTCATTTAGGGACTGGGTACTAGCCCTTTTTCCTGCCCTTTTTCCAACCAGGATCCTCTGGTTGCTCTGTATTTTCCCTGCTTATACAGAGGGGTCCAGGCACTCCTAAAGACAAGTGCCTAGTCCACCCAGCAGTGCCATAGGCCTCATCTGGTGCCTCTTAGCTTCCCAGGGCCTCAGCACTAATGGTGAGGTCCTCGCTGCTTTTAAGTATAGCCAAGGTATCTAGCAGGAACTGCAAAATCTCCTGTTCCTCTGGGGTCAGTGCTTCTAGCCTTTTTTTCCTGGTGGAGAGAAAGCAAGAGTAGGGTCCCAGGGGCCAGGATCTCATGGGGTGCAGTCAGGAAGCCCCACCTTGGTGCCCCCAGTCCCCAGCTGTGGGTGAGTCCAGTCTCTGGCCGTCCATGGTTGAAGATTGACTGTTCACTTATTCAGGACCGATTCAACCAGTTACCTTCTGCAGCTTCTCCAAAGCCGGCAGTGTTGGCCTCCTGTGTGCAGGTGGGCCATGGCTGTGCAAACAGAAACCCCTTCCATGGAGAGCCAGAGCCCATCCTCCAGGGATAGCAACAGTACAGTTATATCCAGACCCCTCTCTGGTGATGTTCAGCTCAGAAGTTAGGGCAAATGGAAAACCAGGAAGGGTAGGTCCATCCTCCGGCTGTGCTGTGTCCCTTCCAGACATGAGAACTGGGGAAATGATAGAGATTAGGGATAAGGATCATGGGGGTACCTAGCTCCCTTTGGGGGTGGTAGGGCCGAACTTTTTGCCTCCTGGTGCCCAGTATGCCCTAGATGGAACTCTTTGGGAGCGCTCATCAGAGTGCAGTCTGACTTGACCTGGACTCTAGTGGCTGCTGAGCCTACAGGCACAACTGGGACCAGACAGGATGAGATGGGAGAGAACACAGGGTGATCCCAGGACCCAATCTTTGCTTTCCATTTGGCATCTTATATGGTTCTTTTTTTCCTTCTTCTTCCTTTTTTTTTTTTTTTTTTTTTTTTTTGAGACAGTCTCCTTTGTTGCCCAGGCTGGAGTGCAGTGGCGTGATCTCAGCTCACTGCAACCTCTGCCTCCCAGGTTCAAGCAATTCTCCTACCTCAGCCTCCAGAGTAGCTGGGACTACAGGCGCCTGCCATCACACCTGGCTAATTTTTGTATTTTTAGTAGAGGTGGGGTTTCACCATGTTGGCCAGGCTGGTCTCAAGCTCCTGACCTCAAATGATCCACCCACCTTGGCCTCCCAAAGTGCTGGGATTACAGGCGTGAGCCACTGTGCCTGGCCAATTTTTTGTATTTTTAGTCAAGCTGGGGTTTCACCATGTTGGCCAGGCTGGTCTTGAACTCCTGACCTCAGGTGATCTGCCCACCTCAGCCTCCCAAAGTGCTAGTATTACACGTGTGAGCCACCTGCCCCTCCAGCCTTATATGGTTCTCAGTGGATCCTGGACCCAGCTCTATCTGAGCAGAGAGATGTGATGGAGCTTTAGATGTGAATGAAGGCAGTGGCCTGGGAGGGACTGCCCCAAGAGGAAATATGTGTGCCAGGGAGAAAAGCCAGGGTTGAATCTTGAGGAGCCAATTCCTGGTGATGGAGAAGAAGCAGAGCCTGCAAAAGATTCTAGGCCAGGCGCGGTGACTCATGCCTGTAATTCCAGCACTTTGGGAGGCCAAGGCGGACGGATCCCGCAGTCAAGAGATGGAGACCATCCTGGCCAACATGGTGAAACCCCATGTCTACTAAAAATACAAAAAATTAGCTGGGCATGGTGGCACGTGCCTGTAGTCCCAGCTACTCGGGAGGCTGAGGCAGGAGAATCATTTGAAACCACCGGAAGGCGGAGGTGGCAGTAAGCTGAGATCACGCCACTGCACCCTAGCCTGGGCAACAAGAGTGAAACTCCGTTTCAAAAAAAAGATTTTGAGAGGTGGGCTGGGCGCGGTGGCTCATGCCTGTAATCCCAGCACTTTGGGAGGCTGAGGTGGGCGGATCACGAGGTCAGGAGATCGAGACCATCCTGGCTAACACGGTGAAACTCCATCTCTACTAGAAATACAAAAAAAAAAAAATTAGCCGGGCATGGTGGCGGGCCCCTGTAGTCCCAGCTACTCGGGAGGCTTAGACAGGAGAATGGCATGAACCTGGGAGGCGGAGCTTGCAGTGAGTGGAGATGGCACCACTGCACTCCAGCCTGAGTGACAGAGCAAGACTCCGTCTCAAAAAAAAAATAAATAGATAAAAAATAAAGATTCTCAGAGGCAGGACAAACAGCAGGAGGGAGTTGAGGTCACAAGGGGCAAAACTTTGAAGATGCTAGCAAGATTTAGTTAAGGACCACAGGCACATATAGTTTTAGCTATATGGTATTTCATGATGACTTTTCCAAGAACAATTTTTGGGGAGGAGTGGCAGCACATTGAGGTGACAAGTAACAAGGAGGTGGAGCCTGTGAGGACAGATGGCTTCAAGAGTTTGACTGGAGTGGAGGAAGGGGAGACTAGAGAGACTTGGGGTGTTGGGAGGTATCTAAAGGCAAGTGGCTTGTAAGTGTTTAATTGCTGGAAAGGAGGAGGAGGGAGCTTGGAAAGGGAACAGTAGCAAATGTGAAGGGGGCTGCAGAGCAGTGTGAGCCTCTTGGAAGCCTATTGGCAATCACAAGAGGGTGGAAACAGTGCCCCAAGTGAGGGCACTGAGGAGCAAGTCCAAGGTGAAGTGGGACAAGGAGGATTGAGGCCTTCAAGTCAGGGTCTGTGCAGTCTGTAACCAGCCTTGGCACCACCATTTCTGTGCAGGCCGACTGAATCCAACTGACAGTCCCTGAAAAGAGCAAAGGCTCTCTTCTCCGGTCATGCGGGAGGGTCTACCCATAGACTTCTGGGAAGGCCAGATGTGAGGGAGGCCAGGGAGTTAATAGGTAATGCCCCCAAACAGCTCTCAACCCATGACTAATGGAGATTTGAGAATGAGTATCTCAGCTCCCCTTGTTCTTGGGGGCAGCAATGATGTAAGGCCTATGTTCTACGCTGGCTCCCAGAATCCCCAGCAGGATTTGGTCCCAATGGCCCACAGTGGTAGCTTGCTTGATGACACTTCCTTTATTGGCTGCTTTCCTTGTCTCCTTGCCACTGCTGGTGTTTCTTGGCCTCACCTCCCATACTAACTATATGCATGTATATCTTTGTCCAGGTCTGCTTTGGGGGAAACTAAGATAAGCACTGTCCATGAAAGGGGGACAAGGCAGTGAGCAGACACAGACAACTGCAAGGACCTCTTCCCACAGGTACCACTGACCTGTACAAATGGGCCCTCAGCTTGAAGACTTAGCTAATACTCTGAATGCTCAGAAGATAGGCAGGGCCAAGGTCTGGGCCTGAGGTAGGTGGGCCCCTGTCACACTAGTTTGCTCTTGCTTGACCCCAGAATTGGTTAGAGGCAAGCTCAGGATACTAAAAATTGATAGTTATAATGTGCCTTGGGTCCCAGAGTAGCCCAGGTCTCTCAGGCCCTACAGGATGAGGCCAGAGTGACCCACTGGGAGGTCCCCTGGCCTCTGACTCTTCCAGCACATTCTCTGCTCAGTATCACTCCTTCCAGGAATTCTCCCCACCCAGGTTTGTAGAAGGGCCAGTGCCTTCTGTTCCTCCACCCCCGCTAGCCTCAGTGTACACTGTAAGACCTATTCCTGCTTTATGCCCAGGTAAGGGCGCCCCAGGCTGCCCCCACACGACAGAGGCCCAGGCCATGTCCCCAGTGGCCTCCAGGGGGCGCCGCCGGGAAGCCTGTAATTGGGCTCCTGGGAGCTCCGCGGAGGTGGGCAGGCGCCGGCCCCTCAAGCCCTCGGGTTCGGCTGGCCTGCTCGACACAGCCTGCGCACCCAGGCTGGGTCGGGCTCAGAACTGCCCCTTGCCATACACGTGTTGTGTCGCTCGCCGCTGCCTCATTTCTACTCTTGCCCGAGGTCGGACGCTAAATTCTGTCAGGCCCAGTGTCCAAGTGTCCGTTTATCTGTCCGTTTGCATATGACCGTAGATCGGCACGCCCTGCTCCAGCTGCGGCATGTGCAGGGTTAAGGCGAGAGGAGGTTTCCCTGAGTCGGAGGGGGAGGGGGGCGAGGGGCGGACCTGGCCCAGCCCCGCCCCGCGCCGGAGCAGTGCCGGAGCCCCGCCAGAGCCCGACTTCAGCCCCAGCCAGATCCCGCGTCAACGGAGGCGGAACGGCGGACCCCGTACCCTGGCAGCATCGGAGCACCGGCGGGTGAGTCCCGCGGGAACCGCGCTCAGGGGAAGTTTGGGGCGCGGGGTGTAGAACCCCAAGCGCGTTAGCCCAGACCCGCCCCCCACATCCTTGAGCTGGAAGTTTGGGGCCAAGAGGCCCTCCTGCCAGGGGTCCAGGAGTGTAGCCACCAAGAGAAAGGGGTGGCTGGAGAACTTGGGGATCTCCTGCGAGGGAACCCAGAAGTCCAGCTGCCCATTCCTGGTGGAAACGCCCTGGACTCAGACCCTGGAGTCCTGTGGTCATGAGATTTCTCCAACGGCCCCCCGCCCCAACCCCACTTCTGGACACCAGGGAATCTGGCTTCTGGGGGGGTTTGGAATGGGCAAACTCCTGAGGGGGGACCTCGAGAGGAGAGTGTGGAACCCTGGTGTTTAGTCCTCCCCCTAGTCTGAAACACACCCTGACTCTGGTCTTTTACTAGTGGGAATGGTTTAAATTAACCCTGTGGAATGGCCCCCAGGATGTTGTAAGGATACTCTGGAGTCTGACCCCTGACAGCAGGCGTGGGGACCCCCAGGCTGCCCAGGGCACCCTGGAAGCCAGTAAGGACTCCCCTCATGCAGGACCAGCGTGAGGCTTGTTGAGGGGAAAGGAAGGGTCCTGGATGGAGAGTCCTGTTCTAGTCACCTTACTACTGCCCTCCTAGACCCAGATTTGACCCAGTTGCTGAGTGGTTTGGGTAGTGGGTGAGAAGGAGAATCCTTCATGCCTCCATGGGAAAGGGGAAAGGCTCCTGGGTACCTGGGGCCTGCCCTCCTTCCCACTCCAGGAGGGCCTCCACAGTGGTGTGCTAGCCAGAGGGGTTGGGTTCTCCCCCTGCCTTTCCCACCAGTGATTTTGGGCCAGCCCTGCCCTTAGCTACAGGCTGCTTATTTGTTTCCTGAGGGGCCGGTCAGTGCCCTGACCCCTGTTTTCCCTCTTTCCTCCAGGTGAAGGCAAGGTCCCTGGACTGGTCATATACCTCTTGTGGCCCTGGCAGAATCAAGATGAGGCCCTGTCATGCCTCCCCAGTGAGGCCTACAGTCTGAGCAGACAGCATGGCCTGCCACTGGCAGTGAACACCATGTCTGCAGGAGGTGGCCGGGCCTTTGCTTGGCAAGTGTTCCCCCCCATGCCCACTTGCCGGGTCTATGGCACAGTGGCACACCAAGATGGGCACCTGCTGGTGTTGGGGGGTTGTGGCCGGGCTGGACTGCCCCTGGACACTGCTGAGACACTGGACATGGCCTCGCACACATGGCTGGCACTGGCACCCCTGCCCACTGCCCGGGCTGGTGCAGCTGCGGTAGTTCTGGGCAAGCAGGTGCTAGTGGTGGGTGGTGTGGATGAGGTCCAGAGCCCGGTAGCTGCTGTAGAGGCCTTCCTGATGGATGAGGGCCGCTGGGAGCGTCGGGCCACCCTCCCTCAAGCAGCCATGGGGGTTGCAACTGTGGAGAGAGGTGAGTGGCCTCCCAAGGAAGGCACTTCAGGTACCCTAACACCTTTTATTATTTCCTGACTTAGTCCCTTACCCTCAGAGACTGAACAAGAGCTGTAATTTTTACATGGGTGCCCAGGATGTGGCCTTGTCCCCTGTATCCTTTCCAACCTAGATTTGAGCTGCTGCCTTCTATTAACTGCCTTTTCTGGCTAAGGTGGGAGGCAGAGCCCAAGCCGATCCCAGGATGATGGGAGACCCCAGCCATGTTCCTGCCCCACTCCTCATTTCTAAGAGATGGGGGTGGGATGGCCTAATGACTCCCAGGGTTATAAATAGTCTGGGGTGGGGGAGAGGAGTAGGGCCTTGGCTCAGAGCCTGTGCTTAGACTTCCTGCCCCACCCCCAACCCTTCCCACACGCCAGGGAGCCTGATATGGACAAAGGCCAAGCTGATCTGGGATGGTTGCCATGGAAGCCCCCAGCTGACTGGCCCATTACCCTAAGGCCCCCAGACATGTCGTAGCTGACTCTGAGGGTTTAACAGAGGGCAAGAACCTACTATAATGAAAGAGTGTCACACAGAGGTGCTGGCAGGGATCCTGGGGCAGAAGGCTTGTGGACAGTATCTTTACCCAGCAGACCCAAGCCATTCCTCTCCCAGCCCCATCTCCAACTCCAGCTGGTCCCCAGTCCTCCTCCCCAGACTGAGCTCTGTGCTAAGCAGATCCCCATGTTTCTTACCCCTGGCTTAAGCCATCCCCCCATCTTCCTCCCCGAGGGGAGTCCCCACCTTGTGGCCTCCAGGTCTGACCACCAGCCCAGGCCAGCCCTGCTTGGATGCCAGACTCTGTTGCCATAGCATCTCCAGGGAGACAGAGTCGGATTATAATTAGATCGGCTGCCTCCTGCTCTTTACTCGGAGGGGCCCTGGCCAGAGTAGGAATCCCAGATCTCCCAGCCCCCACTGCAGGCAGGTAGTAGAGTGTCTGTTGCTGGGGAGGGATGCTATAAACACATGGGTCTCCAGCCACCCCCAGGACTTACCAGGGCAGCTGTCAGGGTGGGGTACCCTGGCAGGCTGAGGTACAATCTGAACTACTCTTTTCTATGCAGATGGTATGGTGTATGCTCTGGGGGGAATGGGCCCTGACACGGCCCCCCAGGCCCAGGTACGTGTGTATGAGCCCCGTCGGGACTGCTGGCTTTCGCTACCCTCCATGCCCACACCCTGCTATGGGGCCTCCACCTTCCTGCACGGGAACAAGATCTATGTCCTGGGTAAGGGCCTGGGGAATGTGGGAAGGGGGCTCAGAGTCTAGAAATCCTCATCCTCATAGGTTGGCTGGGATAGGGATCAGGCTCAGTCCAGGATGGCAAAACAAGAGAAGCTTTGTTGGGGTGATCCATGCCTGCTCTGAGGCTCTGACCCCTGGTGGTCTTGCTGTGGTTGGAAAACCAAACCCCAGTACCTGAGGGACTGTAGGGTGGATGATTCATGTGCAAGTGTGCACACAGCAGGATGTGGGAGGCTGAGGCAGGCAGATTAGCAACCTAGTGAGCAAGGAGCCCACCAAGCCTCCTGGGCTCCTTCCCAGGTACCCCAATTCCATTGACAGGGGGCCGCCAGGGCAAGCTCCCGGTGACTGCTTTTGAAGCCTTTGATCTGGAGGCCCGTACATGGACCCGGCATCCAAGCCTACCCAGCCGTCGGGCCTTTGCTGGCTGCGCCATGGCTGAAGGCAGCGTCTTTAGCCTGGGTGGCCTGCAGCAGCCTGGGCCCCACAACTTCTACTCTCGCCCACACTTTGTCAACACTGTGGAGATGTTTGACCTGGAGCATGGTGAGCAGTGGCTGTTCTGGGCTGTCCTCCCGCTCTCTGTGGGATGGAGGGGCATAGTGTGTACATGACTAGATCTGACCTCCCCTCTCCTGCAGGGTCCTGGACCAAATTGCCCCGCAGCCTGCGCATGAGGGATAAGAGGGCAGACTTTGTGGTTGGGTCCCTTGGGGGCCACATTGTGGCCATTGGGGGCCTTGGTAAGTCTCTATGGGGCTGGGGAGAGGAGGGAGTCCCAAGACAGGAAAGACTAGCCCCCAGCATGTGTGTCACCTTCTGCCCATCTCCAGGCACTCCAGGGGTCAGGGCTTTGTGAGCTCTTTTCCCTATCTATGAAGTAGGCAGGATGTGGTCTGCCTGGCCCAGCACTCAGGGTGTTCCTCAGTGACTGGGGGCTCTGTCAAGCACCAGCAAGGGTCTACGAGACAGCAGCAGGACAAATGACCACTGTATGCACAGTCAAGAGAACATATAGAAACATAAATGAATGAACAAATGATGAACATAGGCAATGAGGAGCAAGGCCCTGATAGCTCATCCTGGGGTGATAACTACTGGGCTATTCTCTGGGCTTAGGGAGCAGAAGGGCCTGGAGTCCCTACGGCCTGTGCCTCTCACAGCCTTCTCTCTCCTTCTTGCAGGAAACCAGCCATGTCCTTTGGGCTCTGTGGAGAGCTTTAGCCTTGCACGGCGGCGCTGGGAGGCATTGCCTGCCATGCCCACTGCCCGCTGCTCCTGCTCTAGTCTGCAGGCTGGGCCCCGGCTGTTTGTTATTGGGGGTGTGGCCCAGGGCCCCAGTCAAGCCGTGGAGGCACTGTGTCTGCGTGATGGGGTCTGAAGGCTTGGTGGGAGCTGTCCACTGGAGCAGCTCATTGCCAGAGGCAGCTATTTCTATGGCTCCTTTTGCTGCTGAGGACACTCACTGTGGCTCTGTGGGATGAGAGAGGCATGGGGGTGAGCACTTGAAACACTGCCTTGGGGCCTTGGGTTAGGGGAGCCTTTGTCTTTAGTGCAGGACACACATATGCTTACACCTACCTTTATCACCATTCGTTCATGAATCATGCCTAGCTCCATCCTTGCCCTGGGACCTACTAGGCCTTCCATCCAACTGGGAAATGGGGAGAAGCAAAGCTGGCCTCATGCTCTTCAGGGTCAGTTCCTATCTGGAGTTGACCAGGCCTACCCCAGTTGCCATTCCTGAAAAATCTCAGCTGCCAGGCTGCCTTTAGGGTCCCTGCAGACCCAGGAGAGTTGAGAGGGTGGGGGACACAGAGAGAATAGAGAGGATGTGGGAACTGCCAGAGGGCCGGAGCGCAGGAGTTCAAGTGGAGGAATGCTGGCTTTGAGCCCTCTACACTGCTGGTTGTATGACCTTGGACAAGTCACTTCACCTCTCTGTGCCTCAGCATCCTCATCTATAAATGGGGATCTCTGAAACCTTCCTACCCTACCTACCTCACAGGGCTGTTGTGAGGACCCAGGGAGTTTGGATGTGGAAGTAAAAGTGCTGCTAAAACCTAGTGTGTGGACCCTGGTGTGAACTCCCTTGTTTCCACTGCCCCTGCCTTCCTTTGGGGGTCTCAATGCCCCTAGGGATGAGGGTCCAGAAGGAGCCTCTTGGATCTGGTCGGTGTTCCCAAAGTGATTTGGTGTTTCTGTTCCATCTGAGCCTCAGCTTATTCTTTGGCAACATGTGATGACAGCGCCTCCTTACTGTCCTGGGGATTAGAGAGCACTAGGGCAGTAAGGAAGGGCTGTCACATGTCACCAAAGGATGGCAGGATAAGATGACCAGAGAAGTGCTCAGAAAACAACAGAATACCACAAGGTTAGGAAGACCTCCAGATCCAAGTTACAGAGTGTCTCCTTAGGGTCTCTGCTCACCCCCACAGGGAGGGGTGGTGCAGTGGGTTCTGTGGCCCAGGGCAGTCTCTTTCTGTCTCAGCTGTGGGGCAGCCGTCTCTTGGACAGGACTGTGTGGCCACCCAACAAACCCCTCAAAGGCAGCTGCCTCCTGAGAAAGCTGCCAACTCTTCCTTCTTCCAGCCTTTGTCGCCCACTAGTACTGGTCTCTGGGGTCTGCTTTCCCCATAGCTAAACTGAGTACTTGACCTGCTTCCCCAGTGATGCCTTTCATTCTAGGGTGAAGCACCTAGAAAGTCAGTGGCCCACAGGATATTTGCACATTGTCTGGCACGCTGGCAGAGGAAACCAACACAGAGATGTCTCTGGGGGAATGGGCTGTTTCCCAGAGGAGAAAGGTTGTGGGGAAGTTAGTCACTCCGCTGCCTTCATAAGGAGCCCTCCCTCAGTGTCACCCCCTTCACCCTGCCACCTGCTCTGTCCTGACTTCAACTTAGGCTGGGGACTGCCCTCTAATCTTCCTCTCTACAGCTGGGTTTACTGCAAGAACAGAGTAGTACTTGGGGCCCTGGAACCCACCTGATGTGGCTATAGCAATCCTCCTGGACTCTTAGCCTCCTGCAGGCCTTACCCTTTCTCACTTAGTGGCAGGGATCCCAGAGCAGCACCTCCCATGCCCAGCACAGAAACACACCATGGGCACAAGTGCCATGGGAGACAGGCACAGGACCTGGCAGCCTACTACTACCTTTCAGCCTCTTGGGCTACATCCCATTGTGGGCTGCAAGCACAGACAGGCTGCTGTGTCAGCTGTCCTTGTTTAATGCTCTGGACCAGTTTAGACACTCAGAGACCCCAGCATGAAGGTAGTGCTGCAGCAGCTTGGGTCTTGGGATCCCTGGGAGGTCAGGCAGTACGTCAGTGACCGGCGCCTGGGGCCCTACCTTGTAGCTGCCATAGTGGCCACCCTGGGATGGGCAGCAGAAGTTCTGCTGGTAGGTGGTCCTGGTATGGGAAGGCTGGACCTGCACAAAGTGGATGAGGTGCTGGGGGAGGCCACTGAGTCCTGGGCCTGGCCTGAAATCAGCCTGGTAAGAAGATTCCAGGGGCCCCTGCTGGCGCAACTCTATCTCACAGGGTGCCCAGCGCAGGAAGGTGTGCCGCTGCCACAGGCGCTCCAGGTCCTTCCGCCTTCCGATTCCCTGCAGCAGGCAATAGGGACCCTCCTCAACGGTATGGGCCCTTGGCCCACATTCCTGGCACCAAGCACCTTCTTGGGCCCCTCCTAACCCCAAGTCTGCTTGGTGATACCTGTCCTATGCCTGGCTGTCTTGGCCTGTACCCTGGCCTCCTTGGCCTGCCTCCCCAGTGATGTCTTTCATTCTAAGGTGAAGCACCCAGAAAGTTAGTGGCCCACAGGATACTTGCATATTGTCTGGCAAGTTGGCAGAGGAAACCAACATAGAGATGTCTCTGTTTGGGGGAATAGGCTGTTTCCCAGAGGAGAAAGTTTGTGGGGGAAGACAGCCACTCCTCTGCCTTCATAAGGAGCCCTCCCTCAGTGTCATCCCCTCCACCCTACCATCTGCTCTGTCCAGACTTCAGCTTAGGCTGGGGGACTGCCTGCCATTCTTCCTGTCTTCGGCACTCACTTTGTCAAAGGAAGTACGGTTGTCGTGCTTGGAGAAGAAGTGTCGCTGCGCCGGCTCCTTGAAAGACAGTGAGAAAGAAGGTGAATGGGGAAAATGATGCTTATTTACCCACCCTTACCTGGATCACTGCCTCAGGGTCCTTAATGGAGGGAAGTCACCAGGAGCCACTGCCCCTAAGCTGCTAAACTGCCAACAGACAGAGGGCAGAGACTAATTAAAGCAACACTTCAGTCCTGGGATATCTCAACCTGGGACTTGCCCTGAAGCAGAAGCCCGTGGAACCCTTATTGAGGAGGGTCCTCAATAAGGAGGCATCTGCTAGAACATCCTCCCATCAGGGGAGCAGTGGCCAAGTTTCAAGTTGGGCCTTAACTCTTGATTGCCCAGGACTCTAGTCCTCTCCTCCCCTGCATCCACACTTACTCCCCCATCAACATACCCAGCCTCTTGGCTCTAAATGCCATCTGAAAACTGGAATTTCTATCTCCAGCTCAAACTTTCTCCTGAACTTTGGGTTCAGTAGACAACTGCCTACTCCACATCTCCATGTAAATGCCTAATTGAGCATCTCCAAACATATGACTGAGCTTTGGGTCATCCCCAGACACACTCCACCTATAGCCTCCCCCAGCTCAGACCACGGCAGCCAGATCCTGTCAAACACCTTGAGTCCCCTTGATTCTCTTCTCTCATACCCCACATTGAATATGCAAGTATCCTGTTGATACTGTGGTCAAAATGTGCCCAGGACCAGACCACATCTCAGCATGCCCACTCTTTTCCCCGATCCAAGCCACATTACTCTCTTGCCTGAATTATTGCAAGAGCTTCCTGCCTGGTGTCCCTGCTTTCAAACTTACCCCTCCAGTCTGCTGTCTGCTTAGCAGCCAGCATAATTCTGTTAGTACATAAATGAGATCACATCTCATTTGCTGAAAATCCACAACAGTTCCTCCTATTTGTGATAGCCAAAGTCATCATAGTGGTCTGTGAGACCCACATGATATTGGTCCTTCTGTTACCTCCAGCCACACTGATTTCCTCACTGCTCCTCAGACACACCAGGTGCTCCCACTTAGGGCTTTGCACCACCTGTTCCTTCTCCTGGCCATATAATTCCCTCACACCTCCCTCTTTTCCTTCCTTGAGCACTAGGCCAATAGTTCCATCACCCTAACCCTGCATTTTTCACCTGCTAACATACTATATTGTTCTATGTGATGTTACCCCCACTGATTAGAACATCTCATGCCCCGCCATTAAACATAAGCTGCTTGTGGGCAAAGGCGGTCTGTCTTGCTCACATCTATAACTTCAGCACTGAGAATAATGCCTGACACAGCTCAATAAATGTTGCTGTTAAATCAATAAACAGGCTGGGCACGGTGGCTCACACCTGTAATCCCAGCACTTTGGGAGGCCGAGGCGGGTGGATCACCTGAGGTCAGGAGTTTGAGACCAGCCTGGCCAACATAGTGAAACCCCGTTTTTACTAAAAATACAAAAATTAGCCGGGCTTGGTGGCTCATGCCTGTAATCCCAGCACTTTGGGAGGCCGAGGCGGACAGATCACTTGAGGTCAGGAGTTCGAGACCAACCTGGCCAACATGGTGAAACCCCGTCTCTACTAAAACACACAAAAAAATTAGCTGGGTGTGATGGTGTTTGGCTGTAATCCCAGCTACTCAGGAGGCTGAAGCAGGAGAATTGCTTAAACCTGGGAGGCAGAGGTTGCAGTGAGCTAAGATTGAGCCACTGCACTCCAGCCTGGGCAACAGAAAAAAAAAAATTAATGAACAGGGACAGAAGGTCCTGGCCCCAGGGCATTTACTTTGGCTCAGTTGGAGCTAGAGAGCCTTGCTCCACTCCCATGCAGAGAAAGCCCATCTCTTAGGCCTCCAGACTTCAGCAGGAATCTGTCCCAAGAACACCTTCTTGCCTTTGTGCTTGGCTTCTGCCTGCAGAGCCATTCCCTCTCCAGTCACTCAGTTTCTCCTGCTGTAGACCTGAAGTGGCCAGATCTGGTGAGGTCAGGCTTGGCTGGCTTGGGAGTATAGGTAATGGCTGACAGCAGGTCCCCAGATAAAATACAGGGGCTGGCTCCATCCCTGAACCAGAATCTTCAGAGTAGAGCTTATTGTATGTGTGTTTAAGAGTTCCCTTTTTAGGCCAGGTGCGGTGGCTCACGCCTGTAATCCCAGCACTTTGGGAGGCCGAGGCGGGCGGATCACGAGGTCAGGAGATCGAGACCATCCTGGCTATCATGGTGAAACCCCGTCTCTACTAAAAATACAAAAAATGTGCTGGGTGTGATGGCGGGCGCCTGTAGTCCCAGCTACTCGGGAGGTTGAGGCAGGAGAATGGCGTGAACCCGGGAGGTGGAGCTTGTAGTTAGCTGAGATCACACCACTGCACTCCAGCCTGGGCGACAGAGTGAGACTCCGTCTCAAAAAAAAAAAAAAAAAAAAAAGAGTTCCCTTTTTAGAACCGCCTGCCTTAGACAGTCTGATGGTAGTCTTCAAGCAGAATGAAAACTCCAAGAAGGTGGGAAGCTTTCATTCCTCAAAATGCAAGCTGAGGCTGGGCACAGTGGCTCATGCCTATAATCCCAGCAGTTTGGGAGGCAGAGGCGGATAGATCACTTGAAGCCAGGAATTCGAGACCAGCCTGGCCAACATGGTGAAACCTTGTCTCTACTGAAAATACAAAAATTAGCTAGGTGTGGTGGTGGGCGCCTGTAATCCCAGCTACTCGAAAGGCTGAGGCAGGAGAATTGCTTGAACTTGGGTGGTGGAGGTTGCAGTGAGCCGAGATCTCACCACTGCACTCCAGCCTTGGCAACAGAGAGACTCTATCTCCAAGAAAAAAAAAAAAAAAAAAGCAAGCTGAGGCCGTGCAGTGGCTTACACCCGTAATCCCAGGACTTTGAGAGGCCAAGGAGGAAAGATTGCTTGAGCCCAGGAGTTCAAGACCGGCCTGGGCAGTGTGGAAAGGCTCCCAGACACTGTCTCTACAAAAAATAACAAATTAGCCAGGCGTGGTGGTGCATACCTGTGGTCCCAGCAACTAGGAAAGCTGAAGTGGAAGGATCACATGAGCTTAAGAGGTCAAGGGTGCAATGAGCCATGATCGTGCCACTGCGAACCAAGCTACAGACTGGGAGAAAATATTTATAAACCATATATCCAACAGAGGACTAGAATATATAAGGAAGTCTCTCAACTCAACAGTAAAATCACAGTCTAATTAGAAAATGGACAAACATGAAGACATCTAACCAAAGAAGATTTACAGACGACAAATAACACATGAAAATGTGTCCGGAATGGGTGGGTTCTTCGTCTCACTGACATCAAGACTGAAGCCGCGGACCCTCGCGGTGAGTGTTAACAGTTCTTAAAGGCGGCATGTCCGGAGTTTGTTCCTTCTGACGTTCGGATGTGTTCCCAGTTTCTTCCTTCTGGTGGGTTCGTGGTCTCGCTGGCTCAGGAGTGAAGCTGCAGACCTCCGCGGTGAGTGTTACAGCTCTTCAGGCGGCGCGTCTGGAGTTGTTCGTTCCTCCGGGTGGGTTCGTGGTCTCACTGGCTTCAGGAGTGAAGCTGCAGACCTTCGTGGTGAGTGTTACAACTCATAAAGGCAGCGTGGACCCAAAGAGTGAGCAGCAGCAAGATTTATTGCAAGGAGTGAAAGAACAAAGCCTCCACAGCGTGGAAGGGGACCAAAGCGGGTTGCCACTGCTGGCTGGGGCAGCCTGCTTTTATGCTCTTATCTGGCCCCACCCACATCCTGCTGATTGGTAGAGCCCAGTAGTCTGTTTTGACAGGGCACTGATTGGTGCGTTTACAATCCCTGAGCTAGACACAAAGGTTCTCCACTTCCCCACCAGATTAGCTAGATACAGAGTGTGGACACAAAGGTTCTCCAAGTCCCCCACCAGAGTAGCTAGATACAGAATGTCAATTGGTGCATTCACAAACCCTGAGCTAGACACAGGGTGCTGATTGGTGTGTTTACAAACCTTGAGCTAGATACAGAGTGCCCATTGGTGTATTTACAATCCCTTAGCTAGACATAAAGGTTCTCCAAGTCCCCACCAGACTCAGGAGCCCAGCTGGCTTCACCCAGTGGATCCCGCACTGGGGCTGCAGGTGGAGCTGCCTGCCAGTCCCGCGCCGTGTGCCCACACTTCTCAGCCCTTGGGTGGTCAATGGGACTGGATGCCATGGAGCAGGGGGCGGCGCTTGTTGGGGAGGCTCGGGCTGCACAGGAGCCCAGGGAGTGAAGGGGGAGGTTCAGGCATGGCAGGCTGCAGGTCCCGAGCCCTGCCCCGCGGGAAGGCAGCTAAGGCCTGGCGAGAAATTCAGCACAGCAGCTGCTGGCCCAGGTGCTAAGCCCCTCACTGCCCGGGGCGGGGGGGCCAGCCACTCCGAGTGCAGCCCGCTGAGCCCATGCCCACCCGGAACTCACGCTGGCCGGCAAGTACAGCGCGCAGCCCCAGTTCCCCCTCTGGCCTCTCCCTCCATACCTCCCCGCGAGCTGAGGGAGCCGTCTCGGGCCTCGGCAAGCCCAGGAAGGGGCTCCCACAGCGCAGCGGCGGGCTGAAGGGCTCCTCAAGTGCCCCAAAGTGGGAGTCCAGGCAGAGGAGGTGCCGAGAGCAAGCAAGGGCTGTGAGGGCTGCCAGCACGCTGTCACCTCTCAAAAAGATATTCATCATTAAACATCAGGGAAATGCAAATTAAAACCACAATAAGATATCACTACACATCTATCAGAATGGCTCCAATTGAAAATGGAGACAACATCAGGTATTGGTGAGAATGCAGAGAAACCAGATCATTCATGCATTGCTGGTAGGAATATAAAGTGGTAAAGCCACTCTCAAAAACAGTTTGGCAGTTTCTTTTAAAAACTAAACATGCAGCCGGGCGCGGTGGCTCATCCTGTAATCCCAGCACTTTGGTAGGCTGAGGTGGGTGGATAACCTGAGGTCAGGAGTTCAAGACCAGCCTGGCCAATATGGTGAAACCCTGTCTCTACTAAAAATACAAAAATTAGCTGGGCATGGTGGCACACACCTGTAATGAGATTGCTTGAGCCCGGGAGGCGGAGGTTGCAGTGAGCTGAGATCGTGCCACTGCACTCCAGCCTGGCCGACAGAGTGAGACTCTGTCTCGAAAACAAAACAAAACAACAAAAACACTAAACATGCAACTACCACATGACCCAGCAATTGTATTCCTGGGCATTTATCCCAGAGAGACAAAAACATATGTTCAACCAAAAGTTTATATACAAATATTCTTAACAGCTTTATTTGTATGAGCCAAAAACTGGAATCAGGTCAGATATCCTTTAACAGATGAATGATTAAACAAACTGGTACATTGGTACCAAGGAAATACTACTCAGTAAATGAAAATAAATGAACTATTGATACACACAATAATTTGGATGAATCTCTAGGAAATTATGCTGCAAAAATAGCCAGTCTCCAAAGGGTGCATATTGTATTATTCTATTTATATAACTGTTTTTGAGACAAGGTCTCACTCTGTTGCCAGGCTGGAGTGCGGTGACACAATCATGGCTCACTTCAGCCTTGACCTCCTGGGCTTAAGCAATCCTCCTACCTCAGCCTCTGGAGTAGCTGGTACCACAGGTGCATGCCATCATGCCTGGCTAATTGTTTAACTTTTTTTAAGAGATGAGGTCTCATTATGTTGCACAGGCTGATCTTGAACTCTTGGGCTCAAGCAATCCTCTTGCCTTGGCCTCCCAAAGTGCTGGGATTAGAGGCATGAGCCACTGTGCCCAGCTTTATATAACATTTCAATTTTATTTAATTTAATTTATTTTTTTGAGACAGAGTCTCACGTGTAGCACAGGCTAGAGTGCAGTGGTGTGATTTTGGCTTGCTGCAACCTCCACCTCCCAGGTTCAAGAGGTTCTTATGCCTCCGCCTCCCAAGTAGCTGGGATTACAGGCATGTGCCACCACACTGGCTAATTTTTGTATTTTTACCAGAGATAGGGTTTCACCATATTGCCCTGGTTGGTCTTGAACTCCTGACCTTGAGCAGTCCACTGCCTTGGCTTCCCAAAGTGTTGGGATTACAGGCATGACCCACCGCACCTGGCCTATGTAATTTTTTTTTTTTTTTTTTTTGAGATGGAGTCTTGCTCTCTTACCTAGGCCGGAGTGCAGTGGCGTGATCTCAGCACACCACAACCTCTGCCTCCCAGATTCAAGCACTTCTCCTGCCTCAGCCTCCCGAGTAGCTATGATTACAGGCGTGAGCCACCAACCTCAGCAAATTTTTTGTATTTTTAGTAGAGATGGGGTTTCACTATGTTGGCCAGGCTGGTCTTAAACTCCTGGCCTTAAGCAATCCACCCACCTCGGCCTCCCAAGTGCTGGGATTACAGGCGTGAGCCACTGCGCCCGACCTATAACATTTTTAAGTGACAAAATTTTAGAAATGGAAGATTGATTGATTTAGAAATGGGGGCCAGGCGCAGTGGCTCAGGCCTGTAACTTTGGGGGGCCGAGGTGGGTGGATCACCTGAGGTCGGGAGTTCAAGACCAGCCTGACCAACATGGAGAAACCCCATCTCTTCTAAAAATACAAAATTAGCCGGGTGTGGTGGTGCATGCCTGTAATCCCAGCTACTCAGGAGGCTGAGGCAGGAGAGTCACTTGAACCCGGGAGGCAGAGGTTGTGGTGAGCCGAGATCACGACACTGCACTCCAGCCTAGGTGACAGAGCAAGACTCTGTCTTAAAGAAAAAAAAAAATTACATAGACCAAGCAGGGTGGCTCACACCTGTAATCCTGACACTTTGGGAAGCCAAGGCAGGTGGATCACCCGAGATCAGGAGGTTGAGACCAACCAGGGAAATATGGTGAAACCCTGTCTCTACTAAAAATAAAAAAAATTAGCTGGACACGGTGGTGGGTACCTGTAATCCCAGCTACTCAGGAGGCTGAGGTGGGAGATTTGCTTGAACCCGGGAGGCAGAGGTTTCAGTGAGCCAAGATCACACCATTGCACTCCAGCCTGGGCAACAAGAGCGGAACTCCAAAAACAAAACAAAAAAACAACAAAAAAACCAGAGCAGCACCAGGGATCCCTTGTGATGTTGGTCTACCATCACAGTCAACTGTGGTGTTAGATACACAAAACTACACAGGTGATAAAATTTTAAAGCTTTTTTTTTTTTTTTCCCCGAGACGGAGTCTCGCACTGTTGCCTGGGCTGGAGTACAGTGGCTCGATCTCAGCTCACTGCAACCTCTGCCTCCTGGGTTCAAGCTATTCTCCTGCCTCAGCCTCCCAAGTAGTTTGGATTACAGGTGCCAGCCACCACTCCCTGCCAATTTTTTGTATTTTTAGTAAAGATGGGGTTTCACTATGTTGGCCAGTCTCAAACTCCTGACCTCATGATCCACCCGCCTGAGCCTCCCAAAGTGCAGGGATTATGGGCGTGAGTCACCGCGCCCGGCTATAATTTTATAGCTCTTTTTTTTTTTTTTTTTTGACACAGAGTTTTGCTGTTGTTGCCCAGGCTGAAGTGCAATGGCGCAATCTCGGCTCACCACAACCTCCGCCTCCCGGGTTCGAGCAATTCTCCTGCCTCAGCCTCCCAAGTAGCTGGGATTACAGGCATGCACCACCACCCTGGCTAATTTTGTATTTTTAGTAGAGACAGGGTTTCTCCATGTTGGTCAGGCTGGTCTTGAACTCCCGACCTCAGGTGATACACCCGCCTTGGCCTCCCAAAGTGCTGGGATTACAGGTGTAGCCTGGAGTGCAGTGTTGCGATCTCAGCTCACTGCAAGCTCCACCTCCCGTGTTCACGCCATTCTCCTGCCTCAGCCTCCTGAGTAGCTGGGACTACAGGCGCCTGCCACCACACCTGGCTAATTTTTTTTTTTTTTTTGGAGATGGAGTCTCAGTCTGTCGCCCAGGCTGGAGTGCAGTGGTGCGATCGCGGCTCACTGCAACCTCCGCCTCCCGGGTTCACACCATTCTCCTGCCTCAGCCTCCCAAGTAGCTGGGACTACAGGCGCCCGCCACCATGCTTGTCTAATTTTTTGTATTTTTCGTAGAGATGGGGTTTCACCATGTTAGCCAGGATGGTCTTGATCTCCTGACCTCGTGATCCGCCTGCCTTGGCCTCCCAAAGTGCTGGGATAACAGGCGTGAGCCACCGCACCCAGCCTATAGCCACCACGCCCCGCCCATAGCTCTTAATACACACACACGCACGCACGCACGCACGCAGAAGTAAAACTAAGGAAATTTGAATGAACTTTAGTGATTAAATCAATGTCAATGTCCTTGTTGTGATATTATACTATAGCTTTGCAAGATGTTACCATTGAAGGTAACCAGGCAAAGTGTAAAAGAAATCTCTATTATTTTTTACAACTGCTTATGAATTGATAATTATTTCAATGAAAGTTTCAATTAAAATAAAATCTAGGAGTCTGGGGCAAGTTTCAATTGACCCCCAAATTTCTCCCATTGTCTATCCTCAGCTACTGAATTACACTTAGCCCTAGAATGTACATGTCTTTCCTGTCGGAGGCACCTCTGACTGGAAATTCACTATTCCTATAGTGGCAGGATAATTTATTGACGCCCAATGAGTTTTGTTCTCTCAAAACTGTGGGAGCTTGGTGAGAAGCACAGTCATTTCCTCTCTACCCAGGCAATTCTGGGTATTCTTGCCCTGCAAAGAATGATCACTAGCATCTTTGTTTCTTAATCATTCAAGGCTCCTTTTCCAACGAGGTGGTAAAATCCATGGTTTCTGAGCAGGTAGAGCTAGGACTGGGATTCCATCTTAAGAGGACTTGGAAGAGAAGTGGGCTTCTTTGGAAGGGGCAGTATTTGCATGTGGGAGGGCTAAGGGCCCCTGTGGAGGCTGGGCAGTCTGCACTAAGAGAGGAAGCTCCTTGGCAAACTGAGGGATGGGATGGCAGCAAGGGCCCAGCAATCATGGCACCACAGGTGAAGAACATGCACCCAACCAGACAGGATTCCTGTCCAACCTGAGGAACTAAGAGAACCAGAATTATATTTCCCAAGAATCAGGCAGTTGACGGCTGGAAATAGATTAATCTGCTTTAGAAAAAAAATGAAAAAAAAACCCATAATTTTCTTGCATCTGTATGTCATGGACAAAAATTTTACAAACCAAAGGAGAGTGGATGCTACATCTTGGAAAGGCTTTAAACAATAGCTAGAATCTGCCAGCTGAAACCTGGTACCTCTCAGCCAGTGCAAAAAGAAAATGTGCAACTTCTCTGAGCAGTCCTATTAATTAAAACAGCTTTAGACCTAGAAAGAACTGTGAGATTTGACATTTATATAACCTGAATCCAAGACACAGATTATGCTACTTGGGGCTGCTGATAATGCTAGTAAATTTTTTATGTAGCAAGTCCTTACATTGATCAGCAGCCAAAACATGCCCCTTACATGTCTGTTTCTGAGGAATGAGTTTAACAGATTGATAGGATGTTCCAGTCTCTGGGAGGAGAGCTGCCACTGAGGGCAATGACAAACATACAGCAGGAAGTCTCTGTGTTGCTTCTCTTTCTGTACTTCCCAGATCCCTTCACTCTCAAAAGGGAGGTGGCCCTGGATGGGCAGTATGGAGCTGCATCTGGGCCTGGCTTGGTAGGCTGTAGCAGGCAGCCCTTGCAAGTGTATATGCTAAGGAAGTTCAGTTTCCATAAAATAGCAGCCTTCAGGACCCTGGTCTCAGCCTGGGAAAGCAATTCATAGAAAATCCAGATGGCAGATCAAGTAGGACCTGGCAAAAGGCTGGGAAGCAAGAAGGTGCAGTGGGTGGTACCTGTTTTAGGCACCCCTTCAGGTCCCTCTGGGCCTTTCTTCTACCCAGTTGTTGCTCCGGAGGCTGACCTGACTGCACCCCACACTAGGCTCCCTTTGTTCTGGCCACCAGGGAACCCTGGGAGGACATGGAGGAAAAGAGAGAGGAGGTGTTTCTTCTCTTGGCTCCCTCCTAGGCCACATCCCACCTGGCTATGTCTCTGTACCTAGGATCACTGATCCTGTCAGGGTGACCCTTTTCATACCTTTATCTCCTTCTCGATTCCAGAAGCCATGCCTCCCCCTTGTCCCCCTTTGGGCTCAGTAGTACTAACCACTTGGTTGTTACCAGCCTGTGGGAATGCCTTTATCTGAGGCTGTCACAAGCAATCTTTTGTAAACATACCCTTCCGAGTTCTGCTGTTTTGAGTATGCTTGTTACTGTTGTGACTCCGATTTATTTATTTATTTTTTATGTTATTTCATTTTTTGAGACCGAGTCTCACTCTGTCACCCAGGCTGGAGTGTGGTGGTGCCATCTTGGCTCACTGCAACTTCTGCCTCCCAGGTTCAAGCGATTCTGCCTACCTCAGCCTCCTGAGTAGCTGGGATTACAGGTGTGCATCACCATGCCCGGTTATTTTTTTTTTTTTTTTTGAGACGGAGTTTTGCTCTTGTTGCCCAGGCTGGAATGCAATGGCGCTATCTGATCTTGGCTCACTGCAACTTCCACCTCCTGGGTTCAAGCCATTCTCCTGCCTTAGCCTCCCGAATAGCTGGGATTAGAGGCATGCGCCACCAAGCCCAGCTAATTTTGTATTTTTAGTAGAGATGGGGTTTCTCCATGTTGGTCAGGCTGGTCTTGAACTACCGACCTCAGGTGATCCTCCCACCTCGGCCTCCCAAAGTTCTGGGATTACAGGCATGAGCCACCGCACCTTGCCTATTTTTTTTTTTTGTATTTTTAGTAGAGATGGGGTTTCACCATGTTGGCCAGACTGGTTTCGAGCTCCTGACCTCAAGTGATCCACCTGCCCTGGCCTCCCAAAGTGCTAGGATTACAGGCGTGAGCCACCTCGCCCAGCTGTGACCCTGATTTATGATACACAGTGCCCCTTCCTTGTCTCCAGGCTTGTAAGTAGTAAAGGGCCTAGGGCCCTGTATCCCTTTCCCATTCTCCAGAAGCCTGCTATAGCCACTCCAGGCTATCTCAGCCATCACTCCTTTCCAGTATTCCCTGGCCAAATGTGTAGGCCAGTAACCAGCTGCCTCCTGTACTACTTCCCTGACCAGAGGAGGCCTCCTACTAATTTCTAAGGACCTGGACTGTGAAGCTGGCTGTGGAATGGACCATGGGCTTTCTTAGCATTAAGGAATCTGAATGTGAAGGTAGTTGTCAGCAAAACTCAAGGCTTACTTCCTGGGTTCTAGAGGCTCTTTGCCTGTAGCTACCCACCCCGGCTAG
Source organism: Homo sapiens (assembly GCF_000001405.40). Lineage (NCBI taxonomy): Eukaryota > Metazoa > Chordata > Mammalia > Primates > Hominidae > Homo > Homo sapiens. The sequence continues at coordinate 49,189,790 of NC_000003.12, forward strand.
GCCCTTACCCTTTGTCCATCTAGAAGGGGCAGTGAGCAATATGGTTCAGTTTGGCACTCACTCTTTTCCACCCTGTCTGTAGGGGAAAGATCTGACATCTCAGAGAAGAAAGGTAAAGCCTGTCCCAGGGATAGGTGTCAGTACAGCCATGGAAGGGCTGGGATGATGCTTTTGGGTTCTGGGAGAGGCAAGAACTGGTCTAGTCACCCCCGCTGCCTTCAGGTCTGCCTTGTACCTGACATCGCTGCAGGAACACTGCTGGAGGCTGGGGCTTGGCTGCAAGGTGGTATTCTCTAGCACTTTCACTCTTGAATTGGCTTCTGTAGTGCCCATAGAAGCCATTGTTGTGCTATAACAAGACAGGAATGAGGATAAAACTCACTCAAATCTCCACCATGGATCCTAGACCTCAGGGCCCCAACTGAGGGTTCCAGGAAAGCCAGACCAGAAGCCCCTCATGGAAGTTCCTGACAGAATAGAAAGAATCTAAGGAGTTAGGACACTCCTGGAGATGGGCCAGTATAGAAGTGTCTTCATCCATCATTGGGACAGTTGACCTCAGCTGTAATGACCCACCTGGGCTATGCATGTGTAGGGAAGGAGTGCCATTCATTTAGAGCAGAGATTTGTGGGCAGGGCCACTGATCAGGGGTGTGGTCCTTCCCTAAAGAGCCTGAGAAGAAATCCCCTTTGTTGTTCTCTCCACAATTTTTTTTTTTTTTTTGAGACAGAGTCTTGCTCTTTCACCCAGGCTGGAGTACAGTGGCACAACCTCAGCTCACTGCAACCTCCGCCTCCCGGGTTCAAGTCATTCTCCTGCCTCAGCCTCCCAAGTACCTGAGACTACAGGCGCCCACTATCATGCCAGGCTGAATTTTTTTTTTTTTTTTTTTTTTTTGAGACGGAGTCTTGCTCTGTCTGCAGGCTGGAGTGCAGTGGTGCGATCTTGGTTCACTGCAACCTCTGCCTCCCGGGTTCAATCAATTCTCCTGCTTCAGCCTCCCGAGTATCTGGGATTACAGGCGCCCGCCACCACACCCGGCTAATTTTTGTATTTTTAGTAGAAACAGGGTTTCACCATGTTGGCCAGGCTGGTCTCGAACTCCTGACCTCGTGATCTGCCCACCTTGGCCTCCCAAAGTGCTGGGATTACAGGCGTGAGCCACTGCGCCTGGCCTGGAGAGAATTTCAGAGAGAGGAACTGTCAGGAGACAGAAATAAGCAACTATCAGAGGTCCAAGAAAGGGGCTGTACTGTGCTGATGTCATTACGTGTACACTCTGTGGATGATCATGTCTGGGAACTCCTATGGCCCAACCTCTTTGTCCTGAGTTCTCCCTGGAGACGATGGGTGTGTCTGGCCCTCCACAATTATAACACTGAGCAGAAGAACCCATCCTAAGCCTGCCCTCTGGCCATCACAATGGGCTATTTAACAGGACTAGAAAGCCTCATATCTTTCCATCCCACTGAAGACGTGGATCACTTTGTCTGTCTATCCTTCTCTGTCAGGAACCCCTCACTCTCTATTCAGGTTAGCTCAACAGTATTTATCAGACCTTTATTGTCTTCCAGGCGTGGGGCTGAGCATGGGAAATACAGATGGACAAAAACACAATCTTTGCCCTCAAAATGTTCCCAGACTAGAGAGCAGCCAAACTCCAAAAGCTTGGGAGGCTCAAACAATTAACTAGGAATAAATGGGGTGGCTAGAGGACTAGGAATTTCCACTGGCTTTCAGGAGACCATGATGCATGGAAGGGGGCAAAGTGTTAGGAAGACTAGGCAGCCTCCAGGGGTGACCTCAAGATGGTGGAGAGGAAGTGGGCGGCTCAGGGTCCTATTCCAGGTTGGATGCCAAATGAAAACCTTTTCACTTCACCGGCATGACTCAGTCAGATTTCAGGTACAACCAGAGGGCCAGGGGCCAGGATTAACATAAAGTGCACTCTTACCCAGGAGCCTACTAAAGCACTTTGCATCTTTCCAAGAAGGGAGCAGAAAAGGCAAACTTTCCTCTTGTCTTTTGGAGGGTATCTTCAGGAAAGAGAATCTCTGGAGGTCAATTTTTTGTTGCTTAGTGACAAGGGAAGGTTGTGACTGCACAATGCTGCTGCTGTTTGTTGAGACAGTACATGACCTGTTGCCCCTTTGTCCTTGCTGCCCTAGTTCTTCTCTGTGAGAAAAACCTGCCCCTTGGCATTAACAGCCTGAAGAGCCCTTATATATAGAAACACACAGGGCTCCATGGTAGAGTCTAATGGATTCGCAGCCAATGAAATATTCAAAGAACATTTTAAATGCAGGCAAATCCTGCATTTAAAAACCTATGCATCCATACTGCCAGGAATATAAATTTAGAAAGCATTTCATGGAGTCAGAAGAAATGTTAAAGAGGTTGGTGGCTTTTAGGATAAAATTACTGCTTCAGAATAGGCTCTAACAATTTATCTCTTAGGAGTTTGTGGTGACCAGGAATGCTAATCATGACAGGTGAAATGTTACAAGGGCCAAGTAAAGGAATAGGGCATAACAGAACAGAAGAAGGAACATGCAAAGATTTGACATTATGGTTCCATTCTGAGCTACCCTTTGACAAATTTTTGACTGAATTCTCTCTTATTTGTAAAAGAGGGACTTGAACAGTTCACCCCCTTTAACAACCAAAAGAAATTGACAATCAGCCTCTAAACATGTGCCAGTAAAACACCCAAGACCCTGCTAGTGTCAATGGCACAAGCCCTAATATCCAGAATGTCTGCCCCAGTGTAGTCACCCTGGAGAGCCCCTCTCATGCGAACTCACAGGTATTAAAAGGTTCATTGGCCTGGGCTTGGTGGTTCACAACTGTAATCCTAGCAGTTTGGGAGGCCGAGGTGGGCAAATCGCTTGAGCCCAGGAGTTCCAGACCAGTCTGGGCAAAATGGCTAACCTGGTCTCTACAAAAAATACAAAAATCAGCTGGGTGTGGTGGCATATACCTGTAGTTCCAGCTATTTGGGGGACTGAAGTGGGAGGATTGCCTGAGCCTGAGGAGATTGAGGCTGAAGTGAGCTATAATCACATCACTGCACTCCAGCCTGGGTGACAGAATGAGACCCCATCTCAATAAATGAATGAATGAATGAATGAATGAATATTCACTGTAGCATCTATACAAAGGAAAAACTGTAAGCAACCCAAGTGTTGACCAACGGGACAATAAGAAAATTGGGCTATAGTCACACAATGAAATTACTAGCGTTACTATAAATGGGCTACAGATATTAGAATCCACAGAGGTAAATCTTAAAAATGTTGGCCAGGTGCGGTCACTCACGTCTGTAATCCCAGCACTTTGGGAGGTTGAAGTGGGCAGAATGTTTGAGCTCAGGAGTTTGAGACCAGCCTAGGCAACATGGTGAAACTCTGTCTCTACCAAATATACAAAAAATTAACTGGGTGTGGTGGCACACGCCTGCGGTCCCAGCTACTTGGGAGGCTGAGGAGGGAGGATCACTTGAGCCCGGGAAGTGGAGACTGCAGTAAATGGAGATTGCACCACTGTACTCCAGCCTGGGTGACAGAATGAGACCCCCATCTCAAAAACAAAAGAAAACAAAACAAAAACCGTAAAGATGTTGAGTTGGCCGGGAGCGGTAGCTCACGCCTGTAATCCCAGCACTTTGGGAGGCTGAGGCGGGCGGATCACAAGGTCAAGAGATCAAGACCAGCCTGGCCAACATGGTGAAACCCCATTTCTACTAAAAATACAAAAATTAGCTGGGTGTGGTGGCGCCTGTAGTCCCAGCTACGCTACTTGGGAGGCCAAGGAGGAAGAGATCACACCATTGCACTCCAGCCTGGCGACAAAGCGAGACTCTACCAAAAAAAAAAAAAAAAAAAAAAAAAAGGCCAGGTGCAGTGGCTCACGCCTGTAATCCCAGCATTCTGGGAGGCCAAGGTGGGTGGATCACGAGGTTAGCAGTTCGAGACCAGCCTGGCCAACATGGTGAAACCCCGTCTCTACTTAAAATACAAAAATTAGCCAGGCATGGTGGCGCATGCCTGTAGTCCCAGCTACTCAGGAGCCTGAGGCAGAAGAATCGCTTGAACCCGGGAGGCAGAGGTTGCAGTGAGCCGAGATTGTGCCACTGTACTCCAGCCTGGGTGACGGAGTGAGAATCCATCTCAAAAAAAAAAAAAAGAAGTTGAGTCAGACTGGGTGCCGTGGCTCACGTCTGTAGCCCCAGCACTTTGGGAGGCTGAGGCAGGCAGATCATGAGGTCAGGAATTCAAGACCAGCCTGGCCAACATGGTGAAACCCCATCTCTACTAAAAATGGAAAAATTAGCCAGGTGCGGTGGCAGGCACCTGTAATCCCAGCTACTCAGGAGGCTGAGGCAGGAGAATTGCTTCAACCCAGGAGGCAGAGGTTGCAGTGAGTCGAGATCGTGCCATTACACTCCAGTCTAGGCAATGAGAGGGAAACTCTATCTCAAAAAAAAAAAAAAGTACAAAGTGTATATATATATATATATATATATATATTTGAGACGGAGGCTTGCTCTGTTGCCCAGGCTGGAGTGCAGTGGTGTGATCTCGGCTCACTGCAAGCTCCGCCTCCCGGGCTCACACCATTCTCCTGCCTCAGCCTCCTGAGTAGCTGGGACTACAGGTGCCCACCACCCCGCCTGGCTAATTTTTTTTATTTTTAGTAGAGAGGGGGTTTCACTGTGGTCTCGATCTCCTGACCTCGTGATCCACCCACCTCGGCCTCCCAAAGTGCTGAGATTACAGGCGTGAGCCACCGTGCCCAGCCCAAAGTATACCATTTATAAAATCGGCATGGCATGGTGGCTCATGCCTGTAATCCCAGCACTTTGGGAGGCCGAGGTGGGCGAATTGCTTCAGCCCAGGAGTTACAGACCAGCCTGGGCAACATGGCGAAACCCCATCACTACAAAAAATACAAAAATTAGCCAGACATGGTGACGTGCACCTGTGGTCTCAACTATTCGAGAGGCTGAGGTGGGAGGATTGCTTGACCCCGGGAGGGCGAGGCAGCAGTGAGCCATGATTGTGCTACTGCACTCCAGCCTGAGAGACAGAATGAGACCCCGTCTCAAATAAATAAATAAATAAAATAATACAAATATACAAAACAATGCTATGATTTATGGATACAAACATATGAACTGGCTGGGTGTGATGGGTCACTCCTGTAATCCCAGCACTTGGGGAGGCCAAGGCAGGCAGGTTGCTTGAGTCCAGGAGTTCAAGACCAGCCTGGTCAATATGAGACCCTGTCTCTATTTTTACATAAATAAATAATTTTAAAAATGTAATAATTAAAAATAAAAAGCATGGGCTGGCTGCAGTGGCTCTTGCCTGTAATCCCAGCACTTTGGGAGGCCGAAGCGGGCAGATCACCTGAGGTCAGGAGTTCAAGAGTAGCCTGGCCAACATGGTGAAACCCCGTCTCTACTAAAAATACAAAAAAATTAGCTGGGCGTGGTGACATGCGTCTGTAATCCCAGCTACTTGGGAGGCTGAGGCAGGGGAATCGCTTGAACCTGGAAGGCAGAGGTTGCAGTGAGTTGAGATCACGCCATTCCACTCCAGCCTGAGCGACAGAGCAAGACTCCATCTCAAAAAAAAAAAAGAGGCCAGTCGTGGTGGCTCACACCAGTAATCCCAGCACTTTGGGAGGCCAAGGCGGGCAGATCATGAGGTCAGGAGATAGAGACCATCCTGGCTAACACGGTGAAACCCCGTCTCTACTTGACAAAAAAATTAGCTGGGTGTGGTGGCAGTCGCCTGTAGTCCCAGCTACTCAGGAGGCTAAGGCAGGAGAATGGTGTGAACCCAGGAGACCGAGCTTGCAGTGAGCTGAGATCACGCCACTGCACTCCAGCCTGGGCCACAGAGTGAGACTCCATCTCAAAACAACAACAACAACAAAAATAATAAATAAATAATAAATAAATATATAAATAAAGTGTGCATAGGAATGATGGGAAACAAATAACAGGATAGAAATCACCTGGGGGCCAGGCGCGGTGGCTAACGCCTGTAATCACAGCACTTTGGGAGGCCAAGGTGGGCGGATCACGAGGTCAGGAGATGAGACCATCCTGGCTAACACAGTGAAACCCCATCTCTACTAAAAAAAAAAAAATACAGGCCAGGTGTGGGGGCTCATGCCTGTAATCCCAGTACTTTGGGAGGTCGAGGCGGGCGGATCACAAGGTCAGCAGATCGAGAATATCCTGGCTAACACGGTAAAACCTCATCTCTACTAAAAACACAAAAAGAAATTAGTTGGGCTTGGTGGCAGGTGCCTGTAGTCCCAGCTACTCAGGAGGCTGAGAATGGCATGAACCCGAGAGGCAGAGCTTGCAGTGAGCCAAGATCGCACCACTGCACTCCAGCCTGGGCGACAGTAAGACTCCGTCACAAAAAAAAAAAAAAAAAATCACCTGGGGAGGGGAGCAAGGGGAATGGTATCAGGGAGGACCGAATGGAGCTTCAACTCTATCTGTAACGTTTTTACTTTTTTTTTTTTTTTTGAGACAGTCTCACTGTTGCCCAGGCTGGAGTGCAGTGGCGCGATCTCGGCTCACTGCAACCTCCACCTCCCGGGTTCACGCCATTCTCCTGCCTCAGCCTCCCAAGTAGCTGAGACTATAGGCGCCCACCACCACGCCCGGCTATTTTTTTTCTTTTTTTGAGGTGAAGTCTTGCTCTGTCGCCCAGGCTGGAGTGCAATGGCATGACCTCGGCTCACTGCAACCTCTGCCTCCTGGGTTCAAGTGATTCTTGTGGCTTAGCCTCCCCAGTAGCTGGGATTACAGGCGTGCGCCACCACACCTGGCTAATGCTTTGTATTTTTATTGATTGATTGATTGATTTTTTTTGAGACCGAGTCTCGCTCTGTCACCCAGGCTGGAGTGCAGTGGTGCGATCTCAGCTCACTGCAACCTCTGCCTCCTGGGTTCACGCCATTCTCCTGCCTCAGCCTCCCAAGTAGCTGAGACTACAGGCGCCCACCACCACGCCTGGCTAATTTTTTGTATTTTTAGTAGAGACGGGGTTTCGCTGTGTTAGCCAGGATGGTCTCCATCCCCTGACCTCGTGATCTGCCCGCCTCGGCCTCCCAGGGTGCTGGGATTACAGGAGTGAGCCACTGCGCCAGGCCACGTTTTTACTTTTTTTTTTTTTTTTTTTGAGATGGAGTCTCGCTCTGTTGCCCAGGCTGGAGTGCCGTGGCGCCATCTCGGCTCACTGCAACCTCCGCCTCCCAGGTTCAAACGATTCTCCTGCCTCAGCCTCCCGAGTAGCTGGGGCTACAGGCTCGTGCCACCACAGCCGGCTAATTTTTTTTTTTTTTTTGTATTTTTTGTAGAGACGGGGTTTCACCGTGTTAGCCAGGATGTTCTCAATCTCCTGACCTCGTGATCTGCCCACCTTGGCCTCCCAAAGTGCTGGGATTACAGGCATGAGCCACCATGCCCAGGCCATTTTTACTTAAAAAAAATGTGTTTTAGACAGTCTCGCTCTGTTGCTCAGGCTTCAGTGCAGTGGCATGATCATGGCTCACTCTAACCTCAAACTCCTGGACTCAAGGGATCCTCCCACCTTGGCCTCCCAAAGTTCTGGGATTACAGGCATGAGCTATGGTGTCCAGCCATGTTTTAATTTTTATAGCTTTATTTAGGTAAAATTAATACATGATAAACTGCACATATTGAAAATGTACAATTTGATGCATTTCGATATATGTATACACCTCTGAAACACTGCCATCAAGAGAGTAAATATGGCCAGGCGTGGTGGCTCACACCTGTAATCCCAGCACTTTGGGAGGCTGAGGTGGGTGGATCACCTGAGGTCTGGAGTTTGAGACCAGCCTGACCAACATGGAGAAACCCTGTCTCTACTAAAAATACAAAATTAACTGGGTGTGGTGGCAGGCACCTGTAATCCCAGCTACTTGGGAGGCTGAGGTAGGAGAATCGCTTGAACCTCAGAGGTGGAGGTTGTGGTGAGCCGAGATTGTGCCATTGCACTCCAGCCTGGGTGAAACTCCTGAGAGTGAAACTCCATCTCAAAAAAAAAAAAAAAGAAGAAGAAGATAGTAAATATGTTCATCACCCCAAGTTTCCTTCTGCCTAGTCGTAATCTTTCCTTATGGCACTCATTTGCCTCAGGCAATGCCACACCTCTGCTTTCTGTCACTATAGATTAATTTGCATTTTCTCGAATTTTATATAAATGGGATCATACAGTATGTATTCTTTTGTGTTTGGCTTTCACTCAGCGTAATTATTTTGAAATTTATTCATGTTGTTGTATCCATTGTTCATTCCTTTTTATTGCTTAGTAGTTGTCCATTGTATGGATATGCCAAATCTCTCCTCTTGATTTTTTGAATCCATACACAAATCAGGTTTTCATCCTCACTACATCACTGTAACTGCTCCTACCAAGGTCACTCAAAGTTAATTCTAACTAATCTTCCCTGAACACATCCGCAGCATTTGTCATAGCTGATCTCTGCCTCCTCTTTGAAGCAGTTCCAAGTGCCTTCCAGAATGCCTCATTCTCCTGGTGTCTTTCCCCGTCTCCTGACCAGGCTTGCTCCAACTCCTTGGCTGCTTTTCCTTCATCTCCAAAGTCCTCTAAACTGGTGTGTCCTGGGGCTGAATCCAATCTCCTTTCCATTTATACTCCATTGGTGATTGCATCCTGTTTTTGTTTGTTTTTTGAGACAGGGTCTCATTCTGTCGCCCAGGCTGGAGTGTAGTGACGCGATCTCGGCTCACTGCAACCTCTACCTCCCAGGTTCAAACGATCCTCCCGCCTCAGCCTCCGAGTAGCTGGGACCACAGGCATGTGTTACCACGCCGGACTAATTTTTTGTAGAGCTGGGGTTTCGCCATGCTGCCCAGGCTGGTCTCAAGCATGTTTTTTGCTTTCTAAGTCATCTATAAGCACCAGAGGCAGAGTTACATAGATCCTTCCTGCCTACCCGCACTGTCCCTGCCCTCAGGCCACTCCAGCATCCAGCAGGCCAGAAACCTCAGAAGATTTCTTGCCTCCTTTCTCTTTCCTCCAGGGGCCCGGTTCGATGTCCCCATCTGCCCACGGCGCCTCTCGTGCCAGCTGCTCCGCCTGTCCTGCCCTTGCTCAGACCACCCAAGTATCATCTGTGCTCTGGCCCCTGGCCACCAGTTCCACCCCACATGCTGTCCTCACAGGTGGCGCCTTGCCATTCCTGGGGACCAGGGCCTCCTTGTTCTGGTCATACACAGTGGAGTGTAGGTCGAGCGACAAGTGAGTAGATCTGCATGCCAGGTGGGCCGAGGGTGGCCATTCCGGCGTGAGTGTGGGGGTGTGAGGGAACGTTGCATGGGGTGCACGTGGGCTGGGTGTGGCGTGCAGCGGTGTGGCGCCAGGCAGGCAGCTTGGCGGGGCCCACAATCAGCGCGGTTGAGACCATTAGTACGGTTAAAACCGTTAGCTGCCTGTCGCGGCGAGGGCGGGGCCCTGGGGACTGGACGGAATCCCAGTTGGTCAGAGGAGACCCTGGGGGCGGGGCCGCGCGAGTTGCCGTTAGGACAGTTAAAACCGTTAGCTGCCTGTCGTGGCGGGGCGGGGCCCTGGGACAGGACGGAATCCCTATTGGTCAGAAGAGGACCTGGGGGCGGGGCCGCGCGTGCCGTTGCAGAGGCAGCGGGACGCGGCCACCTCGAAGCCACGTCAGGGCAGCCCCAGGTCGGGCGCGTGCCAGCAGCCAGAGGTGGGGACAGGAGGGCTTTGGGCAGGGTGGGTTGGGGAAAGGCGGGGGGAGGGGCTGAGGAGCCGGATGGGGCCGTGGGTCTGGGTTCAGGATACCAGCGGTCCTCCCGGGCTTTCCCGGGACGTTGGTCTTGTAGTCCCTCCCCTGCCCTTTCTTTCCCTATGGCGATGGCCGCTCTGGCTCTTGAAGGAGGCTTCACTTCCGCGCTTATCCTTGGAGAGCAGTTTTCATCCGATTCGCAGGGGTCCGCGACCTCCTATCCCAGATCCCCGCCTGGAGTTGAGGAGTGAGACCGGGTACGCCCCGGGAGCCAGAGTGAGCGGAGACCCAGAGAAGCCCGCTGGGATTTCTCTTTGATTATGAGTAGGGAAAACCCTGTGAGGCCTCTGGAAAGACATCAGAAGGATTTAGTCTAGGAGCTCAGAGCGTGTCTCCAGGTGGAGAAGAGGCGGAAAATGAGAGAGGCGGCCGGCCATTAGTGTTTGAGGCGGGCCGGTGGCCACAGGGGGCCTGAAGTCTGAGTAAGAGACCTGATTTTTTCTGCTAGAACTTTCTGCAGTGGAGGAACGGGAGGGGCACCTGGAGGGCCTCACATCGCAGCCTCAAGAATCTCGCAGTAGGCCGGCTGCGGTGGCTCACGCCACACTTTGGGAGGCTGAGGCAGGCGGATCTCCTGAGGTCAGGAGCTCGAGACCAGCCTGGCCAACATAGCGAAAACCCGTCTCTACTAAAAATACAAAAATTAGCAGGGCGTGGTGGCGCATGCCTGTAATCCCAGCTACTTGGGAGGCTGAGGCAGGAGAATCACTAGAACCTGGGAGGCGGAGGTGGCAGTGAGCTGAGATCGCGCCACTGCACTCCAGCCTGGGCGACAGAGTGAGACTCGGTCTCAAAAAAAAAAAAAAGAAAGAAAGAAAGAAAGAAAGAAAGAAAGAAAGAAAGAAAAGAAAAAAGATTGTCGCAGTAGAGTTGACGACGGTGGTCAGATGAGGTAGTCCATGCCAATCGGGGCGGTCCTCTCCCCCTCACGTGTTCCTCCCTTGTGTACCCACCCTGCCAGGGCCCTTCCCTTGTATATAGTTCCATTCCTTGCATGCACTCAACTTTTTCTCCCCTTTTATGCTTCCTTTAATAGGAAAGAGAGTGAGAGGTGAAAGTTTTTAATCTGTGCATTTCAGTTTTCATTTACCTTGGAATGACCGTGTTCCACCTTAGAACGAATACCTCTTCCTTACTAGTGCTGTACTAGCATCTTCAAGGAGAGCTTTAGAGAGATGGGATTTCCATCCTCTGGGAATTTAAAAGCCTATACAGGTAGCATGGAGATAAATACATGTACAAAAGAGAGATGAACCTGAGTTTGAGTACATCAAGCCCCAGCTGGTTCTTAGACATATTGAGAATAAGGGTGTACTTACCACAGTTTTTTGTTTTTTTTGAGACGGAGTCTCGCTTTGTTGCCCAGGCTGGAGTGCAGTGGCACGATCTCTGCTCACTGCAAGCTCCGCCTCCCAGGTTCACGCCATTCTCCTGCCTCAGCCTCCCAAGTAGCTGGGACCACAGGCACCCGCCACCACACCCGGCTAATTTTTTGCATTTTTAGTAGAAACGGGGTTTCACCGTGTTAGCCAGGATGGTCTCGATCTCCTGACCTCGTGATCCGCCTTTCTCAGCCTCCCAAAGTGCTGGGATTACAGGCATGAACCACCGCACCCGGCCATTTACCACAATTTTTAAAAATTGGGCCGAGTTGGCTGTGCGCGGTGGCTCATGCCTATAATCCCAGCACTTTGGGAGGCCAAGGCGGGTGGATCACCTGAGGTCAGAAGTTCAAGACCCAGAAGTTCAAGACCAGTCTGGCCAACATGGTGAAACCCTGTCTCTACTAAAAATACAAAAATTAGCCAGGTGTGGTAGCACACGCCTGTAATCCCAGCTACTCGGGAGGCTGAGGCAGGAGAATCACTTGAACCTGGGAGATGGAGGTTGCAGTGAGCCAAGATCGCGCCACTCCACTCCAGGCTGGTCGACAAAGCGAGACTGCATCCCAAAAAAAATTGGGCTGGGTGTGGTGGCTCACGCCTGTAAATCACAGCACTTTGGGAAGCCGAGGCGGGTGAATCACTTGAGCTCAGGAGCGTGAGACCTGCCTGAGCAACATGGTAAACCTCTGTCTCTACCAAAAATACAAAAAATTAGCCAGGTATGATGGCGTGCACCTGTGGTCCAAGCTACTCAGGAGTCTGAGTTGGGAAGATTGCTTGAGCCTGATAGGTGGAGGTTGTAGTGAGCCAAGATCGCAACATTGCACTCCAACCTGGTTAATAGAGTGAAGCCCCAGCTCAAAAGGAAAGAAAACCATATATTTTAAATTTGTGACTATTTGGCATGTTTTGCTCCACAAAATCTAGTTGTAATTTAGTTCCTAAGTTTTTAACTCATTAAACAAGAAATGTTTTCAGAGCTCCTATTATGTTCCAGGAATGATTTTTAGGTTCTAGGGCTGTAGTAGTAAATAAAGAAAAAATTATTGTCCTCAAAAGAGCTTAATATTACATTCTAGTAAACATGGATATCTGTAGAGACAGAAAAGACAAGTTAATAGTGTATTAGAATGATGTAGTGTTACATTAGAATGATGTAGTATTACACTATTAGAATAGTGTAATAGTGTATTAGAATGATGATGTGTTGCAGAGAAAAAAGCAGGGGAGAGCCATAGTGATTGTCAAGAGGTTACTTCTTTTTAATTTTTTTTTTTTTTTTTTTTTGAGAAGAGTCTTGCTCTGTCGCCCAGGCTAGAGTGCAGTGGCGCGATCTCTGCTCACTGCAAGCTCCACCTCCTGGGTTCGCGCCATTCTCCTGCCTCAGCCTCCTGAGTAGCTGGGACCACAGGTGCCTGACACCATGCCCGGCTAATTTTGTGTGTGTGTGTGTGTGTGTGTGTGTGTGTGTGTGTGTGTGTGTGTGTGTTTCATATTTTTAGTAGAGATGGGGTTTCACCGTGTTAGCCAGGATGGTCTCGATCTCCTGACCTCGTGATCTGCCCACCTCGGCCTCCCAAAGTGCTGGGATTACAGGCGTGAACCACCGCACCCAGCCAATTATTTTTATTTTTTTCAGATAGAGTCTCGCTCTCTCACCCAGGCTGGAGTACGATGGCGCAGTCTTGGCTCACTGCAACCTCCGCCTCCTGGGTTCAAGCGATTCTCCTGCCTCAGCCTCCCAAGTAGCTGGAACTACAGGTGTGGACTACCACGTCCAGCTAATTTTTTGTATTTTTTTTTTTTTTTTTTTTTTGAGACGGAGTCTCGCTCTGTCGCCCAGGCCGGACTGCGGACCGCAGTGGCGCAATCTCGGCTCACTGCAAGCTCCGCTTCCCGGGTTCACGCCATTCTCCTGCCTCAGCCTCCCGAGTAGCTGGGACTACAGGCGCCCGCCACCGCGCCCGGCCAATTTTTTGTATTTTTTTTAGTAGAGATGGGGTTTCACCATGTTGCCCAGGTGGGTCTTGAACTCCAGAGCTCAGACAATCCTCCTGCCTCAGCCTCGCGAAGTGCTAGGATTACAGGTGTGAGCTACCACTCCTGGCCTAGAGGTTACAAGTTTGAATAAGTAATTTGAAGGAGATAGAGTTGTCTGTCATGCTGATATCTGAGGGAGGAGTGCACCAAAATGAGGGTGCAGCACGCAAAAGCGACATGAAACTGCTTGTGCCCAGCAAGGGAAAACAACAGTGAGGAGCCCCATAAGAGGCATGCAACAGGGTATAGATGGGAATGGTGGAGGGCTATGGGGAGATTACAGATGCCCCTGTAGGTAATCATAGATAATTCTGGCTTTTATTTTGTGTAGGGTAAGAGCAGTGGAGGATTTGAGCAGAAGGACTATGTGATCTGACTTAAGGTTACTGTAACTCTGGCTGCTTTGTAGGGAAGAGACTGGAGTGGGACAAGGGTGAAATCAGGGAGAGTGGTTAGGAGGCCATTGCAATAATCCAGGCTGGTGGCAGTGGAGTAGGGTTGCCGCATTTAGCAAATAAAAATACAGGACACCCAGTTAAATTTGAATTTAAGGTAAACAATATTTTTTGTATGTCTCATGTAACATTGGGAAATTCAAATTTTACTTGGTATTCTATTTTATCTGGCAACCTCCAGTTGCCAGAAAGGAGGGAGTGAGGAGTGGTCAAATTCTAGATATATTTTGAAGGAATTAGTATAGTATTTGCTGACAGATTGGATGTGAGACTAAGAAAAGGGAATTGAGGAGGACTTAGATTTTGGCCTGAGCACCTGGAAGATGGAAGTGTCCTTAAATAAAATGGGAAGACCACAGGAGGAGAGTGCTTAGGGGAAGTTATGAGGATCTTGGCTTTGAACATTGTCTTAGTCCGTTTTGTGTTGCTATAACTGAATATCACAGCTAGGTGATTTAAATAAATTTATTTCTCACAGTTTTTGAGGCTAGAAAGTTCAATATCAAGGTACCAGTATCTGGAGCTCACTTTTATAACAACCCACTCTAGTGATAATGAACTCACTTCTGAATGCACTCCGGTTTACCCACTTACATTAATCTATTCATGAGGCTGGAGTCCTCATGGCCTAATCACCTCTTAACAGTCCTACCTCTTAATACTATCACAATGGTAATTAAATTTCAACATAAGTTTTTGGAGGGGACATTTAAAACATAGCATTCAGCTACGTGGGTTCAGCATGTGAAAGCTGCATATATGGAGGGCCAGTTTTTCATATATACTAGTTCTGCAGGGCTGGCTTCTGGACTTGAGTGTATGTGGATTTTGGTATATTGTTGGGGTCGGGCTGTGTCCTGGAACCAATCCTCCACATATGCAGAGGGACAACTGTAGTTCCCTTAACTGAGGTTAATGATTACTAGTTATGTGAAGGGATCCCCCCAAAATTTTATACTTTCCTTCTGAAAGAATTTTGGTGATGAGGAGCTGTAATCTGAAAGGGGCTTTTTCTGAGAGCTTATGGAGGAAAGTAAGGCAGATGAAATGATGCTTTGTTGGGGAAGATGTTACCAGAAAGGGGTCCCAGTCCAGACTCCAAGAAGGGGTTCTTGGATGTCTCACAAGAAAATTTGGAGCAAGTCTACAGAGTAGAGTGAAAGCAAGTTTATTAAGAAAGTAAAGAACTGGGCCGGGCGTGGTGGCTCACGCCTGTAATCCCAGCACTTTGGGAGGCTGATGTGGGCAGATCACAAGGTCAGGAGTTGAAGATCAGCCTGGCCAATATGGTGAAACCCCATCTCTACTAAAAAAAAATACAAAAAATTAGTCGGGCGTGGTGGCAGGTGCCTGTAGTCCCAGCTACTTAGGAGGCTGAGGCAGGAGAATCACTTGAACCCGGAAGGCGGAGGTTGCAGTGAGCCGAGATCGTGCCACTGCACTCCAGCCTGGGCAACAGAGCAAGACTCCATCTCAAAAAAAAAAAAAGAACGAAAGGAATGACTACTCCATAGAGCAGTCCCAAAAGCGGCTGGTTGGCTATTTTTATGGTTATTTCTTGATCATATGCTAAACAAGGGGTGGATTATTCATCAATTTTCTGGGAAAGGGGTGGAGATTTCCAAGAACAGGTTTCCTCTTCCTTTTAGATCATATAGGGTAACTTCTGGATATTGCCATGGCATTTGTAAACTGTCATAGCGCTGGTTGGAGTGTCTTTTTAGCATGCTAATGCGTTATAATTAGCTATGATATGCGGTGAGGGCGACCAGAGGTCACTTTTTTTTTTTTTTTGAGACACTGTCACCCAGGCTGGAGTGCCGTGGTACAATCTCTGCTCACTGCAACCTCTGCCTTCTGGTTTCAAGCGATTCTCCTACCTCAGCCTCCTGAGGAGCTGAGATTACAGGCGCGTACCAACACGCCTGGTGAATTTTTGTATATTTTTAGTAGAGATGGGGTTCCACCATGTTGACCAGGCTGGTCTCGAATTGCTGACCTCGAGTGCTGCGATTACAGCGTGAACCACTATGCCTGGCCGTAATTTTTTTTTTTTTTTTGAGACAGAGTTTGCTCTGTTACCCAGGCTGGAGTGTGGAGTACAGTGGCACAATCTCAGCTCATTGCAGCCTCCACCTCCTGGTTCAAGCTTTTCTTCTGCGTCAGCCTCCTGAGTAGCTGGGATTACAGGAGTGAGCCACTGCGCCTGGGCAATTTTTTTTTTTTTTTTTTTGTGAGATGGGGTCTTGCTCTGTCGCCCAGGCTGGAGTGCAGTGGCGCAATCTCGGCTCACTGCCACCTCCACCTCCTGGGTTCAAGCAATTCTCTTGCCTCAGCCTCCTGAGTAGTTGGGACTACAGGCACGTGCCACCACGTCCAGCTAATTTTTGTATTTTTTTTTCTTTTCTTTCTTTCTTTTTTTTCTTTTTGAGACGGAGTCTCGCTCTGTCTCCCAGGCTGGAGTGCAGTGGCGCGATCTCGGCTCACTGCAAGCTCCACTTCCTGGGTTCGCGCCATTCTCCTGCCTCAGCCTCCCGAGTAGGTGGGACTACAGGCGCCCACCACCATGCCTGGCTAATTTTTTTGTATTTTTAGTAGAGACGGGGTTTCACCATGTTAGCCAGGATGGTCTCGATCTCCTGACCTCATGATCCACCCGCCTCGGCCTCCCAAAGTGCTGGGATTACAGGCATGAGCCCCTGCGCCCAGCAATTTTTGTATTTTTAGTAGAGATGGGATTTCACCATATTGGTGAGGCTGGTCTTGAACTCTTGACCTCGTGATCCGCCCACCTCGGCCTCCCAAAGTTCTGGGATTACAGGCGTGAGCCACCGCTCCCGGCCATTTTTGTATTTTTAATAGAGATGGGGTTTCACCATGTTGGCCAGGCTGGTCTCGAACTCCTGACCTCAAGTGATCCACCCACCTCGGCCTCCCAAAGTGCTGGGATTACAGGCATGACCACTGCACCCGGCCCAGAGGTCACTTTAATTGCCATCTTGGATTTGGCGGGTTTTGAACAGCTACTTTCTTGCATTTTTTGTGATGAGCAGGGCCTTTGTGACCTGTATCGTTGCTGACCTATCTCATCCTGTGACTAAGAATGCCTAATCTCCTGAGAATGCAGCTCAGGTCCCAGCTTCATTTTACCTAGCCCCTACTCAAGATAGAGTTGCTCTGGTTCAAATGCCTCTGACAGGCTGGATGCAGTGGCACACACCTGTCATCTCAGCACTTTGGGAGGCCAAGGCAGGTGGATCACCTGAGGTCAGAAGTTCAAGACCCAGAAGTTCAAGACCAGCCTGGCCAACATGGTGAAACCCTGTGTCTACTAAAAATACAAAAATTAGCTAGGTGTGGTGGCAGATGCCTGTAATCCCAACTACTTGGGAGGCTGAGGCAGGAGAATTGCTTGAACCCAGGAGGCAAATGTTGCAGTGAGCCGAGATCGTGCCATTGCACTCCAGCCTGGGTGACAGAGCAAGACTCTGTCTCAAAAAAAAAAAAAAAAAAAAGCCTCTGACAAAAAATGTGTGGAATACAGGTGGACAGATGAGAGTGGGTAGGAAAAGCCAAGCTCATCTGCTTTAGTTTGTTACTTGATGACCGGTTATATTATTACCTTGTTTCATGTTGAAACTAGATCATGCATCAGCCAGCCCTGTGTTCTCGGAGCATTTTTTTCTTTCTGGTGAGGTTTTTTTTTTTTTTTGAGACGGAGTCTCACTCTGTCTCTAGGTGGGAGTGCAGTGGTGTGATCTCGGCTCACTGCAAACTCTGCCTCCCAGGTTCAAGGGATTCTCCTGCCTCAGCCTCCCGAGTAGCTGGGACTACAGGTGCATGCCACCACGCCTAGCTAATTTTTGTATTTTTAGTAGAGACAGGATTTCACCATGTTGGCCTGGAGGGTCTCAATCTTTTGACCTTGTGATCTGCCCACCTCGGCCTCCCAAAGTGCTGGGATTACAGGTGTGATCTGGTGAGTTTTAGTCCTTGTAACTCATGCTGCATATTTTAGAAGCTGCCGATTTAATACTGGAATATTAACCAGGTATTCTGCAATATAATTTGTAGCATACCTTAGTCTGCCATTATTCAAAATTGTGATTGTTTCTAAAGAAATGTCTGTTTTTCAGCCCTTGTAAACGTTTAAAAATTTCTAGCCTTTTCCTTAAATAAAAATAGTCCTCATGATTCCTTTATTAATTTCTACATATAATATTTCTTTTTTTTTTTTTTGAGATGGAGTCTCGCTCTGTCACCCATGGTGGAGTGCAGTGGTGCGATCGCGGTTCACTGCAAGCTCCGCTTCGTGGGTTCATGCCATTCTCCTGCCTCAGCCTCCTGAGTAGCTGGGACTACAGGCGCCTGCCACCACGCCTGGCTAATTTTTGTATTTTTAGTAGAGACGGGGTTTCACCACGTTAGCCAGGATGGTCTCGATCTCCTGACCTTTTGATCCGCCCGCCTCGGCCTCCCAAACTGCCGGGATTACAGGCGTGAGCCACTGTGCCCGGCCAAATTTCTACATATAATATTTCTAAATCAGTTTGGGTTTAGCAATAACTTGTATCTCTTAAGGGAAACATGCTTTTCTGTGTGTTCTTGCTCTGCACACAGTTATTTCTTTCTGCCACTGTGGAATAAGCAGACCTCCATTACAATGCAATTTAGTTCCCTAGAACAGGGGTCTCCAACACCCAGGCCCCGGACCAGTACCAGTCAGTCCATGGCTTGTTAGGAACCAGGCCACACAGCAGGAGGTGAGCAGTGGGCCAGCCTGAGCTCTATCTCCTGTCAGGTCAGTGGCAGCATTAGATTCTCATAGGAGTGTGCATGAACCTTATTGTGAACTGCACATGCAAGGGATCTAGGTTGTGCACTCCTTATGAGACTCTAATGCCTGATGATCTGAGGTGGAACAATTTCATTTTGAAACCATCCCCAACCCCACCCGCAACCAATGTCCATGGAAAAATTGTCTTCCACAAAACTTGTCCCTGGTGCCAAAAAGGTTGGGAACTGCTGCCCTAGGACTCAAGGTCAGAGACCTAATGCCTGAGGGAAGAGAGTTTGCTTTCCATCCTGAGAAATCACCCTTAGCCATATTTTGCTAATTTGACCCATAATCACCTCTATGTGTTTTTTTTATCTTTATTCAGCTAACAAAGAACTTGCTTACTTTGCTCCTATTCTGTTTTCCCCACTTATGCTGTCCAGAGTTGCAACCTTTGTAAATCTAAACATCGACATCTCAAAATCCACTACCAACAGAGAGGGTACATGGGGCTTGATCCACTCAAGAGCAAGGAACAGTGTACTTTTTATGTAAACCATTGGAAAACTCCATACTTCATAGAAAGTATAAAATTGGATGATCTAAAGACCTCTTGTGTGGTAGGGGTTGAACAGTCATGACTGAATATAATTGACAGCTTCCTGACCTTTGTAGGACATCTTTCTTCTGGTTGAATTCTGGGAAGATGGACATCTCAGGCTTGGGTAAACCATGTGGTAAACACAGACATGCTGCACAAGTAAAGGCAGGATAACTAATCAAAAGGAAGAAATGTTACTTCATCTTCTACCACACATATATTGAATCTCTCCTGTTTAATCCAGTTAACTGGAGTTGCTGGTTTCATTCTCAACATTAAGGGGGGAGTTTGGTCATGTAGACTGAGAGAGACTACCTTTTTTACCTTCTAGTCATACAGGACCTCCTTAGACTCACCCCTTTGATGCTGGCACACTGTCAGATACCTGGAACTATAAGGGCCTTTTAAATGCTTGCATTTCTGGCTGGGCACAGTGGCTTACGCCTGTAATCCCAGCACTTTGGGAGGCCAAGGCAGGTGGATCACTTGAGGTCAGGAGTTCGGCCCAACCTGGTCAACATGGTGAGACCCTGTCTCTACTTAAAAAAAAAAAAAATTAGCCAGGAGTGACAGCACATGCCTGTAATTGCGGCTACTCAGGAGGCTGAGGCAGGAGAATAGCTTGAGCCCGGGAGGCAGCGGTTGCAGTTAGCTAAGATAACACCACTGCATTCCAGCCTGCGTGACAGAGTGGGACTTCATCTAAAAAAAAAAAAGGCTTGTATTTCTAATTCCATGAGTATAAGGTATTTTGAGGTTTATATGTATTTGCAAAAAGCAAATGACATGTCTTTTTTTTTTTGAGAAGGAGTCTTGCACTGTCGCCCAGGCTGGAGTGCAGTGGTGTGATCTCGGCTCACTGCAAGCTCTGCCTCCCGGGTTCATGCCATTCTCCTGCCTCAGCCTCCCAAGTAGCTGGGACTACAGGAGCCCACCACCATGCCCGGCTAATTTTTTATATTGTTTTAGTAGAGACAGGGTTTCACCGTGTTAACCAGGATAGTCTCGATCTCCTGACCTCGTAATCCACTTGCCTTGGCCTCCCAAAGTGCTGGGATTACAGGCATGAGCCACCGCACCCAGCCTCTTTCTTTCTTTCTTTTTTTTTTTTTTTAAGAGACAGGGTCTTGCTTTGTTGCCTGGGCTGGAATGCAGTGGTGGGATCACAGTTTACAGAAGCCTTGAATTCCTGGGCTCAAGTGATCCTGCCGCCTCAGCCTCCCAAGTAGCTGAGACTACAGGTGTATGTTGCCATGCCTAGCTTGTTTATTTATTTAAATTTTTTATTTTTAATTTTTTGACATAGTTTGAGAGATAATTTTTTGAGATTTTTTTTTTCTTCGTCGCCCAAGCTGGAGTATAGTGGCACAATCTTAGCTCACTACAGCCTTGACCTCTTGGGCTCAAGTGATCCTCCCATCTCAGCCTCCCAAGTAGGTGGGACTATAGGCTTGTGCCACCACACCCTGCTAATTTTTTTTTTTTGAGGCAGAGTCTCACTCGATCGCCCAGGCTGGAGTGCAGTGGCACGATCTTGGCTCACTGCAACCTCTGCCTCCCCGGTTCCAGTGATTCTCCTCCTCAACCTCCTGAGTAGCTGGGATTACAGGCACCCGCCACCACACCCAGCTAATTTTTTTGTATTTTTAGTAGAGACAGGGTTTCTTCATGTTGGCCAGGCTGTTCTCAAACTCCTGACCTCAAATGATCCACCTGCCTCTGCTTCCCAAAGTGCAGGGATTACAGGCGTGAGCCACTGCGCCCGGCTTTTTTTTTTTTTTTTTGAGATGGGGTCTCACTCTGTCGCCCCAGGCTGGAGTGCAGTCGTGTGACCTTGGCTCACTGCAACCTCTGCCTCCTGGGTTCAAGCAATTCTCCTGCCTCAGCCTCCCAAATAGCTGGGACTACAGGCACGTCCCACCACACCCAGGTAATTTTTGTATTTTTAGTAGAGACAGGGTTTCACCATGTTAGCCAGGATGGTCTGGATCTCCTGACCTAGTGATCCACCCGCCTCGGTCTCCCAAAGTGCTGGGATTACACATGTGAGCCACTGCTCCTGGCCTCTCCATTTAGTTTTTTTTTTTTTTTTTTTGAGCTGGGGTCTCGCTCTGTCGCCCAGGCTGGAGTGCAGTGGCGCGATCTCGGCTCACTGCAAGCTCCACCTCTTGTGTTCATGCCATTCTCCTGCCCCGGCCTCCTGAGTAGGTGGGACTACAGGCACCCACCACCACGCCTGGCTAATTTTTTGTATTTTTTAGTAGAGACGGGGTTTCACCCTGTTAGCCACGATGGTCTTGATCTCCTGACCTAGTGATCCGCCCTCCTCGGCCTCCCAAAGTGCTGGGATTACAGGCGTGAGCCACTGCGCCCGGCTTCCATTTAGTTCTAATTTGATTTCTGTCATCAGAGTTTTGTAGTTTTCCTCATATAGATATTGTATATATTTTGTCACAGTTATACCTAAGTATTTCTTTTTTGGGGGTGCAAATATAAATGGTTTTGTGTTTCTATTTATTTACTTATTTTTTTTGAGACAGTGGCATGATACAAAAATTAGCCAGGTGTGGTGGCGGGTGCTTGTAATCCCAGCTACTCAGAAGAATTGCTTGAACCTAGGAGGCAAAGGTTGCAGTGAGCCAAGATCGAGCCACGGCACTCCAGACTGGGTGACAAGAGCAAAACTCCGTCTCAAAAAAAAAAAACAGAAATTTTCACTAATTGGATGGGAATATAGCTGCTGGAATGTCTTCGTGTACATATAATAGTCACTAGTAATCTTTGGAAAAAATTATACTGTTAACTTTCTTAATATTCACCTATTCTTTCTAATAGGTATAACTATAAGAAATGAATTTTAATGTCTGGAATATCAAAGAGATGCTCAGTATTCCTTCAGGCTCTGGGTAAGTTTTCTGGTTATATTGTCTGATCCTTAAGAGGATTTTCTGGCCGGGCATGATGGCTCACACCTGTAATCCCAGCACTTTGGGAGGCCAAGGTGGGCAGATCACAAGATCAGGAGATCAGGACCATCCTGGCTAACACGGTGAAACCCCGTCTCTACTAAAAATACAAAAAAATTTAGCCGGGCATGGTGGCGGGTGCCTATAGTCCCAGCTACTCAGGAGGCTGAGGTAGGAGAATGGCGTGAACCTGGGAGGTGGAGCTTGCAGTGAGCCGAGATTGCGCCACTGCACTCCAGCCTGGGCGACAGAGCGAGACTCCGTCTCAAAAAAAAAAAAAAAAAAAAGGATTTTCCAGTTTCATTGATTTCATAGAAAATGGGTTCCTGGTCAGGCATGGTAGCTCACGCCTATAATCCCAGCACTTTGAGAGGCCCAGGTGGGTGGATCACCTGAGGTGATCAGGAGTTCACGACTAGCTTGGCCAACGTGGCAAAACCCCATCTCCACTAAAAAAAAAAATACAAAGAGTAGCCAGGCAAGGTGGTGTGCACCTGTAATCTCAGCTACTGGGGAGGCTGAGGCAGGAGAACTGCTTGAACCTGGGAGGCGGAGCTTGTGGTGGGCTGAGATTGCGCCACTGCACTCTAGCCTGGGCAACAGAGTGAGACTCAATCTCAAAAAAAAAAAAAAAAAGAGGGTTCCCTTCCCATCAGGTTATAATAATGGAAGTGTGTCCAGAATTGGTGGGTTCTTGGTTTCACTGACTTCAAGAATGAGGCCAAAGACCCTTGCGGTGAGTGTTACAGTTCTTAAAAGCGGCATGTCCAGAGTTTGTTCCTTCTGATGTTTGGATGTGTTTGGAGTTTCTTCCTTCTGGTGGGTTTGGGGTCTTGCTGGCTCAGGAGTGAAGCTGCAGACCTTTGCGGTGAGTGTTAACAGCTCATAAAGGCAGTGCGGACCCAAAGATTGAGCAGGAGCAAGATTTATTGCAAAGAGTGAAAGAACAAATCTTCCGCAGTGTGGAAGAGGATCGGAGCTGGTTGCCACTGCTGGCTCGGGCATCCTCCTTTTATTCCCTTATCTGGCCCCACCCACATCCTGCTGATTGGTCCATTTTACAGAGAGCTGATCGGTCTGTTTTACAGAGAGCTGATTGGTCCGTTTTGACAGGGTGCTGATTGGTGTGTTCACAATCCCTGAGCTAGACACAAAAGTTCTCCAAGTCCCCACAGAGCACTGATTGGTGCATTTACAAACCTTGAGCTAGACACAGGGTGCTGATTGGCGTGTTTGCAAACCTTGAGCTAGACAGAGTGCTGATTGTTGTATTTACAATCCCTTAGCTAGACATAAAGGTTCTCCAAGTCCCCACTAGATTAGCTAGACACAGAGCACTGATTGGTGCATTTACAAACCTTGAGCTAGGCACAGAGTGCTGATTGTTGTATTTACAATTCCTTAGCTAGACATAAAGGTTCTCCAAGTCCCCACCAGATTAGCTGATACAGAGTGCTGATTGGTGCATTTACAAACCTTGAGCTAGACACAGAGTGCTGATTGGTGTATCTACAATCCTTTAGCTAGACATAAAGTTTCTCCAAGTCCCCACTAGACTCAGGAGCCCAGCTGGCTTCACCTAGTGGATCCTGCACTGGGGCCGCAGGCGGAGCTGCCTGCCAGTCCCACACCATGTGCCCACACTCCTCAGCCCTTGGGTGGTCGATGGGACCGGGCACCACGGAGCAGGGGGCAGTGCTAGTCAGGGAGGCTGGGGCCACGTAGGAGCCCATGGTGGGCCGGCACTGCTGGAGGACCCGGTGCACCCTCCACAGCTGCTGGCCCAGGTGCTAGGCCCCTCACTGCCTGGGGCCAGCGGCGCAGGCTGGCTGCTCTGAGTGCAGGGCCTGCCAAGCCCATGCCCACCTGGAACTCGAGCTGGCCCGCAAGTGCATGCGCAGCCCTGGTTTCTGCCCGTGCCTCTCCATCACACCTCCCTGCAAGCAGAGGGAGCTGGCTCTGACCTCGGCTAGCCCAGAGAGGGGCTCCCATAGTGCAGCGACAGGCTGAAGGGCTCCTCAAGCATGGCCAGAGTGGACGCCAAGGCCAAGGAAGCTCCGAGAGCAAGCGAGGGCTGCCAGCATGCTGTCACCTCTCAGAGGTACCTCATACAGACTCTTCTTCTCTTCATCTCTTCTGTATCTGCTGTATCTTCTTGTGCTTTTTTTATTCTGTCCATTACAAAAGTGGTATGAATCCAGCTCTGTGTGTTAACTGAGGAATGACTTTGTATCTAGCATTGGGCCTGTTAGTGTCAGAGAAGGTCCAACATCTGGACACTCAGTCCAGTTGCGGCAACTGCTACTGAAATAGCAAGGAGCAAAATCGAGATGATGTTCAGATATATGTTCAGTTGTACAGTGCAGTTTATGGGTACTGTGGAGATTAAGAGGCACTCTAGGTATTGACAAGGCTCATTGAGGTATTGTCCTCTCAACTACTCCACTAAGGTACTTACACTGGTGTCTACCATCCTGCAATAAGCTTGCCACTGCTAACTTAGTGAGTATGCCTGAGAAGTAGTGTATATTTAAGGGATTTGTAATTGCTTATTATATGCTCTTATCACTGGATAGTTTCTTTCCTCTTTAACACCTTCCTGAAGTTATCAATCGATCAGAAACCTAGAGCACTGTTTTTTTTAATTTCTCAAAAAAAAAAATGCTTACAGTTGATAGGGAGTAGTGAAAAACTATCTTTATTTCTAGATCATATATATATATATATATATATATATTTTTTTTTTTTTTTTTTTTTTTTGAGACGGAGTTTCACTCTTGTTGCCCAGGCTGGAGTGCAATGGCGTGGTCTCAGCTCACTGCAACCTTCACCTCCTGGGTTCAAGCAATTATCTCACCTCAGCTTCCCAAGTAGCTGGGATTACAGGTGCCTGCCACCACACCCAGCTAATATTTGTATTTTTAGTAGAGACAGGGTTTCACCATGTTGGAAAGTCTGATCTCAAACAACTGACCTCAGGTGATCTGCCCGCCTCAGCCTCCCAAAGTGCTGGGATTACAGGCATGAGACACCACGCCCAGCAAATCTTCATTAAGTCCAATTCCTCTGTTGGACTTTTTTGTTTTTGTTGCTGCTTGTTCCTTCAGTATCATATCCAAGATTGCCAAATCCAATGTCATGAAGCTTTTGCCTTCTCTCTTTTTTTTTTTTTGAGATGGAGTCTCACTCTGTTGCCCAGGCTGGAGTTTAGTGGCACGATCTCGGCTCACTGCAACCTCTGCCTCCCAGGTTCAAGCAATCCTCCTGCCTTAGCGCCCCCAGTAGCTGGGATTACAGGCATGCACCACCATGCCCAGCTAATTTTTGTTTTTTTGTAAAGACGAGGTTTCGCTATGTTGGCCAGGCTGGTCTTGGGACTCCTGACCTCAGGTAATCCAACCGCCTCAGCCTCCCAAAATGCTGGCATTACAGGCATGACTCCATGCCTGGCCTTCATAGTTTTAAGATATAAATCCTACATAATTTCAGTAGGCTCACAAAACTGTTCCCAGCCTACCAAGCCTAGCTAATTATTCTCTTTGGCCCAAGAGGAAAATCATAGAGAACTATTTTGAGCAATGATGGTGTTACCCATATTATATGTTTGTAACCCATTACTTAGTTTATCTCAGGGAATGTTTCTGTTACCAAAACACCAGGGGTTCAGTCTAGGTCCTGCTGCTCGCCACACAGAAAGCCAATCACTGAGATGAGGAGTATTACCAAGGAAGAAGGCTTTAATTGGGTGCTACAGCCAAGGAGATGGGAGCTTAGCCTCAAATCCATCTCCCTGACTAAAATTAAGGGTTTATTTAGCAGGGAGGAAATGTAACAATTTGTAAGAAAACAAGAACTAGGGAGGGGCAAGGAGGCATCTAGTGCAGTGATCTGGTGAGTTTCAGTTATTTGATACTTTTTTGAGAGGCCTGAAGGTCCTTTTCTGAGGAAGAAACTCAGATAAACAAATGCAAGTTTCAAGCTTTAACAGGAGAAGGGTCAATTTCTACATTTATCCAAAAACAACTGTCTATGGGACTAGGGCTAGTTTCATTTCTGAGTAAAAATAATCACCCTTCTCTATCCTGAACTATTAGAGTCTCTTTCTGTTTTAATAATAATGTTTATATCAAAATAGAAACAAGTAGTATTAATATTATAAAGGCTTCTTTGGCTCACAATATGTACTTATATGTTATCTAATTGCTTTGAATTTAACATTTGATAAAGGAATGATTTGTGTATGTGTTTTAATGCAGCAGTCCCTAACCTTTTTGGTAACAGGGACCAGTTTGTGGAAGACAATTTTTCCACAGACCAGGATACGGAGAAATTGTTTCAGAATGATTCAAGTGCATTAGATTTATCATGCACTTTGTTTCTATTATTACATTGTAATATATAATAGAATAATTATGGTCAGGCACAGTGGCTCACACCTGTAATCCCAGCACTTTGGGAGGCCGAGGCAGGCATATTGCTTGAGGTCAGGAGTTTGAGACCAGCCTGGCCAACATGGCGAAACCTTGTCTTTACCAAAAAATACAAAAATTAGCCGGGTGTGGTGGTGGGCTCCTGTAATCCCAGCTACCCGGGAGGCTGAGGGACGAGAATTGCTTAAATGTAAGGCCTAACACCATAAAAACCCTAGAAGGAAACCTAGGCAATACCATTCAGGACATAGGCATGGGCAAAGACTTCATGACTAAAACACCAAAAGCAATGGCAACAAAAGCCAAAATAGACAAATGGGATCTAACTAAACTAAAGAGCTATGCACAGCAAAAGAAATTATCATCAGAGTGAACAGGCACCCTACGGAATGGGAGAAAATTTTTGCAATCTACACATCTGATAAAGGGCTAATATCCAGAATCTACAAAGAAATTAAACAAATTCACAAGAAAAAAAACCCCATCAAAAAGTGGGCAAAGAATATGAACAGACACTTCTCAAAATAAGACATTTATGCAACCAACAGACATATGCAGAAATGCTCATCATCACTTGTCGTCAGAGAAATGCAAGTCAAAAACCACAATGAGATACCATCTCAAGCCAGTTAGAATGGCGATCATTAAAAAGTCAGGAAACAACAGATGCTGGAGAGGATGTGGAGAAATAGGAACACTTTTACACTGTTGGTGGGAGTGTACATTAGTTCAACCATTGTGGAAGACAGTGTGGCAATTCCTCAAGGATCTGGAATAGAAATACCATTTGACTCAGCAATCCCATTACTGGGCATATACCTAAAGGATTATAAATCATTAACTGATAAAGACACATGCACATGTATATTTATTGTGGCACTGTTAACAATAGCAAAGACTTGGAACTAACCCAAATGTTTATCAATGAGAGACTGGATTAAGAAAATGTGGCACATATACACCATGGAATACTATGCAGCCATAAAAAAGAATGAGTTCATGTCCTTTTCAGGGACATGGATAAAGCTGGAAACCATCATTCTAAGCAAACTATCACAAGGACAGAAAACCAAACACCACATGTTCTCACTCAAGTGGGAGTTGAACAATGAGAACACATGGACACAGGATAGGGAACATCACACACCAGGCTGGTTGGGGGGTGGGGGGCTGGGGGGCTGGGGGAGGGATAGCATTAGGAGAAATACCTAATGTAAATGAGGAGTTGATGGGTGCAGCAAACCAACATGGCACATGTATACCTAAGTAATAAACCTGCACGTTGTGCACATGTACCCTAGAACTTAAAGTATAATAAAAAAAAAAAAAAAGAAAAAATTATACAGCTCACTGTGATGTAGAATTAGTGGGAGCCCTGAGTTTGCTTTCCTGCAACTAGACGGTCCCATTTGTGGGTGATGGGAGACAGTGACAGATCATCAGGCATCAGATTCTCATAAGGAGCGCACAACCTAGATCCCTTGCATGTGCAGTTCACAATAGGGTTTGTGCTCCTGTTAGAATCTAATACTGGTACTGATCTGACAGAAGGCAGAGCTCAGATGGTAATAGAGACCAGCCTGGGCAACATGACTGTCAGTTCCCGGGTCTGGGTCCAGCCCATGCTGAAGTCCAAGGGGAGTGGGTGGATAAGCAGAAAGAACATTTGGGGGTCTGTAGGCAGATGAATATGGTTTTATTCTGCAGCTTTCTCATTAGCAGCTTACTCTCACACTGGCTTTCTTATTAGCAGCTTACTCTCACACTCTCCGCCCTGCTGTCTTGGCTGCTTGAGCTGGCTGCCCCCATGAGCAGCTGCGCAGCTGGCTCTCCCTTCCCTTCAGGGTCAGCAGCTTAACTCTTTCTCTGGGCACAAGCAAGCTGAGGTGTATCCTGGTTCCCACCTCTCCGTCTGCAAAGAAGGACAGCTCCGGCTCTCTCTCTCTCTTTCTCTGGGTGCCAGCATGCCCACCATGTCAAGCCATGTTGAGCTGAGCCAAGCCAAGCCCCCAAGAGACCCCTGTACAGTGTCAGCAGGACAGTTAATACCTTTTTTTTTTTTTTTTTTTTTTTTGAGATAGTCTTGCTCTGTTGCCCAGGCTGGAGTGCAGTGGATGCAATCTTGGCTCACTGCAGCCTCTGCCTTCTGGGTTCTAGTGATTCTCTTGCCTCAGACTCCCAAGTAGCAGGGATTACAAGCACATGCCACCACACCCGGCTAATTTTTGTATTTTTAGTAGAGATGGGATTTCACCATGTTGGCCAGGCTGATTTCAAACTCCTGACCTTATGATCCGCCCACCTTGGCCTCTCAAAGTGCTGGGATTATAGACGTGAGCCACTGCTCTTGGCTGCAGTTATACCTTTTTCAGACAATAGTGGCATAGAGCCAAGTATGAACTTACACAAACAGGTTATATAACAAGTGGAGTTATGTGCTTGCATGCCAAACTTGCTGAGTCATGCAGGCCTGGATATCTGCCTCGGCCTATTCCTTGACTAAAGCACATCCGTGTACCTTACAATGACAAAACCCTGTCTCTACAAAAAATAAAAAAATTAGCTGGGCGTGGTGATGCATGCCTACTAGGGAGGCTGAGTTGGGAGGATCACCTGAGCAGAGGTTGCAGTGAGATGGGATCATGCCATTGCATTCCAGCCTGGGTGACAGAGCAAGATCCTGTCTCAAAAAATGAATAAATAAAAAATAAGAGGCTCATGCTTGTAATCCCAGCACTTTGGAAGGCTGAGGCGGATGCATCACTTGAGGTCAGGAGTTTGAGACCAGCCTGGCCAACATGGTGAAACCCCATTGTTGGGAACAGGCCCCCAAGTCTGGCCATAAACGGGCCTCAAAACTGGCCAAAAACAAAATCTCCACAGCAGTGTGACATGTTCATGATGGCCTTGACGCCCACGCTGAAGGTGGTGGGTTTACCGGAATGAGGGCAAGGAACACCTCACCCACCCAGGGCAGAAAACTGCTTAAAGGCAATCCTAAACCACAACCAATAGCATGAATGATTTGTGCCTTAAGGACATGTTCCTGCTGCAGATAACTAGCCAGAGTCCATCCCTTTGTTTTGGCCCATCCCTTTGTTTCCCGTAAGGAATACTTTTAGTTAATATATAATCTATAGAAATAATGCTTATCACTGGCTTGCTGTCAATAAATATGTGGGTCAAACTCTGTTCGGGGCTGTCAGCTCTGAAGGCTGTGAGTCCCCTGATTTCCCTTTCCACACTCTATATTTCTGTGTGTGTGTCTTTAATTCTTCTAGTGCCGCTGGGTTAGGGTCTCCACAACCGAGCTGGTCTCAGCAAGTGGTGCCCATACGTGGGGCTCGAACCCTGGCCGAAGGGTCACCAGAGCAATGGTTGGAAAACGTAGAGCTAAGCTGGAGGACACCTGAGTACTCTTAAGCAATCCCTGTGGTGAGTAAGAAGGGGAGCTCGGAAGCATCAGGGTAACAATGGGACAAGTGTGGGCTCTGGTTCGTTCCACCTTGGAACCTTTCATACTAATGATGAGGAGGAAGGAAAGTATAACAAAGTAATAGAAGAGGTAATGGAGCAGGTTTGCTTGCCAGCTAAAGCTAAAGTGGCAAAGGAGGAAGAGTTTCATCCCTACCCTTCTGCACCCCCTCCTTATTTTGAAGAAAAAGAGTGGCCTGAGCCTCCAGATCTTTCTTTTCCGGAGGACACTGGGTGAAAAGTGGTTGCCCCAGTGACTGAGCAGCACCTTGAGCAACTGCTCTCAGTTCTATTCAGGCAGGAATTCAGCAAGCTAGACAAGAGGGTGATATAGAGGCTTGGCAGTTCTCTGTTAGGATACACCCCACAGATCAACAGGGAAATATTATAGCTACATTTGAGCCTTTTCCTTTTAAATTCGGGAAATGCCATGAGGGTCCCGTCCCGGGCCCTGTTCCAAACTGGGGCATTTCCGGCTCAGGCAATTCCCTCATCTGTGTACAATGCCTGTCCCCCACCACAGCTGGTAGTGCCGCAGTAGATTTGTGTCCAGAATTTATTCCTTCCAGCAGGTTCTTGGTCTCGCTGACTTCAGGAATGAAGCCGCAGACCTTAGTGGTGAGTGTTACAGCTCTTAAAGATGGTGTGTCCGGAGTTTGTTCCTTCAGATGTTAAGATGTGTCTGGAGTTTCTTCCTTCCAGTGGATTTGTGGTCTTGCTGACTTTAGGAGTGAAGCCATGGATCTTTGTGGCGAGTGTCACAGCTCTTAAAGGTGGTGCAGACCCAGCCAGCCATGGTGGCTCATGACTGTAATCCCAGCACTTTGGGAGGCTGAGGTGGGCGGATCATGAGGTCAGGAGATCAAGACTATACTGGCTGACACAGTGAAACCCCATCTCTACTAAAAATATAAAAAATTAGCCGGGCGTGGTGGTGGGCACCTGTAGTTCCAGCTACTCAGGAGGCTGAGGCAGGAGAATGGCATGAACCTGGGAGGCAGAGCTTGCAGTGAGCTGAGATAGCGCCACTGTACTCCAGCCTGGGCGACAGTTCAAGACTCCATCAAAAAATAAAAAATAAAAGGTGGCGTGGACCCAAAGAGTGAGCAGCAGCAAAAGAACAAATCTTCCACAATGTGGAAGGGGACCCGAACGGGTTGCCGCTGCTGGCTCCAGTGGCCAGCATTTATTCCATAATTTGGCCCTGCCCACATTCTGCTGATTGGTCCACTTTACAGTGAGCTGATTGGCCCATTTTACAGAGTGCTGATTGGGCCATTTTACAGAGTGCTGATTGGTGCATTTACAATCCTTTAGCTAGACACAGAGTGCTGACTGGTGTGTTTTTACAGAGTGCTGATTGGTGCATTTTTACAGAGTGCTGATTGGTGCATTTACAATCCTTTAGCTAGACACAGAGCGCTGATTGGTGTATTTTTACAGAGTGCTGATTGGTGCGTTTACAATCCTTTAGCTAGACACAGAGCACTGATTGGTGCATTTTTACAGAGTGCTGATTAGTGCGTTTACAATCCTTTAGCTATACACATAGTGCTGATTGGTGCGTTTTTTACAGAGTGCTGATGGTGCATTTACAATCCTTTAGCTAGACACAGAGCGCTGATTGGTGCAGTTACAATCCTCTAGCTAGGCAGAAAAGTTCTCCAAGTCCCCACTCGACCCAGGAAGTCCAGCTGGATTCACCTCTCAATCCCCCCTCTAAACAGGACACCCCAACTGCTGTTGGGAATTGGGTGATGACCGCTATAGCTACTTCCTGCTGGTTAGGGGCGAAGAAGGGGCCCTGCTGTGGTAGTGTCCTCCAGAGGGGAACTCTCTAGGCCAGCCAAAGGGCCAGTGGGTCAATCCAGGGGTCCTTGGTAGAAGTTGTTAGTTGAGCTCATTTGGGGTTCCATTTGTAAGACCATCTATAGACTGATGGCCTCGATACTAGAGGAAACAAATTTGACAAGGATGTTAAAACACAGGGCCCGAAGGCGAGTAATAGCAAGATGGCTGTCAGGAGGCCTAGAAAGGGGAGAAGCCTTGTCGCCCAACTCCAGAGGCTGGTATAAGAGTTTGAAAGGCACTGTCTGATTTCAGAAGCCTTTTCCTATAAACGCCGGGTGGCATCTTGTACTATCGCTGACTGGTTAGTGTAAAAACAGCACTCTTACCCTAAGAAGGTGCAGAGTCCTCCTTTCTCAGCAGTGAGGAGGTCTAGGTCTCAGCAGTTTTGGAGAGTTAGTGATGCCAAAGAGTCTATTTGGGATTGTAGAGTAAGGATAGATTTCGTCATTTCTTGCAAACTGTCTGAGAAATCCTTTGAGAGTCTGTGGTAGTAGCATAATGAAGTAGATAAACTGGCTATTCTGGTTTCTGTAGCCATAGCTGTTCCTAACCCTATAAGTAGGGGTATTAGTTGTATGGCTCTGCGCTGACGGATAGAGAGCTACAAAGCCAACAGTCATTTGCCAGGGAAGGATTGGACTGGTTTAACAGAGAGTGGGTTAAGTTGAGAGTCTTGTACAGGTAATTAGGAGCTAGGGGAAGGGGAGGGGCAATTGTATGAGGTGTCCAAGGAAGCAGGAGGGATAGATAGGCAAAGAGTAAATAGGAAGGTAAGGAGGGTGCTCTGGAACACGAGATCATTTTATCCAGTCTGAGTTAAAGGTGGGAGTAAATTGCTGTCAGAAGGAAGGAAGATAGAAAAAAGGTTGATGTGATTAGGATTTGCATCCCAGCAGGAGCTATAGTATGTAGTCCTATCGTAAAGAGTATGGTTAGTATGCTGCTTAATAATATTATGAAATAGTAAAAGGATTCCATTAAAGGGGCAAGGAGAGGTATTAAAGATTATGTAGGTTTTCACTTATCTTTTTTAAGGAGGAAAGGGTTTTTCCTCAGGATCAGTGGTAGGAGCCTTTTTAGTCTGGGATATTTCCTTTCAAAATAGGAGATGCAAGTCCTCCAATGGTTCGCAAGTTTATTGAGGCTGGTCTGGGTGATCTTGGGACTCCTGAACTGACGGTCCTGCAGGTTCCGCAGGGGGTGTCCAAAATTTAACTCAATTGTAGTGAATCCAAGATTCCACTCCTGCCACCTTAACTGCAGTGGGGTTAGAAAGGATTACCGAGTATGGTCCTTCCTACAAATAATCCATAGATGGAGAGGTAGATGGGAGAGATTTGACCAACACTAGATCTCCTGGTTGAAACAACTCTGTTCCCTTTTCTCTGTGACATCCTTCAGGTAGGTTTTTAAGGTTTCATTGATATTTTGCCAAAGAAGTTATGTATTTGACCAAGTTGGCCGTTTCCTGATCAAGTAGGAGGTCATTTGTGATAAAAGGTTGTCCATACAGCATTTCATATGGACTGAGCCCCATATTGTGAGGAGAATTTCAGATTCTTAACAAGGCCATGGGCAAAAGACTAGGCCATGGGAGATGAGTTTCTTGTGTTAGTTTCCTTAAGTGCTTTTTGAGTGTTTCATTTGCTTTCTCGACCTTCCCTGAGGATTGTGGCCTCCAGGCACAGTGAAGGTGATATTGTATCCCTAGTGCCCTCGAAATTCCCTGAGTTATCATGGCTTTAAAAGCCTGACCATTGGCCAGGTGTGTGGCTTATGCCTGTAATCCCAGCACTTTGGGAGACCGAGGCGGGCGGATCACGAGGTCAGGAGATTGAGACCATCCTGGCTAACACGGTGAAACCCCGTCTCTACTAAAAATAAAAAAAATTAGCTGGGTGTGGTCGTGGGCACCTATAGTCCCAGCTACTCGGGAGGCTGAGGCAGGAGAATGGCGCGAACCCGGGAGGCAGAGCTTGCAGTGAGCCGAGATCACGCCACTGCACTCCAGCCTGGGAGAGAGAGTGAGACTCCGTCTCAAAAAAAAAAAAGCCGGACCATTGTTGGTCTGTAAGCTTTGGGGAAGCCCAAATCTAGAAATTATTTCATGTATTAGGACTTTAATTGCTTCCTGAGCCTTCTCTGTCTTGCAGGGAAAAGCATCTATCCAATTTGTAAAGGTATCAACACAGACCAACAAGTATTGAAATCCGTTTGACTTAGGGATATGGGTGAAGTCTAACTGCCAGTCCTCTCCAGGATAGTGACCTATTCTTTGTTCCCCCAAAGGGACCTTACGATGGACCAAAGGATTCTTCCTTTGGCACACCTCACAGGCTTTGACTACCTGTTGGATGGCCCGGAAGAGATTTGGCCCTGTAGATAGGGATTTGGCCATTTGATGAGTGTTTTCAATACCCATATGAAAAGTTTGGTGGAGCGTTTTAAGTATTTTCTGGTGTCTGGCTTTAGGCATAAGTACCTTTCCTTCTTCTGTTGTTAACCACCCCGAGGGGAGAAAACTATGCCCCCATGAAAGTCCCCATTCTGTTTCAGTCGGGGAATACTGGGGCTTAATCTCGTGGAGGGAGTTGTTCCATACCAAGGATCCTTCCGTAGGTATTTCTAATGGGAGGTTCCACCTGGCAGCAATTTTGGCCTCAGCATCTGCCTGACGGTTTCCTTCTGCCTTTTCTCCCTCACCTTTCTGATGGCTTTGGCAGTGTAAGACTGCCACCTCCTTGGGTTTTTGCACTGTGTGCAATAACTCCATAATTTCCTTGTGGTATTTAATGGGGGTTCTTCCCAGAGGTTAGGAACTCCCTTTCTTTCTATATTGCAGCATGGGCATGTAGGATTAGATAACCATACTTGCTATCTGTATACACATTTATTCTTTTTCTTTTTCCCAGTTCTAAGGCTCTGGTAAGTGCCACTAGTTCTGCTAACTGGGCGCTGGTCCCTGGGGGAAGAGGCTTACTTTCAAGTATGGTTACATCACTAACTATGGCATAACCTGCCCTTCGTATCCCATTCTCCACAAATGAACTTCCATCGGTATATAGGTTAAGGTCAGGATTAGCTAAGGGGACTTCTAAGATATCATCTTGAGCGGCATAAGTCTGGACTATAATTTGTTGGCAGTCACACTTGATTGGTTCCCCATCCTCTGGGAGAAAAGTGGCAGGGTTGAGGGCTACGCATGTATGTATTTGAAGGGCCATTCCCTCAAGGAGTAGCACCTGGTATCTAAGTAGGCAGTTGTCTGATAGCGATAAACTTCCTTTGACACCTAGTATGCCATTTACATGAGTAGTCCAGACAGTGAGATTCTTTCCTTGTATTATTTTGATAGCCTCTGTCACTAAGACGGCCACTGCCGCAACTACCCGTAAACAGTGAGGCCAGCCTTTTGCTACTACATCAGTTTCTTTATTTAGGTATGCCACTGGTTATGGGGTTGTCCTGCGGGTCTGAGTAAGGACTCCAAGAGCTATCCCTGCTCTCTCTGTGATGTATAAAGAGAAGTTTTGGCTGGGCGCAGTGGCTCACGCCTGTAATCCCAGCACTTTGGGAGGCTGAGGCGGGCAGATCATCAGGTCAGGAGTTCAAGACCAGCCTGACCAACATGGTGAAACCCCGTCTCTACTAAAAATAAAAAATTAGCTGGGCATGGTGGTGGGTGCCTGTAATCCCAGCCACTCAGGAGGCTGAGGCAGGAGAATCACTTGAACCCAGGAGGCAGAGGTTGCAGTGAGCAGAGATTGCGCCATCGCATCCCAGCCTGGGTGACAGAGTGAGACTCCGTCTCAAAAAAAAAAAAAGAAAAGTTTTGTCCTGTGGGAAGGCTTAAGGCTGGAGCTTGAGTTTGTTCCTTCCAATGCCCAAACTTCAGGGTTGATTCCCTCCACCGGTAGGGGACAACAAATGGGTAACTTATTCCCCCATATTCATGTAGATAATAGCTCCAGCTTTGGCTAATATATCCCTCCCTAATAAGGGTGTGGGACTTTCAGGCACAACAAGAAAGACATGTGAAAAGAGCAAAGTCTCCCAATTACAACTGAGAAGGTGGGAGAAATACCTGGTTACAGGCTGTCCCAGTACTCCTTGGATGGTAACAGACCTTGAGGACAGTCGCCCGGGACAGGAGATTAACACTGAGAAGGCCGTGCCGGTGTTCAGGAGGAAGTCAATTTCCTGGCCCTCGATGGTTATACATACCCAGGGCTCAGTGAGGGTGATGACATGAGCTGGCGCTTGCCCCGGGCACCCTCAGTCCTGTTGTTGGATCATCTGGTTGGGGGCTTGTGGCCCAGAGGACCTTTGTCCTCTGGGGTAGTGCACCTTCCAGTGATTGCCTTGGCATAATGGACATAAGTGAAGGGGCAGCTCGTTTCTCATTGGACACTCTTTTAAAGTGTCCTTGCAAACCACACTGGTAACAAGCCCTACCAGGTAATTGGCATGCTCCATTTTCTGTCCTCTCTGAACCACCAAGGTTGGTTTGTCTGAGTGCCATGACTAAGGCTGCAGCCTTTCTCTGATCTCACTTTTCCTTTTGGGCCTGTTCCTCTTGGTCCCTACACCGAGGTAGCCAGGTTTAATAATGCCTCCAGATTTTGTTCAGGGCCCAGGGCTCACTTTTGGAACTTTCTCCTGATATCTGCAACTGATTGGGTAATAAACTTATCTTTTAGGATCAATTGACCCTCGAGTGAGTCAGGTGACAGGGGAGTATATTTTCTTAAGGCTTCCCGTAACCGCGCGAGGAAGGCAGAAGGATTTTCTTCCTTTCCCTGAGTTATGGTGGACATCATTGAATAATTCATGGGCTTTTTCCTAATTCTCCTTAGTCCTTCTAGAACACAGGTCAACAGATGTTTGTGATTCCAGTCCCCATGATCTGAGTCAAGGTCCCAGTGGGGATCCATACTGGGGATAGCTTGCTGACCGGTAGGGAATTTGTCCCTTTCTTCAGCTGTCATTCTGTCATTTACTTCACTAAGATACCAGGTATCTCCAAACTCTTGGGCTGCAGCTAAAGCCGCATTCTTTTCATTAAAGGCCAGGGTTTGATCTAACAATAGCATGACATCTCTCCAAGAGAGATCGAGGGTCTGCCCTAAACCCTGTAGGACATCTATATACCTATCAGGATCATCTGAAATCTTCCCCAGATCTACCTTGATCTGCTTTAAATCAGAGAGGGAGAAGTGGACATGTACCTGGGTTGGGCCAAATTCCCCTCCCCCTACAGCTTGAAGGGGACGTAACCGATAACCTGGGGGTTTTTGTGGTCCTTTGGAGATTTCTTTGCTTGTTTTCTTCTGGGCAGGGGAGATTAAAGGAGGCTTCTCATTAATAGGAAGGGGAGCTATAGGGAGGCTAGGATATGGAGGTAAGCTGAGAGGCCCTCCTGTGGGATGTAAATTGCAAGCTTTGCATAGTTGTGTATTCTCCTTCAATGAAAAGAAAGCTTGGACATAAGATATTTCACTCCATTTGCCTTCACTCTTACAGAAAAGGTTAAGCTGCAGGATAGTATTGTAATTTATACTTCCCTCAGATGGCCATTTTTCCCCATCAGAGAATATCGGGGCCAGGCCATAGTGCAGAAAAAAATGAGCCACCACTTTTTCAGGGTTTGCAGGTCAAATTGGTCCCAATGGCTTAGGATGCATTTCAGGGCTGAGCCTGTTGATGCCTGAGTGTTTCCCATCTGAAAGACAAAACCGCCCATGGTTTTGGTTTGTTTGTTTCTACCCCCAGTCCAAGAACCCCCAATGGTCCCTGGACCCTGCTGATTGGAATATTGCACTCACCGACGCAGCAGCAGAAACAGTAGTTTTCCTCCTAGACCACAAGGAGGACTGAGGAAGATCAGATTTAGTGGCCCTTACTGACACATTCTCGAAAACCTGCACCCTTGCCTGTCTTCCTAGATCACAAAGCGGACTGAGAAAAATCAGATTTAGTGGCCCTTACCAATGCATTCTTGAAAACCTGTTAGAGTCCTAAGCATTCTCCTGTTAGTACTGGGACTTTGCCCCGTCCTATAAAGATGTTATGCCCCCAAAATGAAATGGAGGGCCATACCCTGAGGGAGGGGAGGGATCTCCAGGGTTGGTAGAGTGACACCTTTTATCCTCACTTGAATAGGAAGGATATCATTTCTGAAGCTCCCCATATCCTAGCTTCAGGAATAGCTTTTGTTAGGCCTGCTAGTCTGAGGAGGGATCCTAAAATTCCAGATAGTCCCCCCTACGACGGAGCTTTGGGCAAAAATTATGTCTTTCTTATTGGTGAGCCCAGGTGCCTAAAGAAGGGAATAGAGTCCTGGAGTTTATACTAGAAATCATTATTACAAGAGAAACTAGAAAAGCACCAGACAAGGAGTGGTTTTTAGAAGCAGGACTAGCCTCGGAGAAGAGAGGTGAGAGAAAGTTTATCTGACAAGCATTAGGACCCAGGAGGCAAGTGTCAGGATAGATAGGATAGATGGGTGAGTCTCCCTTGGGTGACATGACTTTGAGAGTTCTACTCACAGCCGCAGGGTCAACCAACTTGTTGTCGGGACCCCAGAACTGAATGGCTTTCCTCTCTGTCAACCTTTATCTCAGCCCGGAAGTACAGGAAAAGCAGAAGCTGGTTCCAGGCAAACCAATGCTCTCCACTCCGAAGAGTCAGGGGTTGTTAGAGAGCCCTTTCCTAGAAAGCCTGACAGCCATGTCTTTAGTCCAGCGGCCACGCTAGTCACTTTTAACTGGCCGACAGGTGCCCGGTATTTAGCCCCTGAATTCTAAGGAAAAATAGAACAGAATAGCAAGCGAAAGGGGTCTGATGGTACTCACTGCTTGGTGAAGGCCCCACATTGGGCGCCAAAATGTGTCCAGAATGTATTCCTTCCAGTGGGTTCTTGGTCTCGCAGACTTCAGGAATGAAGCTGTGGACCTTCGCGATGAGTGTTACAGCTCTTAAAGATGGTATGTCCGGAGTTTGTTCCTTCAGACGTTTAGATGTCTCTGGAGTTTCTTCCTTCCAGTGGGTTTGTGGTCTTGCTGACTTCAGGAGTGAAGCCATGGATCTTTGTGGCGAGTGTCACAGCTCTTAAAGGTGGTGTGGACCCAAAGAGTGAGCAGCAGCAAGATTTATTGTGAAGAGCAAAAGAACAAAGTTTCCACAGTGTGGAAGGAGACCTGAGCGGGTTGCCTTTGCTGGCTGGGGTGGCCAGCTTTTACTCCCTTATTTGGCCCTACCCACATCCTGCTGATTGGTCCATTTTACAGAGAGATGACTGGTCCATTTTACAGAGTGCTGATTGGGCCATTTTACAGAGTGCTGATTGGTGCATTTACAATCCTATAGCTAGACACAGAGTGCTGATTGGTGCGTTTTTACAGAGTGCTGATTGGTGCGTTTACAATCCTTTAGCTAGACACATAGCGCTGATTGGTGCGTTTTTACAGAGTGCTGATTGCTGCATTTACAGTCCTTTAGCTAGACACAGAGCACTGATTGGTGCATTTACAATCCTCTAGCTAGACAGAAAAGTTCTCCCAAGTCCCCACTAGACCCAGGAAGTCCAGCTGGCTTCACCTCTCAGTTTTATGCTGCACAAAAGCTGTGAGCCTTCTGCCTGGGGAAACCCCGCAAAAGTTCCAACGGGTCTGTGGACCCTTGCCAGCGGTGATGATAGGATTACTTCCAGGTAGATCTACTTTAAATTTAAAAGGAGTGCAAGTACAAACAGGAGTCATTGATTCAGATTACAATGGGGAAATTCAAATTGTTATATCTACTTCTGTTCCCTGGAAAGCAGAGCCAGGAGAGCGCATAGCACAACTTCTGATTGTGCCGTATGTAGAAATGGGGAAAGTGAAATTAAATGAACAGGATTATTTGGAAGCACAGATAAGGCAAAGCAGCTTATTGGGTGAATCAAATTACTGATAAACATCATACCTGTGAAATAACTATTCAGGGAAAGAAATTTAAAGGTTTAGTAGATACAGGAATGGACATTTCAATCATTTCTCTTCAGCATGGCCGTCAACATGGCCAATTCAACCCACTTAATTTAACATAGTTGGAGTTGGTAAAGCCCCTGAAGTATATCAAAGTAGTTATATTTTGCATTGTGAAGGGCCTGATGGACAACCTGGGACTATTCAACCAATTATAACTTCTGTACCTATAAATTTATGGGGAAGAGATTTATTACAACGATGGGGAGCACAAGTTCTAATTCCTGAGCAGTTTTACAGCCCTCAAAGTCAACATATGATGCATGAAATAGGGTATGTCCCTGGTATGGGACTAGGAGAAAATTTGCAAGGTTTGAAGGAACCGCTTCAAGTGGAAAGACAAAGTTCCTGCCAAGGTTTAGGATATCATTTTTGATGGCGGACATTGTTAAGCCTCAAGAACCTATACCTTTAAAATGGTTAACAGATAAGCCAATTTTGATAGAACAATGGCTGCTAAGTAAAGAGAAACTGGAGGCTTTAGAGTACTTACTTACTGAACAATTAGAAAAAGGACACATAGCTCCAACATTTTCCCTTTGGAATTCTCCAGTCTTTGTTATTAAGAAAAAATCAGGTAAATGGAGAATGTTAACTGATTAATTCAGTTACACGACCTATGGGGACATTACAGCCAGGATTGCCTTCTCCTGCTATGATTCCGAAAAACTGGCCTTTAATAGTCATAGATTTAAAAGACTGTTTCTTTACTACCCCTTAGCTGAGCAAGACTGTGAATGGTTTGCATTTACAATTCCTGCAGTAAACAACCTGCAGCCTGCTAAGCATTTTCACTGGAAAGTGTTGTCACAAGTCATGTTAAACAGTCCAACAATTTGCCGGACTTATGTAGGGCAAGCAATTGAACCTACTTGTAAAAAATTTTCACAGTGTTACATTATTCATTATATGGATGATATATTTTGTACTGCCCCCACTCAAGAAATATTGCTCCAATGTTATGACCACTTGCAAAATTCGATTTCTCACACTGGTTTATTTATAGCTTCTGACAAAATTCAGACTAATACTCCTTACTCCTACTTGGCGACCTTGGTAAATGACACTACTATTGTGCCACAGAAAGTAACCATATGTAGGGATCAATTGAAAACATAAAATGACTTTCAAAAATTACTAGGGGACATTAATTGGATACAACCTGTTCTAGGCATTCCTACCTATGCCATGAGTAATCTATTTTCTATCTTTAGAGGAGGTCCTAGTCTCACTAGCCCTCAACAATTAACAAAGGAGGCTGAGGCAGAGTTACAGCTGATTGAAAAGCAAGTCCATAAGGCTCAAATAAATAGAATAGATACAGAGAAGACTCTAGATTTGCTAATTTTTCCAGCTCATCATTCACCTACTGATGTTATTGCCCAACAGCAGGACTTAGTAGAATGGCTTTTTCTTCCAAATACTAATTCACAGACTCTAACTTCTTATTTGGATCAAATCGCTACTATGATAGGAAATGGGAGAACTTGGATTGTTAAATTACATGGATATGATCTTGGAAAAATTATTGTCCCTCTCACGAAGGCACAAATACAGCAAGCTTTTATAAATAGTCTTACTTGGCAAACCCATTTAGCTGACTTTGTGAGTATTCTCGATAATCATTTTCCTAAAACAAAACTGTTTCCATTTTTGAAATTAACTAATTGGATTCTCCCTAAAATAACGAAATTTAAACCAATTGAAGGTGCTGAGAATGTTTTTACAGATGGGTCTACAAATGGTAAAGCTTCTTATTCTGGCTTGAAAGGTAAAGTTTTTCAGATGCCTTATACTTCAGCTCAAAAAGTGGAGCTTGTAGCTGTAATTGAGGTATTGACTGTTTTTGATATGCCTATTAATGTGATTTTGGATTCTTCATGGTTCATTCCACACAATTAATTGAAAATGTGCAGTTAATGATTTCATACAGATGAACAACTGATGACTTCATTTGCCCAATTGCAAACAGCAGTTAGGAGTAGAATGCACCCTTTTTACATTACTCATATTAGGGCTCATATGCCTCTTCCAGGACCTTTAACTGAAGGAAATCAAATGGCTGATTGCCTAGTTGCTACTGCAATATCTAATGCCAAACATTTTCACAATTTAACCCTTGTTAATGCCTCTGGTCTCAAACGCAGATACAGCATTACCTGGAAAGAAGCTAAAGCTATCATCCAGCGATGCCCAACTTGCCAAATGGTGCATTCCTCATCTTTTACAGGAGGAATTAATCCTCAAGGATTGGAACCTAATTCTCTTTGGCAAATGGATGTCACACATGTTCCGTCGTTTGGGAGACTAGCTTATGTACATGTATGCGTGGACACCTTTTCTTACTTTGGGCTACATGCCAATCAGGAGAGTCTTCTGCCTGTGTTAAATGTCACCTTTTGCAGTGTTTTGCAGTGATGGATATTCCAGCTTCTATTAAAACAGATAATGCCCCAGGCTGTACTAGCCAAGCTCTAGCTACATTTTTCTCTCTATGGAATATTAAACACATTACTGACATTCCATATAATTCTCAAGGACAAGCCATAGTAGAAAGGATGAATCTCTCCCTGAAACAGTAGTGGCAAAAGCAAAAGGGGAGAAACAGGGACTACAGGACACCCCATATACAATTGAATCTAGCATGATTGACTTTAAATTTTTGGAGCCTGCCTAAAGGCCAGATGCTATCAGCAGCTGAACAGCATCTACAGAAACCAGCTACAAAGACAGAAGCAGAACAACTGGTTTGGTGGAGAGATCTGATAACAAAAAGTTGGTAAATAGGTAAAATAATAACTTGGGGTAGTGGTTATGCTTGTGTTTCTCCAAGACGGAATCAACAGCCAATTTGGGTGCCATCAAGACATTTAAAGCCTTAACTATGAGCCAGATACCCAGGAAAAGGTTTTGGGAGGATCCCAAAGACCCACCAGTTGCAGCCATGTTGAGACTGATGCTGAGGAGAACCCCAACTGTCACAAGCAACACCCATCGAACACAGCCACCTACCTGGGGACAGATCAAGAAGCTGTCACAGATGGTGGAAGAAAACCTTAGGAAAGCAGGACAACCAGTCACAATTGTAATTTAATGATAGTTATGATAGCGGTGATCACCATTGCCATGAGTATTCCTTCAACAAGGGCTGACACAGAGAACAATTATATTTATTGGGCGTATTTATCAATCTTGGCTGGCAATAACGCCTGGATGTAATGACTCTATGACACATTTACACATGCTTTCTGGTCTCAGTATTTACCATAATAAATCTGCTCCTATAA
The DNA here is from genome assembly GCF_000001405.40 of Homo sapiens. Taxonomy (NCBI): domain Eukaryota; kingdom Metazoa; phylum Chordata; class Mammalia; order Primates; family Hominidae; genus Homo; species Homo sapiens. Next base: position 49,232,966 of record NC_000003.12, read on the forward strand.
TTGAGGCATACAGCCCTCAAAAACCTATTTGTAAACAGAATTGGACCTGGTCAGAAATAATGAATGTACTTGTTTGGGAAGATTGCATTGCAGAATAGGCACAGGTGCTGCGTAACGATTCCTGTGGAATCGTTATTGATTGGTCCCCTAAGGGACCAAGCTTGAATTGCACCTCTCAGTCAGCGTGCCACGGCCACACTATGTTCAGCTGGTTTAAACAAAACGGTCAGATGGTAGAAATTGTAAGAAATATGGCAAGAGTTCCTGTTATCTGGAAACATGGCAGTATAGTGGCACTTCACCCTCAAATGTTATGGCCTGCTGTAGGAGCTAAACATAAGGATTTGTGGAAACTATTAATGGCTCTTAAATAAGATTGAAATTTGGAAAAGAATAAAAAAGCATCTAGAAGGACACTCTACAAACTTGTCTTTGGATGTTGCAAAATTAAAAGAACAAATATTTAAAGCATCCCAGGCACACCTGACCTTAATGCCAGGAACTGGAGGGTTTGAAGGAGCATCAGACAGATTAGCAGCTATTAACCCATTGAAATAGATAAAGACACTTGGAGGCCCTGTGATTTCAATGATGATTGTGCTTTTAATCTGTGTTGTTTGTCTTTGTATAGTCTGCAGATGCAGATCCCAACTCCTGCGAGAAGTAGCTCACCATGACAAAGCTACCTTTGCTTTTATCGTTTTGCAAAACAAAAAAGGGGGACATGTTGGGAACAGGCCCCCAAATCTGGCCATAAACAGGCCCCAAAACTGGCCATAAACAAAATCTCTGCAGCACTGTGACATGTTCATTATGGCCATGATGCCCATGCTGAAGGTTGTGGGTTTACCAGAATGAGGGCAAGGAACACTTGGCCCACCGAGGGCGGAAAACCACTTCCAGGCATTCCTAAACCACAAACAATAGCATGAGCAATCCGTACCTTAAGGACATGTTCCTGCTGCAGATAACTAGCCAGAGCCCATCCATTTGTTTCGGCCCATCCCTTTGTTTCCCATAAGGAATACTTTTAGTTAATCTATAATCTATAGAAATAATGCTTATCACTGGCTTGTTGTCAATAAATATGTGGGTCAAACTCTGTTCGGGGCTGAGAAAAAAAAGGAAAAGCATGCTTTCTCAGGTTATGCAACAGTTAAGTAACACAAATTGTTACACAGATGTCTTTTGTTGTTGTTTTTTTTTTTTTTTTTTTTTTGGTTTTTTTGACGGAGTCACTCTCTCACCAGGCTGGAGTGCAGTGTGGCACAATCTTATCTCACTGCAACCTCCAGCTCCCTGGTTCAAGTGATTCTCCTGCCTCAGCCTCCTGATTAGGTGGGACTGTACAGGCACACACCGCCATGCCCAGCTAATTTTTTTTTTTTAATTTTAGTAGAGATGAGATTTCACAGTGTTGCCCAGGCTGGTCTCGAACTCCTGAGCTCAGGTAGTCTGCCCACCTCGGCCTCCCAAAGTGCTAGGATTACAGGCATGAGCCACCACGCCCAGGCTCTGGTGTCCCTTTTTATAAGGACACCAATCCTATCATAAGAACCCTACCTTCATGACTTCATCTAACCCTCATTACCTCCTTAAGGACCCATCTCCAAATACTATCACATCAGGGTTGTTACAATGATACCATCATAGCAACATATGAATTTGTGGGGGACACATCCAGTCCATAACAAGGCCTATCTGTGATTGTTTTATTATGCCTCCTTCTCTCCCTTCAGCCCTGCTCTGTTCCTTCCCTGTAGGCACACACACTAAAATTAATGTGTACCCTCCAATTACTTTCTATACACTCAGTTACATAATTGTTTGGTGTGTATAATGTAGGTTTAAAAATTTACATAAATGAACTGTAATAGAGTTAATTCTTTTTTTTTTTTTGAGACTGAGTCTCACTGTATCACCCAGGCTGGAGTGCAGTGGCACAATCTCGGCTCACTGCAACCTCTGCCTCCCGGGTTCCAGTGATTCTTCTGCCTCAGCCTCCCAAGTAGCTGGGATTACAGGTGTCTGCCACCATACCCAGCTAATTTTTGTATTTTTAGTAGAGACAGGGTTTCACCATGTTGGTCAGGCTGGTCTCGAACTCCTAACCTTGTGATCTGCCCACCTCGCCTCCCAAAGTGCTAGCTAGGATTACAGGCGTGAGCCACCGTGCCTGGCCAAGTTCATCCAATTTTTACCTTTTCTTGTACTCAAAACTATGTTTTTGAGAAGTCTCAAAATCCCATGTGATTATATATAAATCTTTTTTTTTTTTTTTTGAGGAGTCTTACTCTGTTGCCCAGGCTGGAGTGCAGTGGTGCAAATTTGGCTGACTACAAGCTCCGCCTCCTGGGTTCATGCCATTCTCCTGTCTCAGCCTCCCAAGTAGCTGGGATTACAGGCACCCACCATCAGGCCTGGCTAATTTTTTTGTATTTTTTAGTAGAGATGGGGTTTCACCATGTTAGCCAGGATGGTCTCGATCTCCTGACCTCATGATCCACCCTCCTCGGCCTCCCAAAGTGCTGGGATTACAGGCGTGAGCCACCGCACCCGGCCGATTATATATAAATCTAACTTAATGCTTCTGGCTGCTGAATCAGCTAATGCATGTACCTTATTTTATTTATCTATTTTAATGATGAACAGATTGATCTTTTAAAAAGATAACATTCTTGGCTGGGTGCAATGGCTCATGACTGTCATCCCAGCACTTTGGGAGCCTGAGGTGAGCAGATTACCTGAGGTCAGGAGTTCGAGAGACCAGCCTGGCCAACATGGTGAAACCCCATCTCTATTAAAAATACAAAAATTGACCACATGTGGTGGCAGATGCCTGTAATCCCAGCTACTCAGGAGGCTGAGGCAGGAGAATGGCTTGAACCCGGGAGGTGGAGGTTGCAGTGGGCCAAGATTGCACCACTGCATGCCAGCCTGGGCAACAGAGTGAGACTCTGTCTCAAAAAAAAAAAAAAAAAGATAACATTCTTGGCCCTGCACGGTGGCTCACACCTGTAATCCCAGCAATTTGGGAGGCTGAGATGGGCGAATCACCTGAGGTCAGGAGTTCAAGACCAGCCTGGTCAACATGGTGAAACCCCATCTCAACTATAAATACAAAAATTAGCCTGGTGTGGTAGCACATACCTGTAGTCCTAGCTACCCAGGAGGCTGAGGCTGCAGTGAGCCGAGATCATGCCACTGCACTCCAGCCTGGGCGACAGAGTAGGATCCTGTCTCAAAACAATAAAATAAAATGATAACATTCTTTTAATCTCTACAATTTTATGAACTGTAATTTCCAATATGGTGTTGTAGCCCAGAATGCTGTTATACAAAGAATGATGATGTCAATCCTTTCTGTTTGAGTTTCCATCTGGTTGTTCCCAGATAGTAATAAAAATGTGTGGTATTCAGAATTTCCTTGTGTTTCATTGTACTGACAATATACAGGGGACTTGAAGGTCAGAACAAGCTATCATTCTGCCCAAAATGTTCTGAAATGGACAGCTGTGAACTATGATTTCATTTGTTCAGGATATTTGTCTATTTGATACACTTTTTTTTGCTAAATTTCAGGAACAAGAAGTCATCCAACTGGAATAATAATCAAAATGATTATTCCAGTCTCAGTGATTCCCAGTTCCTCTTTGGATCTCAGTTCTGTCCAGAAAATTCAGAAACCCTATCAGCACCCTTGGACTTTGGTGCCCACTTGAGACATTCAAAACAGTCACAACAGAACTATCTGGAGGTGAGTCTGGTTTCCAGAATTGATCTGCACACATTTCACAGTCATTATGGAGATAAACTATAAAGAATACTTATTCTGGCCAGGTGCAATGGCTGACACCTGTAATCCCTGCACTTGGGGAGGCTGAGGCAAGTGGATCCCTTGAGCCCAGGAGTTTGAGACCAGCCTGGGCAACATGGCAAAACCCCATCTCTACAAAAAGTACAAAAATTAGCTGAGTGTGGTGGCTGAGGCAGGAGGATTGCTTGAGCCCAGGAAGTCAAGGCTGCAGTGACCCATGATTCTGCCAGTGTACTCCAGCCTGGGTGACAGAGTGAGAACCTGTCTCAAAAAAAAAACAAACAAGGCCAGGTGTTGTGGCTCATGCCTGTAATGCCAGCAATTTGGGAGGCCGAGGCAGGTGGATCACAAGGTCAGGAGTTCAAGACCAGCCTGGCCAAGATGGTGGAACCCCGCCTCTACTAAAAATACAAAAATTAGCCGGGTGTGGTGGCAGGCGCCTGTAATCCCAGCTACTCGGGAGGCTGAGGCAGAGAATCGCTTGAACTCAGGAGGTAGAGGTTGCAGTGAGCCGAGATCAAACCACTGAACTCTATCCTGGGAGATAGAGCATGACTCTGTCTCAAAACAAACAAACAAAACAAAAAAACCCGACAACCAATACTTAGTTTCTAGCCTTAAAAAAATTACTTATTCTGTTGGAATATGTTTTAGAATTGTACATCTGTAAGGATTACTCTCCTAAAGGGATTTGTGCTTGATTAGTGACTCATTTGACTTAATAGTCTGAAATGGCAACATTTATATTTGCGGTTTCTTCTATTACAAAGCAACGTAAAATAGTGTCAATTCCTTGACCAATCCTAGGGAGAGGCAAATATATATACATATATATTTGCCTAAGGCTAGTCATACTATTGTTTGTGAGAATTTATAAGTAAAAATAGTTTTCATAAAATAGAAATAAAATAACAAATTTTATTTTAGACAGACTTTTTTAAATAATAAACTTCATGTAATCTGTATACTTTAGTCAACTATACTACATTATGTCCTTGAAGAAGAAGGAGATGAGGATTCTGAGGCCTAGGTTAGTGAGTAAAGGCCAGAATGAGGAACAGAGTCTCTTGAATCCTTGATGTTTTGAGATTAACCTGTCTTTTCCTTTTTTTTTTTTTTTTTTTTTTTTTTTTTTTGAGACAGAGTCTTGCTCTGTCACCTGGGCCGAGGTCCAGTGGCATGATCTCAGTTCACTGACTGCAAACTTCGCCTTCCAGGTTCAAGTAATTCTCCTGTCTCAGCCTCCCTAGTAGCTGGGATTATAGGTGTGTGCCACCACACACGGCTGATTTTTGCGTTTTTAGTAGAGACAGTGTTTCTCCATGTTGGCGGGCTAGTCTTGAGCTCCTAACCTCAGATGATCTGCTCACCTCAGCTGCCCAAAGTGCTGGGATTACAGGTGTGAGCCACCATGCCCAGCCTGATTCTTTGAGATCAATCTGTGTTTTCTTGTGAGTCAAAAACATTTTGATTTTGGAGGCACCTATAACTAAATGTAGTTTTGTTTTGTTTTGTTTTGTTTTGTTTTTGAGACAGAGTTTTTCCCTCTGTCACCCAGGCTGTAGTGCAGTGGTGCTGTGGCAGGAATCAGAGGACCAGAGAGACCAAATGGATAAAACAGGAGGATTTTATTAAGGTGTGCACCGGCTCAGCGGATTCGCATCCAAAAGGCTGAGACCTGAACAGAAACAGGGCTTGACTTTTATACACATTTCTGAAAGGGGATTGGCCAGTTTGAATGGCGTGGAGGGAATTTGGTGGCATGAAGTGTATAGTGCAGGCAAGTGGGCATACAGAAGCAGAACAAAGGCAGTTAATCAAACAGTGACAGGTTTCATCATCCTAGCATAGCTCGTGACCTCGCAGCTGCATTGGAAGGAAAACAGGAACTTATCAAACTAAAGCAGGCTTTGCATCTGGTACATATCTTACTCAAGCTCGTCTTGTGACCTTGTCATGTTGCACAGAAGAGAAACAGGAATTGTAAAACTCTGTGAAGTAACCTTGAGTATCACTAAGGAAGGATTATCAAAGGGGAGGGGGAAGTTGGGAAAAGAGAAAAACCTGCTTTCCCACCCTCGCCTGGGAATGGGAGGAGAGGGGACTCTGGAGCACATTCCTTGAGGGCTCTGGTTTTGCACATAGTGTTATCAAAGCCCTGCCAGAGCTCTGCTGCCTATTGCTAGGTCTTGGAGTGAGTCAGCCCAGCAAGAGAAAACTTGTTTTTCTCTTTACATCTCCTGCTTCAGTGTGATCTCAGCTCACTGCAACCTCTGCCTCCTGGGTGCAAGCAATTATCATGCCTCAGCCTCCTGAGTGGCTGGGATTATAGGCGCCTGCCCCCATGCCCAGCTAATTTTTGTATTTTTAGTAGAGACAGGGTTTCACTGTGTTGGCTAGGCTGGTCTCAAACTCCTGACCTCAAGTGATCCACCTGCATTGGCCTCCCAAAGTGCTGGGATTACAGGTGTGAGCTACCATGCCTGGCCACACCAAGCTAATTTTTTTCTTTTTTTTTTTGAGAGGGAGCCTCACTGTTGCCAGACTGGAGTGCAGTGGCATGATCTCAGCTCACTACAACCTCTGCCTCCCGGGTTCAAGCGATTCTCCTGCCTCAGTCTCCTGAGTAGATGGGACTATGGGCGTGCACCACCACGCCCAGCTAATTTTTGTATTTTTAGTAGAGACAGGATTTCACCATGTCAGCCAGGATGGTCTCAATCTCCTGACCTCATGACCCACCTGCCTCAGCCTCCCAAAGTTCTGGGATTACAGGCGTGAGCCCCCGTGCCCAGCTGCACCAGCTAATTTTTATATTTTTTGTAGGGATGGGGTTTAGCCATGTTGCCCAGGCTGGTCTTGAACTCCTGGGCTCAAGGGATTTTTTTTTTTTTTTTGAGACGGAGTTTTGCTCTGGTTGCCCAGACTGGAGTGCAATGGTACGATCTCGGCTCACCACAACCTCTGCCTTCCAGGTTTAAGCAATTCTCCTGCCTCAGTCTCCTGAGTAGCTGGGATTACAGGCATGCGCACCACGCCTGGCTAATTTTGTATTTTTAGTAGAGACGGGGTTTCTCCATGTTGGTCAGGCTGTTCTTGAACTCCCCACCTCAGGTGATCTGCCCACTTCGGCCTCCCAAAGTGCTGGGATTATAGGCGTAAGCCACTGTGCCCAGCCTGGGCTCAAGTTTTATATATAAACTTACATGCATCAAATAGGGACTTAACAAATAAGATTAAGTTGGTGCTTTTTTTTCTTTTCTTTTCTTTTCTTTTCTTTTGAGACAGAGTCGCACTCTGTCACCCGGGCTAGAGTGCAGTGGCACGATCTTGGCTCACTGCAACCTCCTCTTCCCAGGTTCAAGAGATTCTCCTGCCTCAGCCTCCCGAGTAGCTGTGATTACAGGTGTGTGCCACCACGCCCAGCTAATTTTTGTTTTTGTTTTTGTTTCTGTTTTGAGACGGAGTTTCACTCTTGTCGCCCAGGCTGGAATGCAGTGGTGCAATCTTGGCTCACTGCAACCTCCTCCTTCTGTGTTAAAGCAATTCTCCTGCCTCAGCCTCCTGAGTAGTTGGGATTACAGGCGCCTGCCAGCATGCCCGGCTAATTTTTTGTATTTTAGTAGAGACAGGGTTTCGCCAAGTTGAGCAGGCTGGTCTCAAACTCCTGACCTCAGGTGATCCGCCCGCCTCGGCCTCCCAAAGTGCTGGGATTACAGGCATGAGCCACCACACCCGACCAATTTTTGTATTTCTAGTAGTGACGGGGTTTCATCACATTGGTCAGGTTGGTCTCAAACTCCTGACCTTGTGATCCACCCACCTCGGCCTCCCAAACAAAGTGTTGGGAGTACAGGGGTGAGCCACCATGCCCAGCCAGTCGGTGCTTTAAGTTAGTAAAGTATGCTCTGAAATAAGTATTTCAGTACAAAAATTGGTATCTAGTGATATGAAGGAATAAATGACCTCCCTGAATGTTTCAGAATTTTGCCAAAGAATGCAGAAAGTGGCTCACCATTTGTCAGCATGCCCACTGTCCAGTCCACATCAAACTTACCAATATGAGTTCAGTTCACTAGCAGCTGAGCAACAGCAATTTGAGTTAAAATTATGATTATGAAAACTTTAACACATCATGTCAGAAATAGCATAAATGGTTCTCTGTTCTTGCCTTTAAATTTATGCAATTGATTCTAAGCTATTTTGGTTGACATTTAAAATATCTCTGGGCTGGTAAGGCAAAAATCTATATTAATAAAAACAGTTGCTTTATTTTAAATATAATTTTCTGGTGTATACAAAGATAAAATGGAAATACTACTTGCTATGTTACGTTACAGCAATATGGTTTGCACTTAAATGTGACTCTGCATTGTACAGAAAATAGTGAATGCTATAAATATTTTTATGTGTGAAATGCTATATATTTTTTTCATTTAACAGGGTGAACCTAGCATTTTCACAAAGTACCAGACAAAGCCCCAGCTGTTCGGAGGAGATATAAAAGATGGAGGTTTATTTCCTCCTCCTTTGTCAGTTGGAAAATCAAAAGGCCTCTTGGAACAGTTTGAGGAGAAAAAGAAAAGGGCAAAAGACAAATGTGACAGGTATGTAAACCTTTCAAATGGATGAAAGAACTCACCTTTTCTGAGTAAAACAAGACATAGAGTGTCAGTAATTAAATAATTCAATTTTAGCATAATAGCATGTATTAGAGTTCTCCAGAGAAACCAAACCATAGGACTTACACACACATACACACACACACACACACACACAGACACACAAACAGACACACAGAGAAAGAGGGAGAAAGAGAAAGAGGGAGAGAGAGAATTATAGATTGATTTTTTTTTTTTGACGGAGTCTTGCTCTGTCGCCAGGCTGGAGTGCAGTGGCACAATCTTGGCTCACTGCAACCTCTGCCTCCCAGGTTCAAGCGATTCTCCTGCCTCAGCCTCCTGAGTAGCTGGGACTACAGGCGCCTGCCACCATGCCTGGCTAATTTTTGTATTTTTAGTAGAGACAGGGTTTTACCATGTTGGCCAGGCTGGTCACAAACTCCTGACCTCAGTTGATCCACCCATCTCAGCCTCCCAAAATGCTGGAATTATAGGCGTGAGCCACTGTGCCTGGCCATTATTATTATTATTATTTATTTTATTATTATTTTTTTCTGAGATGGAGTTTCACTCTTGTTGTCCAGACTGGAGTGCAATGGCACAATCTCGGCTCACTGAAACATCCGCCTCCTGGGTTCAAGTGATTCTCCTGCCACAGCCTCCCGAGTAGCTGGGATCACAAGCGCATGCCAGCATGCCCAGCTCATTTTTGTATTTTCAGTAGAGACGGGGTTCGCCATGTTGGCCAGGCTGGTCACGAACTCCTGACCTCAGGTGATCTGCCCACTTCGGCCTCCCAAAGTGCTGGCATTACAAGCATGAGCCACCGCAGTCTTCCCACCTTAGCTTCCCAAGTAGCTTCGATCAGAGGCACACACAGCTGTGGCCACCTAATTTTTTTTTTTCAGAGATAGTGTCTCACTATGTTGTCCAGGCTGGTCTTGAACTCCTGGGCTCAAGCAGTCGTCCCACCTCGACCTCTCAAAGTGCTGGGATTACAGGCATGAGCCACCATACCCAGCCTCCTAGTTATTCTTAATTGCCTTCTTGTCAATATGATTTGTGGTAGATTTACATACCACAATTTTTTTCTCTCTGAAAAATAAAAACTAGAGGATTTCTAAGAGAAATGTAATATTCAAGTAATGTTACACTTATTTTTCCTAAACATCTGCCCCCTGATTTTTCTTTTCAGATCATCAGGATTAGGAAGTTGGACAACATTATTTATTTTAGAGTCTAGAATAGAATGTGGCCAGGCACGGTGGCGGGTGCCTGTAATCCCAGCTACTCAGGAGGCTGAGACAGGAGAATCACTTGAACCCAGGAGGCGGAGGTTGCAGGGAGCCTAGATTGCACCATTGCACTACAGCCTGGGAGACAAGAGTGAAACTCCATCTCAAACAAACAAGCAAAAAAACAACAACAACAACAAAAAAGAATAGAATGCATGAAATCGTTTAAATTTTACATTCAAAAACTTTTTTGAATTTTTTTAAACTTTTATTTTAGGTTCAGGGGTATATGTGCAGGTTTGTTACATAGGTAGACTCTTGTCACAGATGTTTGTTGTACAGATTATTTCATCACCCAGGTACTAAGCATAGTACCCAATAGCTATTTTTTTTTCTGATCCTTTCCCTCCTCCACCCTTCACCTCAACTAGGCCCCAGTGTCTGTTGATCTTCTGTTCATGTCCATGAGTTTTCATCATACAATGCATGAATTCTTTGGCTTTTGTTTTGTTTTGTTTATTGAGATGGAGTCTCACTCTGTTGCCCAGGCTGGAGTATAGTGGCAAGATCTTGGCTCACTGTAACCTCTGCCGCCTGGGTTCAAGCGATTCAAGTGCCCCAGCCTCCCAAGTAGCTGGGACCACAGGCGCGTGACACCATGCCCAGCTAATATTTTTGTATTTTTAGTAGAGACGGGGTTTCAGCATGTTGGCCAGGCTGGTCTCAAACTCCTGACCTCAGGTGATCCACCGGCCTCAGCCTCCCAAAGTGATGGGATTACAGGTGTAAGCCACCATGCCCAGCCCATGTGTGAGTCTTTTTTTAAGAACTGGATGTGGCCAGGCGCGGTGGCTCACGGCTGTAATCCCAGCACTTTGGGAGACCGAGGCAGGCGGATCACGAGGTCAGGAGATTGAGACCATCCTTGCTAACACGATGAAACCCCGTCTCTACTAAAAATTCAAAAAATTAGCCGGGCGTGGTGGCGGGAGCCTGTAGTCCCAGCTACTTGGGAGGCTGAGGCAGGAGAATGGTGTGAATCCAGGAGGCAGAGCTTGCAGTGAGCCGAGATCGTGCCACTGCACTCCAGCCTGGGTGACGGAGCGAGACTCTGTCTCAAAAAAAAAAAAAAAAAAAAAGAGTAGTATGTATAGTTGAGGAATAACTGTGATAGCTTCTTTTTCATTAGAAATGAATATTTTCATATTAATATTTACATATAAATATGTATATGAATATGGATTTTAAAAAGAAAAATGCGATTTGCCTTAGCAGTGGTCATAGGAAGTCTGTGTTCTCTCTTTTTTTTTTTTTTAACTTTTTATTTTATTTTGAGGTGGAGTCTCGCTCTGTCTCCCAGGCTGGAGTGCAGTGGCATGATCTTGGCTCACTGCAACCTCCGCCTCCCAGGTTCAAGGAATTCTCCTGTCTCAGCCTCCCCAGTAGCTGGAATTACAGGTGCCCACCACCACGCCTGGCTAATTTTTGTATTTTTAGTAGAGACGGGGTTTCACTGTCTTGGCCAGGCTGGTCTTGAACTCCTGACCTTGTGATCCACCTGCCTTAGCCTCCCAAGATGCTGGGACTCTCTTTTTTTTTCCCTGCTGGGCACTAAGGTTTCTCAGGGTCAAGTCTTCAGATCTAATCAAGCAATGTTTTGATGCTATGCTAGGTAGAGATCTGCCATATTTATGGAATCATTTATGTTACTTATCACTTCAATATTTCATAAAGATTTGTTTTCTTTTTTCCCTCCTATTCTAGTGAGACTCTATACAACTTTGTTTCTAATGTTAGAGAAAGCATTCTCAGGGTAAGTACAGATACTTTTCAAGGAGTTAGAACATCTTATATTTTAAGAAGTTTAATATTTATATTGTATTGGCTTTAGTTAATGTAGAATAGCAATATTTTAACTATCCCTATTTATCATGAAATGACAATTCTCTAAGATAGTAGAATAAGGCAATAGCCTGTGAATTATTTCATAATTTTGGGTTTCTTAGTTGCAGACGTCTGTGGAAAAGTCTGAGGACCATCTCAGTTCAAGAAGCCAATCTATTTTGGATTCTTTGGAGACTGTGGCCAAGACATGTGAGTGCCTCATGTTTGAGGTATCAGCAGAGGGCACTGGTGAATGATGAACATGAACTTTCTGACCCCAGCCTGGTTTCCAGTGGTGAGGTTCCTCACAGGGTTTCAGATGAGAGGATGGGTATATAGGGTTAGTCCTGAAGAGATGTGGAGCACACTGAGCTGGGTAGTGAGGCCCACCTCTATGTGACAATGCTCTGGTCCCATGATGCCTTTTGTGAGGCACTAATCCCCCACCTGGTAACCATGTTGCCTCAGGGCAGGTAGCTCTGCTAGGTTTCTCATCTCACTGCCTGAAGTGAGTCAGCAACATCCTTGAGTCTCAAATTGCTGCCTGTGCTGTCTATAGACACTGACTGCCCCCTTAGGAGTTAGAAATACTGTAGTACCTGCTGCTCTTCTTGCTGCCTTGGTTTCAGTGAGAGCTGTGTTGTGAATCACAGCATCATTCTCAATTTTTTTTTTTTTTTTGAGACAGAGTCTCGCTCTGTCACCCAGGCTGGAGTGCAGTGGCGCAATCTCGGCTCACTGCAAGCTCCGCCTCCCGGGTTCACGCCATTCTCCTGCCTCAGCCTCCTAAGTAGCTGGGACTACAGGCGTCTGCCACCACGGCTGGCTAATTTTTAAAATTTTTAGTAGAGACGGGGTTTCACTGTGTTAGCCAGGATGGTCTCCATCTCCTGACCTCGTGATCTGCCCGCCTCAGCCTCCCAAAGTGCTGGGATTACAGGCATGAGCCACCACGCCCAGCCCCATTCTCAATTTTACTTATAGTTTGTGGTTTATAAAATCCTGTGCTCCACCAATTAGTGGTTTACATTTAGATGAAACCATGGCCCTTGCCCTATAAACAGAAGAGAGTAAATATACAGTTCTCCTTGGGTGAATACTTCTCTAGAACCACCTGTTTCCTAGCAAAACGATGAGCTGATGACTATGCATCTGTACTTGTTTGCATTTGTCTGTGTGTTTATTTTATAAACAAGTTGAAATCAACTTACACAAATGCCATGGGGTGGACTGCTCATAATTTACAAAAATTAATGCCTTTTTGTGGCCTAAAAATTAATCCCCAACTGTCTGCATAGAAGCACTGTACTGTCTGCTGGATTTCAACCTGGGCATCCCACACACAGGGCATATGCATCTGTTTAGAAACTTGTTCTGGGGCCGGGCACAGTGGCTCCCACTTGTAATCCTAGCACTTTGGGAGGCCGAGGCGGGCAGATCACAAGGTCAGGAGTTCAAGTCTGGCCTGTCTAATATGGTGAAACCCCATCTCTACTAAAAATACAAAAATTAGCTGGGTGTGGTGGTGGGCGCCTGTAGTCCCAGCTACTCGGGAGGCTGAGGCAGAAGAACTGCTTGAATCTGGGAGGCGGAGGTGGCAGTGAGCTGAGATGGCGCCACTGCACTCCAGCCTGGACGACAGAGCGAGACTCCGTCAAAAAAAAAAAAAAAAAAAAAAACTTGTTCTGGAAGCCTTGAAACTGTTAACCCCACAAGAAGTAGCAAGACAGACGGCAGAAGCAAATCAGGGATGCTTCCTTTGTATAACATGATAGAGTAAGTCATTTATAAGTACCCAAGGAAAGTACTCTGTTTTTGTTTTACATTTAAAACTGGGTGGGCCGGGCACAGTGGCTCATGCCTATAATCCCAGCACTTTGGGAGGCTAAGGCGGGAGGATCACTTGAGGCCAGGAGTTCGAGACCAGCCTGGCCAAAATGACGAAAGCCCGTCTCTACTAAAAATGCAAAAAAAATTAGCCAGGCGTGGTGGCAGACACCTGTAATCCCAGCTACTTGGGAGGCTGAGGCAGGAGAATCGCTTGAACCCAGGAGGCAGAGGTTGCAGTGAGCTGAGATCGTGCCACTGTACTCCAGCCTGAACAACAGAGTGAAACTCCCTGTATCAAATAATAATAATAATAATAAAACTGGGTGAAGTACAAAAAAGGAGGATTGCAGCAAAAGTATGGCGTTTAAATCCCAGAAAAGGGAAAGGAAGTGCCTGAGGCCCCAACACAAGATCAAGGCAGAGAAAGAACTAAAACTGCATCTGGCTTAGAGTAGGCAAAGGGATCCATTCCTTAATTTTCTTTTGCTTTTCTTTTTTTCTTTTCTTTTTTTTTTTTTGAGACGAACTCTCACTCTTGTCCCCCAGGCTGGAGTGCGATGGCGCGAACTTGTGCAACCTCTGCCTCCCAGGTTCAAGCGATTCTCCTGCCTCAGTCTCCTGAGTAGCTGGGATTACAGGTGCCTGCCACCATGCCTGGCTAATTTTTGTATTTTTAGTAGAGACGGGGTTTCACCATGTTGGCCAGGCTGGTCTCGAACTCCTAATATCAGGTGATCTGCCCACCTCGGCCTCCCAAAGTGCTGGGATTACAGGCGTGAGCTACCGCGCCTGGCAGGTTCCTTAATTTTCAAAGGGTAAGACTCAGAAGAGAGGCCGGGCGTGGTGGCTCCTGCCTATAATCCCAGCACTTTGTGTTTTTGTTTTTGTTTTTTTGAGATGGAGTCTCGCTCTGTCACCCAGGCTGGAGTGCAGTAGCACGATCTCGGTTCACTGCAACCTCTTCCTCCCGGGTTCAAGCCAGTCTCCTGCATGAGTCTCTCCTGCACCAGTCTCATGCAGGTGCATGCCACCACACCTGGCTATTTTTTTGTATTTTTACTAGAGACAAGGTTTCATCATGTTGGCCAGGCTGGTTTTGAACTCCTGACCTCAGGTGATCAGCCTGTTTCGGCCTCCCAAAGTGCTGGGATTATAGGCGTGAGACACCACGCCCAGCCTAATCCCAGCACTTTGGGAGGCCAAGGTGGGTGGATTGCTTGAGTCCAGGAGTTTGAGACCAGCCTGGGAAACATAAGGAGACTTTGTGTCTACAAAAAATAAACAAAACCAGCAGGGCATGGGACATATGCCTGTAGTCCCAGGTACTAGGGAGGGTGAGGTGGGAGGATCGCTTGAGTCTGGGACGTCGAAGCTGCTGTGAGCCAAGATGGTGCCACTGCACTCCAGCCTGGGAGCTAGAGCAAGACCCTGTCTCTAAACACTAAAACTAAAACTAAATAAATAAAATGAAAAAAAAAAATAGATTCAAGGGTGGGCGTGGTGGTTCATGTCTGTAATTCCAGCACTTTGGGAGGCCAAGGCAGGTGAATCACTTGAGGTCAAGAGTTTGAGACCAGTCTGTCCAACATGGTGAAAACCCGTCTCTACTAAAAATACATAAATTAGCCATGCGTGATGGCTGGAGCCTGTAATTCCAGCTACTTGGGAGGCTGAGACAGGAGAATCGTTTGAACCTGGGAGGTGGAGGTTGTAGTGAGCCGAGATGGCGCCACTGCACTCCAGCCTGGACGATAGAGTGAGACTCCATCTCAAAAAAAAAAAAAAAAGGCCAGGTGTGGTGGCTCACGCCTGTAATCCCAGCACTTTGGGAGGCCAAGGCGGGCAGATCACGGGGTCAGGAGATCAAGACCATCTTGGCTAACACGGTGAAACCCCATGTCTACTAAAAATACAAAAAATTAGCTGGGCGTGGTGGCGGGCACCTGTAGTCCCAGCTACTCAGGAGGCTGAGGCAGAATGACGTGAACCCAGGATGGGGAGGTTGCAGTGAGCCGAGATCCTGCCACTGCACTCCAGCCTGGGCGATAGAACCAGACTCTCTCAAAAACAAAACAAAACAAAACAAAACAAAAGCCCAGGCACAGTGACTCACACTTGTAATCCCAGCACTTTGGGAGGCCGAGGTGGGTGGATCACTTGAGGTCAGGAGTTTGAGACCAGCCTGACCAATATGGTGAAAACCCATCTCTACTAAAAAAAAAATACAAAATTAGCCAGGCGTGCTGGTGCAGGCCTTTAATCCTAGCTACTTGGGAGGCAGGAGAATCACTTGAACCTGGGAGGCAGAGGTTTCAGTGAGCTGAGATTGCGCCATAGCACTCCAGCCTGGGCAACAAGAGCGAAACTCTGTCTCAAAAAAGAAAAAGAAAGAAAAAAGACTCAGTAACAGACACAGCAGTATCACATGAATTAGGACAGGTCATTCTTGAAAATGAGCACAAGTAGCCTATCCAGAATAATTCTCTTTCTTGGTAGGAAATGATGATGAGCAGAAAATTAATCATTGAGAGAGGAACCAGACAAATCCTCTAGCATATGGCCAGGTCCAGTCCAGCTATTCTAGAGCATTGAACTCCACCTCAGTGCATTCTGCAAGCTTTCAGTCTCTACTCATGTGCTCATCAGGGAATAGGGAAGTAAAGATACTGTGTGAAAGTGCTGTCTGTGTTGTTATGTAATTGGTGCCTTCACAGATGAGGTCATTAAATATTTTCCCAGTCAGCCTGCCCAGCCAGAAGGGTCACTGTGGCCATCTAATCTAACTCTTCCTGTTCTTCAGCTGAGGACACTAAGGACCACAGTAATAAAGTTAATTACCAAAGCCTCTTGTATACTACTTTACCTCATATGTTAAGTCTGGTGATAAATTATAAAAAGAACTAGAAGAAAACATGGACAACATTTTTTTTTTTTTGAGATGGAGTTTCGCTCTGTCACCCAGGCTGAAGTGCAGTGGCGTGATCTTGGCTCACTGCAGCCTCTGCCTCCCGGGTTCAAGCGATTCTCCTGCCTCAGCCTCCCAAGTAGCTGGGACTATAGGCACACACCACCACGCCCAGCTAAATTTTATATTTTTAGTAGAGACAAGGTTTCACCATGTTAGCCAGGATGGTCTCAAACTCTTGACCTCATATCCACCTACCTCAGCCTCCCAAAGTGCTGAGATTATAGGTGTAAGCCACCACGCCCGGCCATGGACAACATTTTTATAATTTTAGAATGGGAAAAGCCTTTCTAAGCAAAATAGATATAATTGTTAAGAAGAGTGAGATCCATCTATATGAATATGGTAGAATGGAAATATCTGTTCATTGTTAAATTAAAACAACAAAAAGGTGCTCTTCGCGTGCTCCAGGATACATCTTGTTGGAAAGTGTGACCAGCCAGTGAAAACTGGGAAGAGTATCCCTAAAAAAGTTGGAGGTGGTCTCATCTTATACAAGGAGGCTGCCAGATCTTTTGTTAGGCTCTCATCAGCACCTGAGGGAGAATAAAACTACAGAGTAAAAGGAAAATCACTGGCCATCCGGGGAAAAGCTTGCATCACAATCTGATCTCATCTCAATTGAGGCCTTACCAAGTTGCTAAAATAAAAACAAATTGTTTAAAAATCATCTTAACAGGAAAACAGATATTGTCCAGAATATGGAAATGGATTTTAAATGGCATTTTTACATAAAAGCTAAAAATATCTAATGTTTATAGTCAAAGCAAAAATGAAATAAATACTCTTCTAGACACACATACACAAACAAACACAGGACCTATAATGTATATACAGATATGCACACGTATTAATGTAAAATTCCAGAAACCGATGATAATGTTAAATCCAGGAAGAGAGACCAAGGTTTGCAGAGGAGAGATTCAATCATTTTTCAATGTATGCCTTTTTATACTATTATGGTTTTCAGTTATTTTCATAACTAAATTTTTTTAAAAGAAAAAATATGGATAGACTTTGAATGTAATGAGTTTGATACAAAAGCTCCTATAAAAGAGAAGACGCCAAACATATGTTGCCCTGGGGACAAGAACTGAATGTATGGGACCTCAGATGGATGCTTTCTGAGCACTTAATCCAGAATCAAACACTTTGCTTGCCTTTCTCATGCTCTGCTTTTGTGAGGGTCAGTAATGCCCACTGTTGCTAAGAAACATTACTATTTAGGAACTTCTCTATGGAAGGATAATTACATTTGCTCTCTACTATAAATATCTACATGGATGTCTGAAGAATATTTGACTAATTGGGTTTAGGAGCAGGAATCCAATACCTAAGTAAATAGCCTCTTTCTAATTGATTGACACATGGAATTGAACTTGTACCTGTGGTGAGAAATATGGGAAAATTTGCTTTCTAAAAAATTCTTTGGGCCAGACACAGCAGCTCACGCCTGTAATCCCAGCACTTTGGGAGGCCGAGGCGGGCAGATCACAAGATCAGAAGTAGGAGACCAGCCTGACCAACATGGTAAAACCCCGTCTCTACTACAAATACAAAAATTAGCCGGGCGTGGTGGCGCATGCCTCCAGCTACTCAGGAGGCTGAGGCAGGAGAATCGCTTGAACCCTGGAGGCAGAGGTTGCGGTGAGCCAAGATCGCGCCACTGCACTCCAGCCTGGGCGACAGAGTAAGACTCCATCTCAAAAAAATAAAAAAACTATGCTAGATTAAATTGTTTCATGTTAGTTTAGCGGTTCCATTTTCACGTCTCAATATATTT
The DNA here is from genome assembly GCF_000001405.40 of Homo sapiens. Classification (NCBI taxonomy): domain Eukaryota; kingdom Metazoa; phylum Chordata; class Mammalia; order Primates; family Hominidae; genus Homo; species Homo sapiens. The sequence goes on from NC_000003.12 coordinate 49,251,102, forward strand.
TACTTAGTTTTTGTTTGTTGGTTGGTTGGTTTGTTTTGAGACAGAGTCTCTCTCTGTCACACAGGCTGGAGTGCAGTGGTGCGATCTCAGCTCACTGCAACCTCCCCTTCCTAGGTTCAAGCAGTTCTCCTGTCTCAGCCTCCTGAGTAGCTGGGACTACAGGCACATGCCACCATGCCTGGCTAATTTTTTTTTTTTTTTTTGAGGTGGAGTCTCTCTCTGTCGCCAGGCTGGAGTGTAGTGGCACAATCTCAGCTCACTGCAACCTCTGCCTCCTGGGTTCAAGTGTTTCTCCTGCCTCAGCCTCCTGAGTAGCTGGGACTACAGGCGTGCATCACCATGCCCAGCTAATTTTTGTATTTTTAGTAGAGACGGGGTTCACCATGTTGGCCAGGAAGGTCTTGATCTCCAGACCTTGTGATCCGCCAGCTTTGGCCTCCCCAAAGTGCTGGGATTACTGGTGTGAGCTGCTGCGCTCAGACTTTACTTAGTTGTTGGTTTTTTTGTCTTTTTTTTTGAGATGGAGTTTTGCTTTTGTTGCCCAGGCTGGAGTGCAATGGCGCGATCTCGGCTCACCGCAACCTCTGCCTCCCGGGTTCAAGCGATTCTCCTGCCTCAGCCTCCCGAGTAGCTGGGACTACAGGCATGCGACACCACGCACTGCTAATTTTTGTATTTTTAGTAGAGACGGGGTTTCTCCATGTTGGTCAGGCTGTTCTCAAACTCCTGATCTCAGCTGATCTGCCCGCGTCGGCCACCCGAAGTGCTGGGATTACGGGCGGAGCTACCGTGCCTGGCCTACTTAGTTTTTATATCACGAGATTATATCAAGAGATTCTCCTGCCTCAGCCTCCCGAGTAGCTGGGATTACAGGCATCTGCCGCCACACCCGGCTAATTTTGTATTTTTAGTAGAGGCCGGGTTTCTCCATGTTGGTCAGGCTGGTCTCGAACTCCCGACCTCAGGTGATCCACCCGCCTCGGCCTCCCAAAGTGCTGAGATTACAGGCGTGAGCCACCACGCCCTGCCACCAAATTCATCTTGTTTGTTCAATTTTTTCCCAACTGCAGGGAGACTACAGTAAACATTTCCCAAAACTTCCTGTGCAAAATTGCTGATTCCTACTGTTTTCATGCCATTTTCTGTTGTTATCCATTAGTGTTTGTGAATTTACACACTGAGGGAGTGAGGCATATGCAGTTTCCAGAAGGCAGCCAGCATTGCCAGTGGGGTGGCACAGCCCTGGACCCACTTTTTAAAAATTGTGGTAAAAATACACATAACATAAAATGTACCATTTCTTACTGCTTTTTTCTTTTCTTTTTTTTTATTTTTGAGATAGGTTCTCCCTCTGTCATCAAAACTGGAGTGCAGTGGCACAATCACAGCTGACTGTAGCTTTGACCTCCTGGGATCAAGCAATTCTCCCACCTCAGCCTCCCGAGTAGCTAGGACCACAGGCACATACCACCCCACCCAGCTAATTTTTATTTTTCATTTTGTAGAGACAGGATCTCACTATGTTGCCCAGGCTGGTCTAGAACTCCTGGGCCCAAGCAATCCTCCCGCCTCAGTGGCTTCCCAAAGTGCTGGGATTATAGGTGTGAGCCACTGTGCCCAGCCTGTTTATTATTTTTTCCCTCTTCTAGACTGTAGAATTCGGCCGGGCATGGTGGCTCACTCCTGTAATTCCAGCACTTTGGGAGGCCGAGGTGGGCGAATCATGAAGTCAAGAGATCGAGATCATCCTGGCCAACATGGTGGACCCTGTCTCTACTAAAAATACAAAAATTAGCTGGGCATGGTGTTGCGTGCCTAAAGTCCCAGCTACTTGGGAGGCTGAGGCAGGAGAATTGCTTGAACCCAGAGGCAGAGGTTGCAGTGAGCTGAGATTGCACTACTGCACTCCAGCCTGGCAATAGAATGAGACTCAGTCTCAAAAAAAAAAAAAATCATGTAGGTAGACAGTTTTGTTCAAAATTGTTTTCCATTCTCCTAGCACAGTGTCTGACAATAAACTTTCAGATAAAGGTGTATATTTCGGCCAGGCATGGTGGCTTATGCCTGTAATCCCAGCACTTTGGGAGGCTGAGGCGGGTGGATCACCTGAGGTCAAGAGTTTGAGACCAGCCTGGCCAACATGGCAAAACCCCATCTCTATTAAAATACAATTAATAGCTGGGCATGGTGGTGCATGCCTGTAATCCTAGCTACTCCGGAGGCTGAGGCTGGAGAACTGCTTGAACTCAGGCGGCAGAGGTTGCAGTGAGCTGAGATCGTGCCACTGCACTCCAGCTAGGCGACAGAATGAGATTCTGTCTCAAAAAAAGAAAGAAAGAAAGAAAAAAGAATTCAAGTCCACCAATCTTGCCATGGCTCATTCACCCCTCTGTGTAACTGTGACCTGCCTCCCCTCAGCTGTGGCCTGCTCCTGGGCCCCTTGCTCACCATGTTTCAGCCATGCTGATCTCAATTCCTCTGTTTGGAACGTGCTCTTTCTTCTGTTGGTAATATTCTTTCCCTTACAGTTTTATGACAATTCAGCTAAATATCAGTTTCTTAGGGAAATCTTACCCCTGAGAGTGACTAAGTCTACAGTTACATGGTCTCAAGCACAGTACGCTTTTCCTTTAGAGCAGTTATTACATTTATAGTTATTTGTATAATTAGTCATTAACTACCTCCTGTTTTCCCTAAGATTGCAATTTCAAGAGGGCTTTATTTGTCTTTTTTTTTTTTTTTTTTTTTTTGAGATGAAGTCTCGCTCTGTCACCCAGGCTGGAGTGCAATGGTGGGATCTCAACTCACTGCAACCTCTACCTCCCAGGTTCAAGCAATTCTCATGCCTCAGCCAACCAAGTAGCTGGGACTACAGGCACCCGCCGCCACGCCTGGCTCATTTTTGTATTTTTAGTAGAGACAGAATTTCATCATGTTGGCTAGGCTGGTTTCGAACTCCTGACCTCAGGTGATCTGCCCGCCTCAGCCTGCCAAAGTGCTGGGATTACAGGCGTGAGTCTCCACGCCCAGCTAGCTTTATCTGTCTTGATAACTGCTATATCCATAGTGCCTGGCACATAGTATATGCTCATTAAACATTCGTTGAATAAATATAAAAGCATCTTCATATGACCTGTAGTCTAGCAAGAGGATGGCAATAAATTGCAACACAATGTGTCATTAAATAAATGTGTGTGTGTGTGTGTGCATGCAGAATCTCACTGTGCAAAAGAGGAAAATCAATCAGTCCTGATGTAGTTAGCACCTAGGTCCCCAAGTCTATTTGGGTCCAAGTGTAAGTATGGGATAAATAAGTGGAGGGCAATAAATGATGGTAGGGCACATACACGGTGCTACCTGCAGAGAGAAGCAACACCCTAGCCGAGTGGAAATGGTATTTTCTGAGGAGGTGACTGCTGAAAGTAGAAGGAAGAATAGGAATTAGCTGGACTAAGGTGGTGATTGGTTGCGGGGGGCGGGGGGAATGACAGGGACAGAAACAGGGTACTTGAAGCTAAGGGAAGACTTTGCACAAAGGCCAGTGGTGAGAGAGAAAACAAGAGTCCAGAGACATGGAGGAGGACAAATGGGTAAAGGGAAGTGAGCCCAGATCTTGTTAGCCAATTTAAAGATTTAGATTTTGTTCAGTGGCCAGTGGGGTGCCATCGAAAGTTTCAACGGGCTGGGCATGGTGGCTCACGCCTGTAATCCCAGCACTTTGGGAGGCCGAGGCGGGCAGATCACCGGAGGTCAGAAGTTCAAGACCAGCCTGGCCAACATAGTGAAACCCCATCTCTACTAAAAATACAAAAATTAGCAGGGCATGGTGGCATGCGCATGTAATCCCAGCTACTTAGGAGCTGAGGCAGGAGAATCGCTCAAACCTAGGAGGGGGAAGTTGCAGTGAACCAAGATCGCATCACTGCACTCCAGTCTGGGTGACAGAGCTAGTCTCCGTCTCAAAAAAAAAAAAAGAAAAAAAGTTTCAATGAAGGTTTCAGAGGGTGCATTCTACTAAGATCACTCTGATGAGAGGGCCAAGAAGGAAGGCCACAGAAGCTTTTGTGCTGTTGTCTGGGCAACTGATTCTCAGAGTCCCCAGCAGGTGCTGAGGTTGGGTCTGCCCTAGCCAGGATCTTGTCAAGGAGGGAGGGAAGGAGAGCCTGGAGGAACCACTCCGGTCTGCATCCAGCTCCTCCCTTTTCACTGCTGTGGTTCTGTGGTTTGGGCAGATGGGACATACCATACATAGTCTTCAGGAGGTGAACTGTCACTGTTTTGTATTTAGTACAAGAGACTATACAGGCCCAGAATGACCTGGTGTTTGAGGCAGTCCAGGACAAAGGCAACATGGAGCAGGCCATCCTTGAGATGAAGAAAAGATTTGAAGCTGTAAGTGTAAACCCCAACCTCTTTCTAAGTGTGTTTTGGGCTTTGAACTAGACCCAGAGAGAAACTTTTTTTTTTTTTTTTTTTTTGAGACAGAGTCTCGCTTTGTCGTGCGGTGGTGCAATCTCAGTTCACTGCAACCTCCGCCTCCCATGTTCAAGCAATTCTCCTGCCTCAGCCTCCTGAGTAGCTAGGACTTACAGGTGTGCACCACCACGCCCAGCTAATTTTTGTATTTTTAGTAGAGAGGGGGTTTTTCACCATGTTGGCCAGGATGGTCTCAATCTCTTGACCTTGTGATCCACCTGCCTTAGCCTCCCAAAGTGCTGGGGATTACAGGTGTGAGTCACTGCGCCCGGCCGAGAAACCTTTAAAGTTGCAAATTTTCAGCTAAGACAAGAGGCCAGCACAGGCCACTTGGAAAGGGGCCAGCATATAGACTAGCTTCCTTCCCCAAGGTTCCTTGACATGATGTGGGCCCCAGGGGTTCAACTCCCGAGTGTAATTGTGCTTACCCTGAGAGGTTCCCTACAAGGAGCAAGCCTTGGTTCTGCTGTCACATCCATTGGTCTGTTCTCATGTTTTATTGTGCTTTCTGACTTGCACTGTCCATCACTGTCTTTCTCACTGCCTCTCTCCCCAGAGACAAGGAGAGTTTATAGAAATGAAGTCCAACCTGAAGCACCTTGAAGTTTTAGTTGCTCAGCAGAGTCAGGAATTCCAGCAGCTGTGTGAGCAGCTAGGCCAGCTGAATGTGCCCAGTGTCCTAGCAGAGCTGAAGAGATTGATCTCAGTGCCTCCAGTGAAAGACAGTGCTTCTCAGACGTCGCCACCTTTGGCCCAGAGCCTCAATCTCACCAGGCAGGAAAAATACACCTCTGAGAAACCAGTTTTATGGCAGGCCCAGGCCCTCCCTGCTGCATGGAATCCTGGTATGGGCTCCCTACAGCCTGGAGAATTTGATGTCTGGGGTGAAGGAGCAAAGAATGATGATCTCCAAGAAGAGGCTGCACTGCCAGCATTTGGGTCCCATGAAAGAAATAGGCATGTAAAGGACAAGGTGGTGCAGACTAACTGCAAGAACTGGGCTGTTACTAAAACAGGTGCCAAGAACCATGGTTCCAGCGTCCCAGGCCATAAGATTCCCAGTGACAGGGACCTGGTTTCCCAAGGAGCCTCACAGCTCACATCATTGGAGATAAACTTTTCAACCAGCATTAAGAATGCCTGCCAAAAATATCAAGCCCAAAGTATGTTTTTGTGTGACCCACGTGAACATTTGGTGATTAAACAGAAAGATGGGACTGTAGAAATGCGGGGGAAAGACAAGAAGCAGCAGCCCAGGAAGGCCCACAGGGCCCACAGAGGCAGGCTCATAGCCAGCAAGCAAAAACAAATCCCAATCCAGACCTGTAAATTCAATTCCAAATATCAGAGTCCTCAGCCTGCAATTTCTGTCCCTCAAAGCCCCTTCCTGGGGCAGCAGGAACCCCGTGCTCAGCCTCTGCATCTGCAGTGTCCCAGGAGCCCCAGAAAACCAGTCTGCCCTATTCTGGGAGGAACAGTCATGCCCAATAAGACAGTAAGGGCAGTGCAGGGAAGACTCTTGCAGCTCAGCAGGTGCTCTTCCCAAGACAACTGGCTACTTTCCAGCAGTTCCCAGGGGGACCACCAGATGAGCTGGTTCAGTGACCTCAATCTCGGATGTTCAGAGACCCCTCTATGCAAGGAGGCAGGAAAGAATTTGCTCTATGACCTGGGTTTTGATAGCAGTGATGATGATGGCTTCTGACCAGTCCACAGTTGATTTATTGGTCTCAGCTAGAAAGAGAAATTGCAGGACATTTGGGCTGGCCAACAGCAGAAAGTCCCTGAAGCCTGCCAAGTACCCAGGGTCAGAGGCCCTGCTGAGGTGGGGCAATGAGCACGAGGGCAGGGAAGGTCCAGCATTCTGGGTACCAGGTGCTGCCCCTGACAAGGATTAAGTGCATCCTTATTTATTGGAATGAAATGTGAAAATGGTGCTGATGAAAACTGAGGCAGCAGCCTGGTTGTGGGGCATCTGGAGCAGGGTGCCTGTACTTTGGCGAAAGGCAGGCAGGCCTCCTTATGGAATACTGTGTAGCAGAAGGGCTCTCATAAAACTGTTGCGGTGGCAGCATGACTCCAAACAACATTTTTGGGTCTTTAAAATATTCCCTACACATGACCAATACATTTTCAGGCCTCAGGATTTTTTTCTTTCTTATTTTTAGCCACTTATGCTACCAGAATGTTTGCATTTTTTGATCAGTAGACATATTACAGGACACCCTAAATCTTCTTGTGAACAGAGAAAATAAAATGATAAGCCTGCCAGTGAAAGAGGTGACATTCACTAGCAAATGTCCAGAGCATATCACTGCTCACAAGCCATTTTTCTTCCTGGTTGCTTTTTCCCTTGTCCTGTTTTTCAAGCACTTTCTTAAAACTAATAATATTGTAGACCTTGTATTTCTGAAGAGCAGTGGGCTTATATGGGACTTTGGCTTTCCATTTTTATCTTGCTGAAGTTTTTGAGTTTTTGCAACACAAGTATTTTTTGTTATCAGAAATAAGATAAAACATTTAAAAGCATATATTTTTTTTCTTTCTTTCCACCCCCACCCCCAACCGAGATGGAGTATTGCTCTGTCACCCAGGCTAGAGTGCAGTGGTGTGATCTCAGTTCACTGCAACCTCTGCCTCCTGGGTTCAAGCAATTCTGCCTCAGCCTCCCAAGTAGCTGGGATTACAGGCGCCCACCACCACACCCAGCTAATTTTTGTATTTTTAGTAGAGATGGGAGTGTCACTATGTTGGCCAGGCTGGTCTCGAACTCCTGACCTCATGATCTGCCTGCCTCAGCCTCACAAAATGCTGGGATTACAGGCATGAGCCACTGCGCCTGGCCTATTTTTTCTTTCAAGTTTATCAAACTGATGTCCCGGTTTAATTTTTTAAGTTTACTTAGGAAATGAAATAGAAGCCAGGCACACTTGTAATCCTAGCACTTGGGGAGGCTGAGGCAGGAGGATTGCTTGAGGCCAGGAGCTCAAGACTAACCTGGGCAACATGGTGAGACCCCATCTCTTTTTTTTTTTTTTTTTTTTTTTTTTTTTTTTATTGAGACAGAGTCTCGCTCTGTCACCCAGGCTGGAGTGCAGTGGCTCGATCTCGGCTCACTGCAATGCAAGCTCCTCCTCCCGGGTTCACACCATTCTCCTGCCTCAGCCTCCCAAGTAGCTGGGATTACAGGTGCCTGCCACCACGCCTGGCTAATTTTTTGTATTTTTAGTACAGACAGGGTTTCACTGTGTTAGCCAGGATGGTCTCGATCTCCTGACCTCGTGATCCGCCCGCCTCGGCCTCCCAAAGTGCTGGGATTACAGGCGTGAGCCACCGCACCCAGCCCTTTTGTTTTTTGAGGAGTTTCACTCTTGTTGCCCATGCTGGAGTGCAATGGCGTGATCTCAGCTCACTGCAACCTCCACCTCCCGGGTTCAAGCGATTCTCCTGCCTCAGCCTCCCAAGTAGCTGGGATTACAGGCATACGCCACCACACCTGGCTAATTTTGTATATTTAGTAGAGATGGCTTTCTCCATATTGGTCAGGCTGGTCTCGAACTCCCGACCCCAGGTGATCTGCCCGCTTCAGCATCCCAAAGTGCTGGGATTACAGATGTGAGCCACCACGCCCGGCCTGTGAGACCCTATCTCTACCAAAAAAAAAAAAAAAAAAAAATTAGCTGGACATGGTGGCGTGCACCTGTGGTCTCAGCTACTTGGAAGGCTGAGATGGGAGGATCACTTGAGCCCAGGAGTTTGAGGTTACAGTGAGCTATGATTGTGCCACTGCACTCCAGCCTGAGTGACAGACCAAGACCTTGTCTCTTAAAAATTAAAATGAGAGGCCGGGCGCAGTGGCTCATGCCTGTAATCCCAGCACTTTGGGAGGCCGAGGTGGGCGGATCACTAGGTCAGGAGATTGAGACCATCCTGGCTAACACAGTGAAACCCTGTCTCTACTAAAAATACAAAAAAAAAAAATTAGCCGGGCGTGGTGGCAGGTGCCTGTAGTCCCAGCTACTTGGGAGGCTGAGGCAGGAGAATGGCGAGAACCCGGGAGGTGGAGCTTGCAGTGGGCCGAGATCGTGCCACTGCACTCCATCCTGAGCGACAGAGTGAGGCAGAGCTTGCAGTGGGCCGAGATCGCACCACTGCACTCCATCCTGGGCGACAGAGCGAGACTCCATCTCAAAGAAAAAAAAAAAAAAGGCCGGGCGCGGTGGCTCACGCCTGTAATCCCAGCACTTTGGGAGGCCGAGGCGGGCGGATCACGAGATCAGGAGATCGAGAACATCCTGGCTAACATGGTGAAACCCTGTCTCTACTAAAAACAGAAAAAGTTAGCCAGGCATGGTCGCGGGCGCCTGTTGTCCCAGCTACTCGGGAGGCTGAGGCAGGAGAATGGCATGAACCCGGGAGGCAGAGCTTGCAGTGAGCCAAGATCGCACCACTGCACTCCAGCCTGGGTGACAGAGAAAAACTCCGTCTCAAAAAAAAAAAAAAAAAAAAAATCAGGGCCGGGCGCAGTGGCTAACGCCTGTAATCCCAGCACTTGGGAGGCCCAGGCGGGTGGATCAAAGGTCAGGAGTTCGAGACCAGCCTGGCCAATATGCAATATGGTGACACCCCGTCTCTACTAAAAATACAAAAATTAGGTGGGTCTGGTGGCACGTGCCTGTAGTCCCAGCTGTCCTGGAGGCTGAGGCAGAAGAATCACTTGAACCCGGGAGTTAAAGGTTGCAGTGAGCCGAGATCATGCCACTGCACTCCAGCCTGGGCGACAGAGTGAGACTCTTTCTCAAAAATAAAAAAAAAAAAGAAGATATGAAAATCAGATACATACCATCTTTTTAGTTCCTAAGGCTCTCACAAGATTATTTTGAATAAACACCACCCATTCAAACTGGTTTTTCCCTTTCCTGTATTATATGAAGGGGAAAATCCTCATGGGATGGATAGTTTCCAGAATTTGCCCATTTCCAAGCCAGTACAGTAAATGACACTGGGGCCGCTGAGTGGACCACTGTAGAAAGCAATGGTTCTTGTTTCTTATTTTTTACATTATTTTCAGGGATGTGTGTCCCATCAAAGTCTCATTATGGAGGAGTTGAATTTTCCCGGGACACCTGTGGCAGGGCTGCCAGACACCAGCCTAAACTGCTCTCACTCTCATTTCCAGACCAAGGGCCTCTGGTGGCCTGTAGGGAGCCATGGGCAATCACAGCAACCCTCTCTGAGGCCAAGGAAGTTCAGGTATGAGCTGTACCTGAGGCTGCCCTGGCCTCTCCTCTCCCGTCAGTCCTCACTGGGTGTCTTCTCACCCTGCCCTCTGCCAGCTCCACTGCTTTCCCTGCTGGGTTTCATTGCTTGTGCAAGGAAGATACGGAAGCCACACAATGGGTTGGTTCTTTCTAGCCCTTCCCAGACTGACTATAGGCCAGCGGGGTCTGTATCTAGAAATCTTTTATTACTCTAAGTTGAACAGTTTAATGATTAGTCATTTTAATTTAGAGTTGAGATTCCATTAGTATTTGACTGTGGCCTTCTTATTGAGAACTCTGTTCAACTTTGAAATGCCAAAGCAGGAGCCTTTGTTCTTTGATCCTGCCGTGAGTTAAGAAATTCTGTATTTCTTCAGAAGTGTTTCATTTTGTGTAATGAAGTCAAGGGTTAGAGTGACTCAGTGTTCCATGAGTTAAGTGTCTTTGTAGAATGAACAGTAAACTTATCTCCTAATAATTCTGCGTTAATTACAATTACACTGCCTGTCTCTGGGGATCATCAGAAAAAGATACTGTTTCTTAATTTATTCCTAAGGCTTAAAAAAAAAAGTTAGGCCGGGTGCAGTGACTCATGCCTGTAATCCCAGCACTTTGGGAGGCTGAGGCAGGTGGATCATGAGATCAGGAGATCAGGATCATCCTGGCTAACAGGGTGAAACCCCATCTCTACTAAAAATACAAAAAACTAGCCGGGCATGGTGACAGGAGCCTGTAATCCCAGCTACTCGGGAGGCTGAGGCAGGAGAATGGCGTGAACCCAAGAGGCGGAGTGACCCGAGATCACGCCGCTGCACTCCAGCGTGGACGACAAAGCAAGACTCCATCTCAAAAAAAAAAAAAAAAATTAACTACTGTGTTCCTGCCAGGTTTGGTGAGGGTGACACAGCCCAAGCATCCAAGCATGTCCCTGGAACAATCAACATCTTTGGCTCCTCAGATGTTCCTGGAACTGTATGTGGCTACCCAGGGGCAGATGTGGTGGGAGGCCTATGGGCCTGAGGCCCAAAAAGCCACACAGGGCCAGGCGTGGTGGCTCACGCCTGTAATCCCAGCACTTTGGGAGGCTGAGCCGGGCGAATCAACGAGGTCAGGAGTTCGAGACCAGCCTGGCCAACATGGTGAAACCCCGTCTCTACTAAAAATACAACAAATTAGCTGGGCATGGTGGCAGGTGCCTATAATCCCAGCTACTTGGGAGACTGGGACAGGAGAATCACTTGAACCTGGGAGGCAGAGGTTGCAGTGAGCTGGGATCGCGCCACGGCGCTCCAGCCTGGGCAATAGTGCAGGACTGTCTCAAAAAAACAAAACAAACAAACAAGCCACCCAAGGGCTTCTCCCTCTGATACAACTCTGGCTACAGCCCAAGGATGGAAATGAAGCTGATTGCAGTACCTAATTTTCTTGACATTCACAGGTATCTATCTATCTATTTATTTATTTATTATTATTTGAGATGGTGTTTTGCTCTTGTGGCCCAGGCTGGAGTGCAATGGTGCAATCTTAGCTCACTGCAATTTCCGCCTCCCGGGTTCAAGCAATTCTCCTGCCTCAGCCTCCAGAGAAGGTGGGATTACGGCGCCCGCCACCACACCAGCTAATTTTTGTATTTTTAGTAGAGATGGGGTTTCACCACGTTGGCCAGGCTAGTCTCGAACTCCTGACCTCAGGTGATCTGCCCACCTTGGCTTCCAAAATGCTGGGATTATAGGCATGAGCCATCATGCCCAGCCAATTTCTCTTTTTCGTGTTTTTGCCTCAGAAGCTCCAAAGGGCTCCTGTTGAGGGGCCTCCTACAAGATGCTTTCTTTCCCAGGTCAGTTCCCAGCAACTCCTCTCACCCAAAGTGCCCAGAAAACAGCCTGTCTACTCTCAAAAAAGATAGTTGCAGCCTGGCGCGGTGGCTCATACCTGTAATCCCAGCATTTAGGGAGGCAGAAGAGGGAGAATCTCTTGAGTCCAAGAGTTTGAGACCAGCCTCAGCAACACAGTGAGACTCTGCCTCTTTTTTTTTTTTTTTTTTTTTGAGACGGAGTTTCACTCTTGTTGCCCAGGCTGGAGTGCAATGGTGCAATCTTGGCTCACTGCAACCTCTGCCTCCCAGGTTCAAACGATTCTCTTGCCTCAGCCTCCCAAGTAGCTGGGATTACAGGCACCCACAACCACACCCAGCTAATTTTGGTATTTTTGGTAGAGATGGGGTTTCACTATGTTGGCCAGGCTGGCCTCGAACTCCTGACCTTGTGATCTGCCCACCTCAGCCTCCCAAAGTGCTGGGATTACAGGCGTGAGCCACCACGCCAGGTCTGACTCTGCCTCTATTTTAAAAAATGGTAGTTGCTTCCTAGAAGTTAGTTTTGACTTTTTTTTTGTTTTTTTTGAGACAGAGTCTCACTTTGTTACCCAGGCTGGAGTGCAGTGGTGCGATCTCAGCTCACTGCAGCTTCGACCTCCTGGACTCAAGCCATCTTCTTAGCCTCCAGAGTAGCTGGGATTACAGGCGCCCGTCACCACACCCAGCTAACTTTTGCATTTTTAGAAGAGGCAGGGTTTGGCCATGTGGGCCAGGCTGGTCTCAAACTCCTGACCTCCAGTGATCTGCTTGGCTCAGCCTTACAAAGTACTGGGATTACAGGCGTGAGCCATTAGGCCCAGCCACACTGGGCTAATTTTTATATTTTTTGTAGGGATGGGGTTTCACCATGTTGCCCAGGCTGGTCTTGAACCCCTGGGCTCAAGTGATCGGCCTTACTCAGCCTCTCAAAGTGCTGGGATTACAGGCATGAGCCAAGCTTATGCCAGGCCTGAGGCCAAAACTCTTTGTCAAATCAGGCATTTTCCAGACAGCCTAGAACACAGAGTCCTTCCCCACTATGGCTGGGATCCACTGTCAAATAGATTTCCTGAGTAAACCTTTGTTCCCTCTAGATATTTAGTTGGAACCTAAAATATTAATATTCTCCCACACATTCCAAGGATAATGCAAATAGCCTGAGCCTCATCTTGTTTCTGGATGACAGAGCCTTTTTTGTTTAATTTTTTTTTTTTTTTTTTTTTTGAGACGGAGCCTCGCTCTGTCTCCCAGGCTGGAGTGCAGTGGCGCAATCTCAGCTCACCGCAACCTCTGCCTCCCGGGTTGAAGAAATTCTCTGCCTCAGCCTCCCGGGTTCAAGAAATTCTCTGCCTCAGCCTCCCAAGTAGCTGGGATTACAGGTGCCTGTCACCGCGCCCGGCTAGTTTTTTTTTATTTTTTAGTAGAGATGGAGTTTCACCTTCTTGGCCAGGCTGGTCTTGAACTTCTGATCTCATGATCCACCCGCCATGGCCTCCCAAAGTGCTAGGATTACAGGCATGAGCTACCGTGCCCAGCTTTTAATTTTTTTTATAAAAATTTTTTTAAAAAGGGCCAGGCACGGTGGCTCACGCCTATAATCCCAGCATTTTGGGAGGTTGAGGTAGGCGGATTGTTTGAGGTCGGGAGTTTGAGACAAGCCTGACCAACATGGAGAAACCCCGTCCCTACTAAAAATACAAAATTAGCCGGGCGTGGTGGTGCCTGCCTGTAATACCAGCTACTCGGGAGGCTGAGGCAGGAGAATCGCTTGAATCTGGGAGGCGGAGGTTGCAGTGAGCAGAGATCGCACTATTGCACTCCAGCCTGGGCAACAAGAGCAAAACTCCGTCTCAAAAAAACAAAAACAAAAATTAAATATAGTCCGGGCGTGGTCGCTCACGCCTGTAATCCCAGCACTTTGGGAGGCCGAGGCAGGTGGATCGCTTGAAGTCAGGAGTTCCAGACCAACCTGGCCAACATGGCAAAACTTCATCTCTACAAAAAATACAAAAATTAAACAAGTGTGGTGGCAGGCCCCTGTAATCTCAGCTACTTGGGAGGCTGAGGCAGGAAATCACTTCAACCCTGGAGGCGGAGGTTGCAGTGAGCCGACATCACACCACTGCACTTCAGCCTGGGTGACAGAGTGAGACCCTGCCATACACACACAAAATTTAAAAATAGAGATGGTGTCTCCCTGTTTCCCAGACTGATCTCGAACTGCTGGGCTCAAGTGATTCTCCTGCTTTGGGCTCCCAAAGTGCTGGGATTATAGGCTTGAGCCACTGCACCTGGCCCAGAGCCTTTTCAATAATCATCTATAATCAGGTGTATTGGCTTCCCAAGTCCTCCCATGGTTTGCATGACTCATTGGTCTTTGCTACCACATTAAAACATCTTGTGGCTCAATCAGAAGTACCACTCTGAGGCTGGGCGCAGTGGCCCATGCCTGTAATACCAGCACTTCGGGAGGCCAAGCAAGACTCCGTCTCAAAAAAAAAAAAAAAGTACCACTCTGGGCCGGGCACAGTGGCTCATGCCTGTAATCCCAGCACTTTGGGAGGCCAAGGCGGGCAGATCACTTGATGTCAGGAGTTCGAAACCAGGCTGGCCAACATGGTGAAACCCTATCTCTGTCGCCCAGGCTGGAGTGCAGTGGCGTGATCTCCGCTCACTGCAACCTCCACCTCCTGGGTTCATGCCATTCTCCTGCGTCAGCCTCCAGAGTAGCTGGGACTACAGGCGCCTGCCACCACGCCCAGCTAATTTTTTCGTATTTTCAATAGAGACAGGGTTTCACCGTGTTAGCCAGGATGGTCTTGATCTCCTGACCTCTTGATCTCCTGACCTCGTGATCTGCCTGCCTCGGCCTCCCAAAATGCTGCGATTACAGGCGTGAGCCACCACTCCCGGCCAAGACTCTGTCTTAAAAAAAAAAAAAAAAAAGAAAGAAAAGAAACAGCACTCTAATACCAGGTGAGCCCCTGGTCTAGCCATTTCAGGAGGGAGATTGGCCTGAGCTAGGCCCCTTTTGCAAATCTTCTTCACTGACCTTTGAACATTGACAACTCACAATTTCACCAGTTGGCAGAATGGTGTTACTTTATCACTGCATTCCTGAGTGAAAAGGTGAGGGACACAGGCCTCCAGGTTGTCTGTCTCCTTCCTTCTGGTCTGTGGATGCTGTTGGAATCATCTCTGGGATTGAAAGAGACGGTGGTGGGGTGGGCCCAGGAGAATGCCAAGGAATCAGGGCAGGTGTGCCAGGAGTTGGCTCCCCTATCCTAAGAGTGAGGGGAGCAGCAGATAGATGGGTAAGGGGAACCCTGAGTCCTAGAGATGAGAAGGTAGGTCCCAGTGCCCAACTGTGGTGGCTTGAGCCTCACAGAGGCAGAGGTGTGCTAATGTAAGTGCTCCCAGAGCTCAACTGGCAAGAGTTCACAATGTAGAACCAGATCCACGTGACTACACAGGCGTGATGCCTGTGAGTGTGGGGAACACAGGAATCAGAATGAACTGAGGGCCGGGTCATTTCCAGCCTGCAGCCAGCCCTTTTTAATTTCCCTTTTGAAAGAATTGCTGGCCAGGCACGGTGGCTCACGCCTGTAATCCTAGCACTTTGGAAAGCCGAGGCGGGTGGATCACGAGGTCAGGGGTTCGAGACCAGCCTGACCAACATGGTGAAACCCAGTCTCTACTAAAAATACAAAAATTAGCCAGGCGTGGTGGCACAGGCCTGTAATCCCAGCTACTCAGGAGGCTGAGGCAGGAGAATCCCTTGAACCTGGGAGGCGGAGGTTGCATTGAGCCGAGATTGTGCCACTGCACTCCAGCCTGGGCAATAGACCAAGACTCTGTCTCAAAAAAAAAAGAATTGCTGCTTTTCTCCCAGGCCTCAGCTGTGACTCTGTGTTCCCTGCTGGAACTTCACTCCACCATTCACTTATCTCTCTCCTTGTTCCTGCCCTTTCTTCTCAGCCTTCCCTTCCAGCTCTTAAATCTCTCTTTCTAGAAGCTTCTAAAGACCAGCTCCTCCCTTAAGTATTGTTACGAAGTTTATCATCAGTTGGCTTACAACCCTGGTTTCTACTGGCTTTGGCATGAACACTGGTGGGATGCAGCCATGGATCCTGGAAATCTCTTGTCATAGGGTTGGATGGGTCCATCTTCTCATATGCCTTGTGCTATGGCTTGAATTTGCAGTTTGCAACTAGCAAGTTCCAAAGCTATTTATTTTTGAAGCTGTCTTGTTTCTATTTTGATTCTGGTAATCCAAATTGCAGTTTGGTGTTTCCACGGAAACAATTCAGTGATTGTTTGGCTTGCCAAGATGAACTGTGGGGGAGAGAACTGAATGATGTAAAATATTTAAAGTTTCTCAGTCATGATCAAAGTCAACTATCAAGTCTCCCTGAGAAGGATTTGGTCCTAGCTCCTTAAAAACCTGAGGAAGTTTTATTAAAATTCTGGGCTTTTGTTCCCCCTCCAACTAAATCCCTGGAGAACAGCTCCCCAAACCCTGTTCTGAGCAAATGAGCGTGTATCTGCTCACTGTATAGACTCAGATGACGAAGGCGGGAAGTTCTTCTTGGGCACCTCAGGGAGCCAGAGATGCAGAGACGGGAGTAGATCGTGTCACCAGGGAAATGAGGAGGCCTATGTGCCCACTCCCTGCTAATCTGGGACTGGCATGGAGAGGCTCAGGACTCACCTGCTTGACTGTACAGCTGCATTTCTAGTGAGGAAAAGTTCCACATTCAAGGATTCCAGGATGAATTGCCTGTTTGGAAAATCTGAATTTTTAAATAAAGGCTTTGCTTAAGCAAAGACATACCTGTCTCTCTGGCCAGGGAGAGCCTGTATTCTCCCTCATTCCTCACCCCCACCCTGTGCTGGGCCCTCATTCCCGTCTCTACTCCAGGTAGGAAAAATAAATAAATTTCAAAGTCTTCTAGAGTAAGGGATAGATAGATCCCCATTTATTTATTTATTTATTTATTTATTTATTTATTTTGAGACAGAGTCTC
Source organism: Homo sapiens (assembly GCF_000001405.40). Classification (NCBI taxonomy): domain Eukaryota; kingdom Metazoa; phylum Chordata; class Mammalia; order Primates; family Hominidae; genus Homo; species Homo sapiens. The sequence goes on from NC_000003.12 coordinate 49,267,721, forward strand.
ACTCTGTCACCCAGGCTGGAGTGCAATGGCACGATCTCAGCTCACTACAATGTCTGCCTCCTGGGTTCAAGCAATTCTCCTGCCTCAGCCTCCTAAGTAGCTGGGACTACAGGCATGCGCCACAACGCTGGCTAATTTTTGTATTTTTAGTAGAGACAGGGTTTCACCATGTTGGCCAGGCTGGTCTTGAACTCCTGACCTAAAGTGATCCACCCGCCTCAGCCTCCTAAAGTGCTGGGATTACAGGAGTGAGCCACCCTGCCTGGCTAGATCCCTATTTAATACAGCCACGGCTGCAAAGCCCCACCTGGGAGGGGCCAGGCCCTGACCAGTAGTAAACCAGTGAACTAACTGAGCTCCTGAGAAACAGCTCTTTGAGACCTAGATAACCCAGCTCCTGAGGATCTAGCTCCCCCAGAAAAGGACTGCCCTCGTGTCAGGGTCCTGCCAAGCCCTCCTGGTGTGGCCCCTAGGCTCCACTCCAGAAACTGAAAGTTGGGTCTGGACAGGTACTTTGTGAAGGATGTCCATGGCTAGTTGACTGGAGATGAGGGTTTTTAAACTAACTGCTTTTGTCTTTACAGAAGTGATACATGTCCACTGCAGGTCAATTAGAAAATACAGATGACAAAAAAAAGACTATACCCTCCTATCCATCACCCCCAAAAGTTTTTTTGCACATGAGCTCATACACATTTTCACAAACTTGAGATCAGTTGCACTTGATCCAAAGTGCAATTACATGCATTTTAAGTTTGGGGATAACTTTAGATTTACAGAAAATGTACTTCATATATATCCTTCACTCAGCCTCTCCAATGTTAACATCTTACATAACTCTGACACATTTGTCAAAACTAAGAAACTGACATCAATACATTAAACACTAGTTTTTATTCAAGTTTTATCAGTTTTTCCAATAATGTTCTCTTTCTCTTCCAGGATGCACTCCAGGATTCCATGTTGCATTTAGCCATTGTGTCTTCTTGGTCTTTAGTGGTCTGTTGATAGTTTTTGAGTCTTTCCTTATTTTTCATGACCTCAACAGTCTTTTTTTTTCTTTTTGAGGTGGAGTCTTGCTTGTTGCCCAGGCTGGAGTGCAGTGATGCGATCTTGGCTCACTGCAACCTCCACCTCCTGGGTTCAAGCAATTCTCCTGCCTCAGCCTCCTGTGTAGCTATGACTAAAGGCACATGCCATGATGCCTGGCTAATTTTTGTATTTTTAGCAGAGATGGGGTTTCACCATGTTTGCCAGGCTGGTCTCGAACTTCTGACCTCAAGTGATCTGCCCGCCTCAGCCTCCCAAAGTGTCGGGGATTATAGGCATGAGCCACTGCACCCGGCCATCTCAACAGTCTTGAGTTCTGGCCAGGTATCTTGTAGAATGTACCCCACGTCTGGATTTGTCTAACATTTGTCTCAAGATCATACACTGGGAATTTGGGTTTTTGGTAGGAATACCAGGGAAGTGATGCACCCCTCTCATGACATATACATGACATCACTTGGTTAGGTGTCTGCCAGGCTTCCCCACTATAAGTTTGTGACTTTTCCCTTTCCCTACTTTAGTCGTGGGAAGTATCATTAAGTCTAGTTCACCTTCAAAGGGTGGTAATGAGGTGGGAATATGGGGGTAAGGACAGGAATTAAGCTCCACCTCGTCTATAGAAGAGTGTCCACATCCACATGTATTATTTGGAAGGCACTGTTTTGAGACCTGTTTTTCTGAGTATCAAGTAGCCTGACATCTCTCCATCCAGACAGGCTATTCTTCACCTGAGCAGGGGCAGTTGAGCATACTGTGAGCACTTTTCATTTGCTTCCATTCTTCTTGCTCAGGGAGAAGAAATTGGCCTCTGACTCCACAGGCTGTGAATGCTTTGTGCTACCTCCTGCAGGGTCTGAGTGGTAGGTGGCCTGGAAGGAGCCTGTAGTTAGCCTTAACCTCAACTCCTGCCCCAGGCAGGGCAGTGGCAGTGGCCACAACTGGTTGGGAACCAGGGCACGCCCACTGGGGAGGCACATGCAATCAAGTGGCCAGGGTCTAACCATGCCATAGTTCTTGGGGCACCAGCAGGTGCCAGGCCAACCTCTGCTAAGGAGTGGGTGTGTAGCCTCCACATTTGAGCCCAGAGGAATCACTAGACCTGTGGTAAGGGATGTTGCTGGCTATGCAGCCTGCCCTATGCCAGAGTCACTGGCCTAAAAGACAGTCTGTTAGACAATCACTCAGCTGTTAGTTAGGCCTTTCTCCCCAACTCTTTGGTTTGTTCGGGCTTTAGCACTTATAAACAGCCCTGGCTGGTCCAAAGGTAGTGAGTTATCTCAATCGACTACTCACAGTTTCAGATCTAACTCCTTGTTCTACTCCTTCCCCTCTTCTTATACTACCCTCAGTCTTTAAAAACAATCAGGTCCAAAGGTATTGAGTTATCTCAATTGACTACTCACAGTTACAGATCTAACTCCTTGTTCCACTCCTTCCCCACTTCTTATACTATACTTCACTTGGTCTTTAAAAACAATCAAAACAAAAAACAGCCTTTTGCCAGCTCTGCCTCACCCCCATATTCCTTCCTCTTATTAGCTCAGGAGGTGGGCACTTCCCTGAGATTCAGTTTCCTTTCTTCCCTTTTTTTTTCTTTTTTTTTTTGAGACAGGGTCTCACTCTGTCACTCATGCTGGAGTGCAGTGGCGTGATCTCAGCTCACTGCAATCTCTGCCTCCTGGCCTCAAGTGATCCTTTCGCCTCAGTCCCTACCCAAGTAGCTGGAACTACAGGCACGAACCACCATGACCAGCTAAATTATTATTTTTTTGAGACAGAGTCTTGCTCTGTCACTCAGGATGGAGGGGAGCGGTGCCATCTCGGCTCATTGCAACCTCCGCCTCCAGGTTCAAGCAATTCTCCTACCTCAGCCTCCAAAGTAGCTGGGACTACAGGTGCACACCACCACTCCTGGCTAATTTTTGTATTTTTAGTGGAGATGGGGTTTCGCCATGTTGGCCAGGCTGGTCTCAAACTCCTAACCTCAAGTGATCCACTCGCCTTGGCCTCCCAAAGTGCTGGGATTACAGACGTGAGCCACTGTGCCTGGCCACTCCTGTACTTTTTTAGGGGCCCGTGGAAAAGAACACTAAGAGACACAGCAGAGGCCCATGACCCACACCTACCATGGGTACTGGGTATATTGAACATCAATCAAAAAAACACATTCAAGATGTCAAGGAAAGTTAAAAAAAAAAATCAGTAATAGGAAACATTTCAAAGCAATGGAATTCAAAAAACTGGTCTCACAGCTTAAAAAGGGACACAACTGGGATTTAAAAAGGGTCTGGTAATTCAGGTTCTGCCAACCTTTTGAGAAATGTGGCCCCTGACGGCCATTGTAGCTGCTTCTGCTCAGGCTCAAGGGCAGCCTCCTGCTGTAAGGAATCAAAGCTTAGATAACTGTCCTTACTCAATTTGGTATTTAAAAGACGTCATCACATTGTAGTCCTCTTCCAAGTCCAGAACAGTCTCAACAATATTATGATCATCAAAAGCCTGTTTGAGGCTGCCAGGGTCAGCATCTGTGGCCTTCTGAGGGCTCTTGTCCATGAGCAGGGCCCAGGCTTCCTCTTTGAAGGGTGAATCTTGGCAATGACCACACATGTGGTTCAATTCGTTTTCAAATTCTATTTTTCCAGCCAATTCTTCAATAGTTCGGATGCTTGTATGGTCTTAAAAATAAGAACATTCAGCTTTACAATTCCAGTGGAAGGTTTCTGAAGACATTTCAGGTGCAAGTTAAAAACCATGAATGGGTTGTCATTTATCAGGGATTGTGTAAAAGCAGGCATTCCTGCCCCAGGACAGGCAGGCTGCCAGACTGCCAAATTAAGGTGGGTTTGGTACCTTCCTTTCAGGCCCAAGCATTTAGTGAGTTCCAACTATATGCCAGTCCCCAAGAAAGGTATAAGTGGGAGGGTATAGAAATGTACATGGTTGTCCTGGCTCTCAGGGATGACAAGACACAATGTGAAAAAAAAACAAGGAAACAAGGTCTTTAGGGTAATAAACTGCTGCCCAGCCAGGAGCGGTGGTGTGTAACCTGCAATCCCAGCAACTTGAGAGGCTGAGGTAGAATAATAACTTGCGCCCAGGAGTTTGAGACCAGCCTGGGCAACAGAGTGAGGCCCTGTCTCAAAAAAAAAAAAAACAAAAAAAAAAAACAAAAAAACCTCCCTGATGTTGGTGAAAGCCAAGGAAGATGGTGGGTAGAGGCAGTAATGACTTCAGTTTACCTCCTGGGGCTACTGGAGGAGACTCAGGCCACTGAAGTCACAGGCTGGCAGGGATTTTACTTTGTGGCCCAGGGGGTGTACCCTACCCTCACCAGGCCTCCCTTTCCTCCCTCATAACCTGGAGATCCTTCAGAAACAACAGCTTCAGGCAGCACCCACGGTTATACATCCCTTTACTAGGAGCTGTAGTATGAGTTTTTTAAAAACAGGGCACATTGGCATGGTTTGCCTGTAAACCCAGCACTTTGGGAGGCTGAGGCAGGAGGATCACTTGAGACCAGGAGTTCAAGACCAGCCTGGGTAACAAAGCAAGACCTTGTCTCTATTTATAAAAAATACTACTACTAATAATAAAAAGACAAAATAAAAAATAGAGCACATGTAGTTCACATACAGGACATTCAGATTTGTATGTAGAAAAAAAGTCTGACAGGATGTATGCTATACTATATCTATATTAACAGTGGTTATCTCTGGGTGGTAGAATTATAGGAAAGCTTTTGACTTCTAATTTTTCTCCTAATCTTTTTTTTTTTTTTTTTTTTTTTTTTTTGAGACAGAGTCTCATTCTGTCACCCAGGCTGGAGGGCAGTGGTGCGATCTCGGCTCACTGCAACCTCTGCCCTCTGCCTCCTGGGTTGAAACAATTCTCATGCCTCAGCCATCCAAGTGGCTGGGATTACAGGTGTGCACCACCACGCCTGGCTAATTTTTTGTGTTTTTAGTAGAGAAGGGGTTTTGCCATGTTGCCCAGGCTGATCTCGAACTCCTGACCTCAAGTGATCTGCCCGCCTCAGCCTCCCAAAGTGCTAGGACTAAAGGTGTGAGCCACTGTGCCCAGCCCTTTTCTCCTAATCTTTAATTACTGACCCCAGCTAAATTACTCTCTCCTTTTTGCCTATGTCCTGTTTCCTAAAAATTTAAGCTCAATCACCATGTCCTAGTGGCCACCATCCCTTGCCTTCAGGGACTCAGTGCATCTAAACATTGATGACATGACCTGATTGATGTATCTATCACCTCACAAGATAATCAGTTGTATGAGGGAAGGGACAGGTTTTGTTAACATTCAGTTCCCTAATCAATGCAGAGTCTGAGCAAAACATCTACCAAATAAAAAGATAAGAGTGTTTTGGCCGGGAGTGGTGGCTCTTGCCTGATCCCAGCACTGGGAGGCCACAGTAAGTGGATTACTTGAGACTAGGAGTTCGAGACCAGCCTGGACAACACAGCAAAACCCTAATACAAATATTAGCCAATCATGGTGGCGTGCACCTGTAGTACTAGTGTAGTACTATGGCTACTTGGGAGGCTGAGCTGGGAGGATCACCTGAGCCCAGGGAGGTTGAGGCTGCAGTGAACTGTGATCGTGCCACTGCACTCCAGCCTGGGTAATATGATGAGACTCTGTCTCTCCCCCCAAAAAGTGGTGGTGGTGTTTTTTCTTTTGAGATGAGGTCTCGCACAGTTGCCCAGGCTGCAGTACAGTGGTATGATCATAGCTTGAACTCCTGGGCTCAAGTGATCCTTCCACCTCAGCCTCCCTAGTAGCTGGGATTATGGGCACACACCACTGTGCCCAGCTAATTAAAAAAAATTTTAAGAGACAGATCTCGCTATGTATGGTACCCAAGCTAGAAGAGAGTGTTTTTTGTTTTTTTTTGAGATGGGAGTCTCACTCTGTCCCCCAGGCTGGAGTGCAGTGGCAAGATCTCAGCTCACTGCAACCTCTGCCTCCCGGGTTCAAGCAATTCTCCTGCCTCGGCCTCCCGAGTAGCTGGGATTACCGGCGTGCACCACCACGCCTGGCTAATTTTTGTATTTTTAGTAGAGACGGGGTTTCACCATATTGGTTAGACTGGTCTTGAACTCCTGACCTCATGATTCGATCTCCTCGGCCTTCCAAAGTGCTGGGATTACAGGCATGAACCACCGTGCCTGGCCGAGAGCATTTCTTATATCTGAGATATTTGCTGACTCAGACCCATGTGAAGGACCTATCTTCCCAAGGACAGGATGGACTTGCCCACTGTACTCACCAATCATATCAAGCAGATCCTTTGTGACCTCTTGGCTAGAATTGTTGAGTGGCATGTTTGAGTCAGCCTTCAAATCTCTCTCCATATCTTTCCTGCAGCCCCCAGGTGGGGGGGAAGAAAAGGTGGGGAATTAGATTCTCTTTCAAGAAAATATTGAAGGGAAACTCAGTTTTAGATAATCTCAAAGACAAAAACTTACTGGTGACCTTGTCATTTATGCTTTGATTAAAGGACAATTGGAAACTGCTACATCAGTGGAGAAATTGACTAACAGCTTTACCATAATGACTCACGAGCATCGCAGACTGTATTAAATTTTTTTCTTTTTTAGAGACAGGGTTTAGCCATGTTGCCCAGGCTGGTCTCGAACTCCTGGGCTCAGGCGATCCACTCGCCTCAGCCTCCCAAAGTGCTGGGAATACGGGCATGAGCCACCTCACCCAGCCTGCATTTGTTTACTTATTTATTTATTTTTATTTTTTATTTATTTTTTTGAGATGAAGTCTCGCTTTGTCCCCCAGGCTGGAGTGCAATGGCGCAATCACGGCTCACTGCAACCTCTGCCTCCCAGGTTCAAGTGATTCTCCTGCCTCAGCCTCCTGAGTAGCTGGGATTACAGGCGCCTGCCACCACGCCCAGCTAATTTTTGTATTTTTAGTAGAGATGGGGGTTTCACCATGTTGGCCAGGCTGGTCTCGAACTCCTGACCTCAGGTGATCTGCCCGCCTCAGTCTTCCAAAGTGCTGGGATTACAGGAGTGAACCACCGCGCCTGGCCTGTTTGTTTTAAAGACAGAGTCTTGCTCTTGTCGCCCAGGCTGGTGTGCAAGGGCGCAATTTCGGCTCATCGCAACCTCCTTCTCCTGGGTTCAAGCGATTCTCCTGTCTCAGCCTCTGGAGCAGCTGGGATTACAGGCGGCCGCAACGGCACCCAGCTAATTTTTCTATTTTTAGTAGAGACGGGGTTTCACCATGTTGGCCAGGCTGGTCTCAAACTCCTGACCTCAGGTGATTCATCCGCCTCAGCCTCTCAAAGTGCTGGGATTCAGGCGTGAGCCACTGTGCCCAGCATTTTTTTTTTTTTAAGATGGAGTCTTGCTCTGTTGCCCAGGCTGGAGTGCCATGGCAAGATCTCAGCTCACTGCAACCTCTGCCTCCAGGATTCAAGCAATTCTCCTGCCTCGGCCTCCCAAGTAGCTGGGATCATAGGCGCGCGCCACCACGCTCGGCTTATGTTTGTATTTTTAGTGGAGACGGGGTTTCACCAGACCTCAAGCGATCCACCCACCTCAGCCTCCCAAAGTGCTGAGATTACAGGCGTGCCACCACACCCGGCAAGGCCTGCACTGCTTATGAGTACCAATATAAATATTTGTGGAGTTGAAAGGAAAAAAATTCTTGTGGAGTTGAACCAATTAAATGGCCTCTTTATCCCCTTCCTATGAAGCAGCCAAGATGGCAGAACTTTGAAGTTTTTTTTTTTTTTTTTTTTTTTTTTTTTGATACGGAGTCTCGCTCTGTCGCCCAGGCTGGAGTGCAGTGGCGTGATCTCGGCTCACTGCAAGCTCCGCCTCCCGGGTTCATGCCATTCTCCTGCCTCAGCCTCCCGAGTAGCTGGGACTACAGGCGCCCGCCACCACGCCCGGCTAATTTTTTGTATTTTTAGTAGAGACAGAGTTTCACCGTGTTAGCCAGGATGGTCTCGATCTCCTGACCTCGTGATCTGCCCGCCTCGGCCTCCCAAAGTGCTGGGATTACAAGTGTGAGCCACCGCGCCCGGCCTGAAGTTTCATCTCATACATTCATCCCTTCTCCAAGTCAAGGTGCCTGGGACCAGGCAATTTCAAGTTACTCGGGAGAAGAAAAAGTCTAGAAGAGACCTGGTGATGGTCCAAAAAGATCTGGGGTAAGAGCGGGGAGCAGAGGCAAAGATGAAGCCAGGAAGTAGGGCCCAGCCTTCAATTAAGCCTCTCCCTAATGTGGGCAAAGGAGGGTATCAAAGGCCCCAGTGTCCAGATTCAAACACAGGAGTTAAGATGGAATTAAGACTTTTGTTTCTGCAACTTAAAAAATAAGGTTATTTTTAAAACCCGGTTATTTTACATCCACTACCCCTTTGGGTACTGCAAAGTGGTTTCCATGACTGGTTTTTGACATCAACGATTGACAACTAGCCCCTCAACTGGAACATATACACAAAATATAACTGTTTCCTAGGCCAGATTCTGAAGAATGTCTGTCAACTCCCCAAATGCAGTCACAGAGCTGCCAAGAGGAGGCAAGAGCACTGTCATGAACTAAATCTAGGATCTTCAACAACTTTTTCAGAAACAAGAATCCCCTTAATTGTAGCTGTTAAACCATCAAAATTAGAATCACCTTAAATTTTCTTTTCTCCAGTTTTCCCCCTCTCCTGCAGTTCTCCAAGACTCTCTTTCAGGTGCCAAAATGGAGGAATGCATCAATACATTTTCCTTGCTGGTTAGAGGTTTTCTCTCGGGGCACAGAGCATGTGGTTTTGCATTTACCGGGGCATGGTTTGTTGCAAAGGCAGGGTTCTCATTCTCAGGAGCACATGGGACAGCAGCAAAAGGAGCAGCAGAAGAGCAGGCTGCCAGAGGATGTCTTCTGCAGAGGAGCCTGTGCACGGGCAGCGAGAAGGAGAGCGGCGCGGCGCTCAGTTCCAGCCTCTGCTGGCCTGTGCACTCCTGGGAATAACTAACTCCTTCAAAGGCCCGGTCAATGGCTGCAGTCAGTTCCTTTCTGCATCTTCTTAGTTTTTCAGACATTTCTCCTAAAAGCGACCATGTCTTTATGTAATGCATTGGAAATGCACAGGACAACACAATAATGTTACAAATGAGGCTGCAAACTACCCCTGAATGGCCACGATTTCCTGGAGCTTGGCCCTGGCTATAGCAGGACCCACAACCCTCGGGCTTTCCTCCTGGAGTAGGCGGTTCTCGGCTCTCGCGGAGGAACCCGCCATCTGCCAGAAGCCCCAAAGACGCCCCGCCCCACTTCCCACAGCTTCCTGGCCCGCCCCGCCGCTGCCTCCCGCCCCACCGCGGCTCCCAGGCCGCTGGCCCTACCGGCACCCCCCCTTTGGCGAGTCGGCAGCCACGTCCTTGTCCTCACCCGCAGCGCAGTGACGCCGACCCATCCAACGGTCATCGCATGCGCGTGCCCCGCGCAGGCCCCAAACCCCCACGGATTAGGTTGAAGGTCAGACAAAAAATCCCGGACCCATACGTCCGGTTCCTTAAGGCCTTGCCCACACGCAGCGGCTGGCCCCGCGGTGGGAGTGGGGACGGGGCTTTCGAATGGGGGCCCCGGGAAGAGTCTTGGCAGGGATGAGGAAAGAACCCGTTCTAGAAAGCATCTGGGTAACACCAAAATGTATTACTACCCTAAATCGCCATGAACTGGAGCCCTTTCCCGGCTAACTCCCACAAAGATTTCTGTTCTCAAGCCAACATGGAAACAACTAGACGGGACACAGCACCGGGCAGTTTTATGTACTGACTTCCTTTAAGCGTTATCTAATAAAAAGTGTGTTATCTAATAAAAGTTCCACACAGTATTTAACCGTCTTAATTCATCTAGGGTAGCAGGGGATATAACAGAACTGCTGGGTTCCACAGGAGGTTGAGGGGCCAGGATCCCCAACACTAGATATCTTCCTTAGCGGGGAGAAAGCTGGAAATTACAAGATGACTCAACGGAGAAATGGGCTTCAGTGGGTAACTTTCAGAAAATTATAAACCCATATCAGTGCACATAGCGAGGGAAAGGGGAGTTTACTTGAGGTTTGGGTTACTGTGAGCAGACTACTTGGGGTGACTAGTATTGGCATCAGAACCAGAAATCCAGGCGCTCAGGGCAGCCCTGCAGGTGGGGTGGGTCTCCAGGCTGCTCCATACTCAGCGCCTGTGTTCCTCTCCATTCTTCGGGATCCATCAGACATACTCCATTGAGTACCCCCATCCCACCCCCTTTTCAGCTTCACAGGTTTCACAGAAATTTCTCACCACCTGTTTAAAAATAAAAATAATTCAGCCTCTTGACATAGCTTCTTCTAGGTAAACGGTCTTCTTTTTTTTTTTTTGTTTCCTTCTGCTCATAAAAGAAGGGTATTTCCTTGTCTGGTTTTTAGACAGAACACTAGCAGTCTGCAGAGTGTCAAAGATGTTCTCCTGGGGGATTACACTGGCGCTACAGGGTGGCAGGATCGTGGAGTCAGCATTAGTTGGTGTCCATGCTGCAAGCCTCATCATCCCCAAAGCCCTGCTGAGAGCTGCTTGGTCGTGTCCCTCCATCAGAGGAACCAGAACTGCTAAGTGAAGGTGTCTTATAAAATTCATCATCTCGACGTTGGTAAAATAGCACATAAGCTGCTTTAGTCTGAAATACAAGAGGGGGAAAGACCATTCAGTGCTTGGAAAAATCACCCATTTTCCCCAGCTTTTCTCTAGCTGTCCAAAACCCTCAAGGATCTGCCATATCCACACAGAGGAGACCCTTCCACCTGAGGATGGCTGCCCCTGCCAGGCAGCAGGAAATGGAAGGAGCCTTGTGCAGAGAACTCTGAGGAGAGCTGAGCTTCTCATTTATGAAGGTCCCTGAAGGAATGCCAGCCAGCTCTGTCACACCTAGCTCCCACTATCACATCAGGATGATGAAATAACCAACTAGCCTGATAGAGGCTCTTCCCAGCTTTAATCCATAACGACATGAGGAAGAACCACATATCATGGCCTACTCACCACTATCTGATCCTCAGAGGCCAGGGACACGTTGCTATCATCAAAGTAATACCATTTACCATTCAGTTTGTTCTTCGCATATGCAGTGTCTGCCAAGTCAACAAAGAAAATACTCTAGCGGTCTCCAGAGAATTAATCTGGCTAGCTTATTAGGCTTGCACTAAATAAACACAAAAATCCCCAAAACAAAACCCCTGAAATTAAAAAAGTTTACAGTGTGTGTCTTAACAACCAAAAAACAACTCACCTTCTTTTCTAATCTGTTCCTTCTCAAAAAGGATCAAAAGGCTAAAAATGGAGCTGTCAGGGACCAAGATTTTAAACTATAATTTTGGGAAACTAATAGAAAAAACAGAGCTATTCAGTGCCAATCTTCAGGATGGCTATGTGCAATAATCCAAAACCAGGGAACCCATAAAAGGAGCTGAAACTTCTAAGATTTAAGCAAAACAATAGCTCTCACAAGGACATGCCAAGTCAGTCTCCCCCATTGCATCTAGGCAGGTGGCTACTAACATCAACAGAATGCTTAGTGCCTCGGGAGCCTACAGAATAATCCCAGTTAGAGGAACATTGGGTGTTTGGGTTTGCAGAGCTGGGATGTGAACAACATACCTTAGTCTCCATATCCAAAAAAAAAAAAATTTATCTTTCTCTAAAACTAGGAGTCCAGAGTCTGTGGTTAGGTAACAGTTTCCCACAATGATTCAAGCATTTCCCAGAGGCAATGCTTCTTGTCTTGACTTTACACTATTCCCAAGCAGGATGTGTTTATTACAGCAATCCCAGCCCAGTTCCTGCTCCACCCAGACTCTCAGAAACTACAGAACCCAATGGAGATCTGATATCCAGTGTCAACTTACTGTGTGGTTTTAGGTAAGGTGTTTAACACTTCAGCCTCAGTTTCCTCACTATAGCATTGACTGCACAAAGTGGTGGTGAGGATCATGGGAAAGGGCAACAGAGAAGGTGCCCAAGGCCAGTTCACACAGTCTGTGCTTGACACAATAGCAGCAACGGTGGCTTTCAATTTTGAAGTTCCAACTGTAGGCCCAATGTGGACCCTCACACAACCAGCCTAACCTCATGGATGAGAAAACTGAGGATGAGAAACTTGCCCAAATGGTATGTTTGTGTGCAAAAATTAGCAAATAAAAATGAACACAGGCAGGGCACGGTGACTCACACCTGTGATCCCAACACTTTGGGAGGCCAAGGCAGGGTGGTTCGCTTGAGCCCAGGAGTTCAAGACCAGCCTGGGCAACATGCCAAAACCCTGTCTCTACTAAAAATACAAAAATTAGCCAGGTGTGGTGGCGCACACCTGTAATCCCAGCTACTCGGCAGGCTGAGGCACGAGAATCGCTTGAACCCGGGAGGTGGAGGTTGCAAGTGAGCCGAGACTGCGCCACTGCTTTCCAGCCTGGGTGACAGAGTGAGAATCTGTCTCAAAAAAAGAGCAAACCAGCCAGGCACAGTGCCTCACACCTGTAATCCCAGCACTTTGGGAGGCCGAGGCGGGCGGATCACGAGGTCAGGAGATCGAGACCATCCTGGCTAACATGGTGAAACCCCGTCTCTACTAAAAATACAAAAAATTAGCCAGGCGTGGTGGCGGGCGCCTGTAGTCCCAGCTACTCAGGAGGCTGAGGCAGGAGAATGGCGTGAACCTGGGAGGCAGAGCTTGCAGTGAGTGAGATTGCGCCACTGTGTTCTAGCCTGGGTGACATAACGAGACTCCGTCTCAAAAAAAAAAAAAAAAAAAGAATTAAAAAAAAACAGAGAGGGGAATCAGTATGAAGAAAGCGTGCAGCATGAAGCCTGTGAAACTGCATAAGCAAAGCATTTAGGGCAATGCCTGGTCCACTGGTGAGAGATGATGGCCGAGCACATTTCAACATCTCAGAAGGAAGCAGATGTCAATACTTACAGTGGCCAACCCCCATGGCTCCATAATGATTGGACACGGCAATGAGGTCGTACACATAAGGCCTTGCTGACAGGTTACAGACAAACTCGGACATGTTCAGCCCTCTGAGCACAAAACACAAAAATAGTTATTGAATATGTTAAACCCAAACAAAGTAGTTAAGAGTAACCCAGCAACCTCTGTTATGCAACAGGGCAGAACACAGGGAGGCACTCAAACTATTCGAGAGAGACCAAGATGGAAGGGACTCTAGGATCCATGTTCTGACCACTGACATATTCAGGCTAGAAAATGGGGCTGGGTGTGGTGGCTCATGCCTGTAATCCCAGCACTTTGGGGGGCCAAGGCAGGTGGATCACCTGAGATCAGGAGTTCGAGACGAGCCCGACCAACATGGTGAAATCCCGTCTCTGCTAAAAATACAAAAATTAGGCCGCGCACGGTGGCTCACACCTGTAATCCCAGCACTTTCGGAGGCCAAGGCAGGCGGATCACGAGATCAGAAGATTGAGACCATCCTGGCTAACACGGTGAAACCCTGTCTCTACTAAAAAATACAAAAATTAGCTGGGCGTGGTGGTGGGCGCCTGTAGTCCCAGCTACTCGGGAGGCTGAGGCAGGAGAATGGCGTGAACCCGGGAGGTGGAGCTTGCAGTGAGCCAAGATCGCACTACTGCAGTCCAGCCTGGGCAACAGAGCGAGACTCCGTCTCAAAAAAGAAAAAAAGTATGTGTATATATATATATATACACACACACACACACACACACACACACACACACACACACATATATACATTTATATATACACACACACACAAATTAGCCGGGCATGGTGGCACACACCTGTAATCCTAGCTACTTGGGAGGCTGAGGTAGGAGAATCGATTGATCCTGGGAGGCAGAGTTTGCAGTGAGCCGAGATCGTGCCATTGCACTTCAGCCTGGGCAACAAGAGCGTAACTCCGTCTCAAAAAAAAAAAAAAAAGGCCGGGCACAGTGGCTCATGCCTGTAATCCCAGCACTTTGGGAGGCCAAGGTGGGTGGATCATGAGGTCAGGAGTTTGAGACCATCCTGGCCAACATGGTAAAACCCCGTCTCTACTAAAAATACAAAAATTAGCTGGGTATGGTGGCAGGCGCCTGTAGTCCCAGCTACTCAGGAGGCTGAGGCAGGAGAATTGCTTGAACCCAGGAGGCAGAGGTTGTAGTGAGCCGAGATCGCACCACTGCACTCTGGCCTGGCGACAGAGTGAGACACGGTCTCAAAAAAAAACAAAAACAAAACAAAAAAAACAACAACAACAACAAAAGAAAATGGGAGAACCTTTCTGGGTAACTCCAGCACCAGACAAAATGGTGATGAGGGTCTAGAGATACACACAGAGGGCTTCAGCAAGTATGCAGAAATGGCTGTTCTTAACAGAATTACAGTTGGTGCCATAATAATTTAAACTCAACCAAAACAGGCCCCAGAAAGCTTTCTTCCTCCAATATTTTATTTAAAAATTTTCAAACACACAGAAAAGATAAAGAATTTTTTTTTTTTTGAGACGGAGTCTCGCTGTGTCGTCCGGGCTGGAGTGCAGTGGCGCGATCTTGACTCACTGCAACCTCTGCCTCTTGGGTTCAAGTGATTCTCCTGCCTCAGCCTCCCAAGTAGCAGGGATTACAGGCATGCGCCACCATGCCTAGCTAATTTTGTTTTGTACTTTTAGTAGAGATGGGGTTTCACCATGTTGGTCAGGCTGGTCTCAAACTCCTGACCTCGTAATTTGCCCACCTCAGCCTCCCAAAGTGCTGGGATTACAGGTGTGAGCCACTGCGCCCAGCCAAGATAAAGAATTTTTACAACAAATACTTATTATCCATCACCTGGCGTCTCCTGCTGACATGCTATACTTCATGTATCTATTCTTTCCCCCAGAAAGCATTTTAAAATCTACATTTTGTGGGCAACTCCCTTTTTTTTTTCTTTTTTTGGAAACAGGGGCTTGCTCTGTTGCTGAGGCTGGAGTGCAGTGGCACAATCTTGGCTCACTGCAACCTCCGCCTAGTGGGTTCAAGCAATTCTCCTGCCTCAGCCTCCCTAGTAGCTGGGATTACAGGCGTGCACCACCACATCCAGCTAATTTTTGTAGTTTTACTGGAGACAGGATTTCACCATGTTGGCCAGGCTACTCTCCGGCTCCTGATCTCAAGTGATCCACCCACCTTGGCCTCCCACAGTGCTGGGATTACAGGTGTGAGCCACTGTGCCGGCCTCTTTTTTTTTTTTTTTTTTTTTTTTTTGAGATAGAGTCTCGCTCTGTCACCAGGCTGGAGTGCAGTGGTGCAATCTTGGCTCACTGCAACTTTTGCCTCCTAGGTTCAGGCGATTTTCCTGCCTCAGCCTCCTGAGTAGCTGGGACCACAGGTGTGCGCCACCACATCCAGCTAACTTTTGCATTTTTAGTAGAGATGGGGTTTCACCATGTTGGCCAGGATGGTCTCGATCTCCAGACCTTGTGATCTGCCCACCTTGGCCTCCCAAAGTGCTGGGATTACAAGCATGAGCCACCGTGCCCAGCCTATTTTTTTAAATATATTTTTTATTTTTTGTAGAGAGGAAGTCTCTCTATGTTGTCCAGGCTGGTTTTGAACTCCTAGGCTCAAGTGATCCTCCCACCTTGGCCTCCCAAATTGATGATATGTGAGCCACTGTGCCCAGCCAGGGAACATCTATCTGTTAACTTACTTTCCTGTTCTTAGTTACAGTCTGTACTGTGGGGCTTGAGAGGATATGAGTAGACAGCCAGTCCCAATCCCTACCCCAGGGACAGGATCATGGCAGGTGTGCAGCCCACCTGCAGCCCCCAATAATAACCCAACTCTACCTGACAGGCTATTCTTGGTTGCCTTGTCCCCTGTTGTGCTGCCTCTGCTAAGGTGAGGCTACCTGTGACAGATGATGGACAGGAAGGCCAGTTAGGTGGCCTAAGTGACTCGAGAGGGAAACTAGCAGTGGCAGGGGTGACTGGCAGCAGCCTGTGTCTGGGCAAATGCTTCCACTGGAGAGTCTCTTCCCCAAAGATGGGAGGATAGGGACAGAAGGGGTAACTACAGCTAAACTCTGACCTCCTAGACCCCGGCAACACACATCCTTACTCAGAAAAGTTTTTGGTGGCAAACCACTCAGCCAATCAGTGCCAAGATTTTCTGCCTGTTTTTAAATGTTCCTAACACTGTAGTCACCATGACCCACCTGATTGGGAATTCTACGACTGTGTCGAGCTTATCCCTCCAGTATCTGTTGTAGGAGAAACGTTTGAGGTGGACCACCAGGATCTTGGGCAAGGACCATAGGTCAAACTTTTTTGTGGCCTGTTGATGCTTCTTACAGTTGGGACAGTACCTAAAAAGAGAAACCTCCACTTAGCAGGGCAAGCCGGCAGCCAGTGCCACCTGGGCACTCATGCATGGAGGCACAGCTGCAGTCCCCTGATAGCTGCCATCCTCTCGGTCAGCACTCAACACTACTGCTTCTGGCCAGGGACCTGTCTTCCAAAATGGGGTGACGGCTTTCCTTGGAAACCTCAACTCACAGAGGATTATGTTGTAGGGTTAGCTATATAAAGAAGTGACACATCCAAATACAAAGGGGTTTATGTGCACAGATGGCCCTAGCAGATCTGAGTCCTGGGGTGCATGGGGCCTCTGCCCAGACAGTGAGGAGCTGCGTACCAGGGGTCATGCTCCCCAAGGGTCTCCATGGTGGTGAAGAGCTCGATGCAGTCTCTCAGGGCCACTGTGGTCTTCTTCTTCTTCTGAGGCTGCAACATGCTCACATGCTTCTCGTAGGCCTATGGGAATCAAAGCACTCAGTTCTGCTGGAGAAAGAGATCTTACTGCATTAAGACATGAAGGCCTACAGAGGCTCTCCCACCTGGAATGTAGTACACTTTCTAGAGCCTCTGAATATAAAATGACAAAATCTTGAAGTGCTTTTCCTTCTCAGTCTTAAATATAACTTGCTAAATTGCTGTCCAACTGGTGAAAGTGATCGCAGTCCACATCCAGAGCAGAAACCAGCAGACACCACCGACCACGAACCCCGAGGGACCTACCTCAGATTCTTGCTCATCATAGTAAAGTCTCCGAGTTTCACTGTCCCAATCCATGGCCAGTGTAGATCGAGCTGAGGAGGACCAAAATGTCACTTGTTATGGAATGGCAAGCAACAGGAAAGGCTCTCCAAGTGACAGGAGTGAGAAGGACCACACTCAGGCCACACCATCAACACCTTCTCCCCCATCAGCAGCCAGTGTCAAGAGCAATGCTCTGCAATGGGCCAGCCCTTCTGACCCCCAGCCCCAAAAAGCCTTTGGCAAAGACTTCCTCAGTGATACAGATAAGCTACGAAGGAACTAACTGTGGAGAATTCTGAAAGGGCACAGGTCAAGATGGGAGTAATAGGGACCAGATTTATCATCCTACCATAAACCACAAAAAAACTGACAAAATGGATGAAACAATTGTTTTCAGACATTGGATAGAGCAGGAAGGAGATCCCTGACAGAAGGAAAAAAAAAAAGAGACCCCTACATCGCCCTAGCTTATTGCCTGCAGGCAGTTTCCAGGACTTAGCATAGGGGAGAGAGGGGAAGATTAAGCTGAAAAGTCAAAGACTGGAGTTTGAGAAGATGGCTAGAATTTGCAAGGCATTCCAGCCTGGGCAACATAGTGAGACCCTGTCTCTACACAAACTACAAATATTAGCTGGGTGTGGTGGTGCACACCTGTAGTCTCAGCTACTCAGGAGGGTGAGGTGGGAAGGGAGCTGAAAGACAGAGATGCTTCTCCTCCCCTAACTGGCAAAGGTGTCCTCACTGGCCAATTGTGCTTTTCACACAACCCCTCAGAATGCCTCTTCCTGTCTGTAGAGCAGTCCCCATTACAACCTCCATGTGTCGGTGAGGCTACAAAATCCATGACCATCCTCTGAATGGGTACATTTCGTGAGTATTAATGAACAAAATAAATATGCGCTTATTCTTATAAGTGAGCAAGTATGGGGAAATGTTGCTGCCAAGGGTGGCCACAGGAAAGGTTATCGACCCACAGCAAATTCCCGCAGAGGGAGTGGAGGGAGACCTACTTTCCTCTGAGGTCATCGAGGACTGAGGAGAAAAGCCTGAAAGGTAGGGGGATCTCTGAAACAGTCCTTAGGGGGCTTCAAGCCAAGGGTCATACAAGTGCTGCTCCTGGAGGCACAGAGACTGTGAAAGCCCAATGCAGTGAGTGTCAAGTGTAAGGATTTTCAAACAGATCCTAAGACCCTAAAGCCCAGCTTGAAAGGTCAGAAAAAGTGCTTACAGTTGAGTTTAAGTAGTTTTCCATCAGCTGCAAGTGAATTTATGTCAGCTGTTCCATAGGAGTTCACAAGACTGAAGGTAAAAAGCCTTTTTGGGCAGGGCTGGCCTTTGATCTTCTTTTGGGTGGTCTCACTGGGGTCATTTCCTGGCTCATCTTCCCCACTGCCTTCTGTTTCTGAAAGCTGCTCTTTGCCTTCTTCCTGATGCTCCATTTCTTCCTCATCTTCTCCTGGCACATAAATGGAAAACAATATGTATATAATTTCCTACCATTTCAATGTTAAAAATTTTATTTAATACATAACTATGGTGTTTCCTTCCAGATTTTGTTCTGTGTATATGAAGTTAAATCTATTCCTTTGCATTTAACTTGAATTCACATGTGACTCTCACCACACCCTTGCAAGACAGGCAGACTGGGCACTGCTATTCCACGATGAGGAGGCAGTCTCAGAGAGCTTAAATGAGCCACCTGCAGGCACAATGAGATTCAGAAGCCCTGCCATCCTGTCTACTGGCCATCACAGCACATGGTCTCTCACTCTTGCAACTTCACCATTAGGCCCACAGAGAGAAAAGGGCTTAAATGAAACGCACACTCAACACTCAAGAAGACAGCTTGGTAAGAAACACTATCTATCTTCCATTCCATCCATTCCTTCCATCCATCCATCCATCATCCATCCATCTATCCATCCGAGACAGTCTCACTCTAGCCACTCTATCTATCTATCTATCTATCTATCTATCTATCTATCTATCTATCTATCTGAGATGGAGTCTCACTCTGTCACCCAGGCTAGAGTGCAATGGCACGATCTCGGCTCACTGCAACCTTCACCTCCCAGGTTCAAGCGATTCTCCTACCTCAGCCTCCTGAGTAGCAGGGATTACAGGTGTGCGCCACCATGCCCAGCTAATTTTTATATCTTTTTAGTAGAGACGGGGTTTCACCATGTTGGTCAGGCTGGTCTCGAACTCCTGACCTCAGATGATCCACCGGCCTTGGCCTCCCAAAGTGCTAGGATTACAGACGTGAGCCACTGCACCTGGCCCTATTTATTTATTTATTTTTTGAGACGGAGTCTCACTCTTTCGTCCAGGCTGGAATGCAATGGCGTGATCTCAGCTCACTGCAACCTCCGCCTTCTGGGTTCAAGCAATTCTCCTGCCTCAGCCTCCCAAGTAGCTGGGACTACAGGTGCGTGCTACCACACCCGGCTACTTTTTTGTATTTTTAGTAGAGACAAGGGTTCACCATGTTCACCAGGATGGTCTCTAGCTCCTGACCTCGTGATCCGCCCGCCCCGGCTTCCCAAAGTACTGGGATTACAGGTGCGAGCCACTGCACCCGGCCAAGAAACACAACTTAAAGGTCAATTGCCTTTTTTTTTGAAGTGGAGTCTCACTCTGTTGCCCAGGCTAGAGTACATTGGTGCAATCTCGGCTCACTGCCACCTCCGCCTCCCAGGTTCAAGCAATTCTGCTGCCTCAGCCTCCTGAATAGCTGTGATTACAGGCACGCACCACCACGCCCAGCTAATTTTTGTATTTTTAGTAGAGACGGGGTTTCTCCATGTTGGCCAAGCAGGTCTCGAACTCCAGCCCTAAAGTGATCTGCCCTCTCGGCCTCCCAAAATGATGGGATTACAGGCGTCAGCCACCAGGCCCAGCTATTTTCAAATATTATAATAAACACAAATATTAAGTATTCCGTTCCTCCAGAAAAAAACCTATCATGAATTTTCCTTTAGTATTTACTAAAGGTCTCTTAGGTGCAGGTACCATGCTAGGTTCCAGGGCTCCATAAGGGGAGCACACAGTCTAAAGTGAAAGTTAAAGTATCAAATAAGTAACTTTAGCAAAGATGGGGACCACTCCAAAAGGTGGTGTAAAAGTAACAGAGAAGAGCAGATTTAAAACAAAGAATCTACATACTTGATCAGTAAAAATGGAAATTCTGAGAAAAGGAGAATGTGCTATTTAAGAGCCCACAACCCCTGGCTCTCATGGAGGTTCCTTTCCGAACTTGCTTAATTCCTGAGATATGACACTGTCCCTTTACACACAATAAGCCTGTCCCCCTCCTACACTGGCAAGAAAAAACCTGCCCTGCCTGCTGCCTCTCGGAGAAGGGCAGAACCCAAAACTGCCTCTATCCCACTCAGGAAATGAGCAGTGCCCTCATACTTATAAGAACTCTGTCCTGGCCCATGCCACTGGCTGCCAGTTACCTGGATAATGCCAGGAGCCTTGGGCCAATGCAGTCAGAATTAAATGCCATGGACTGTATTTCACAGGATGAGAAAAAAAGCAGCCTATGATCCCAGCACCTTGGGAGGCTGACGCAGGTGGATCACCTGAGGTCAGGAGTTTAAGACCAGCCTGAGCAACATGGTGAAACCCCATCTCTACTAAAAATACAAAAATTAGCCAGGCATGGTGTCAGGTGCCTGTAATCCCAGCTACTCGGGAGGCTGAGGCAGGAGAATCACTTGAACCTGGGAGGCGGAGGTTGCAGTGAGCTGAGATCACGCCATTGTATTCCAGCCTGGGCAACAAGAGCAAAACTCCACCTCAAAAAAAAGAAAAGAAAAGAAAAAGAAAAAGCAGGATCCACTGAAAGCAGCTACCCAAAGTCACTCAGAAAATCAGCAGGGGACCTAAAGGTCAGCAGTCACAGGCCTAACAAGGAGCCATGTCAGTAGAGGTTAAAAATGCTTTGTGGTTATGCCGGGCACAATGGCTCACGCCTATGATCCCAGCACGTTGGGAGGTTGAGGCAGATGGATTGCTTGAGCCCAGGAGTTCGAGACAAGCCTGGGAAACATGCAGAAACCCTGTCTCTACAAAAAAAAGAAAAATTAGCTGGGCGTGGTGGCACACATCTGTAGTTCCCAGCTACTCAAAAGGCTGAGGTGGGAGGATTGCTTGAACCCAGGGAACGGAGGTTGCCGTGAGCTGAGATTGTGCCACTGCACTCCAGCCTGGGCGACAGAGCAAAAGAAAACAAACAAACAAAAAAACCTTTGTGCTTAAACAAGGTCTGAAGTCTACACACCAAGATTCACCTGTAGGATTCAAAAGGTGACACTCATTGTCCCGGACATGCCTAAGAAACAGGGTTAGGAGTAAAAATAGCAAACACACTCACAAGATGTTGTTACTGATTGAGTGCCTTTCATGTGCCCTGTCCTTTAATCGCATGACCTCAAATTGTAATTGCAGATCTGTGAAGCAGATATCCTTTTGCAGACAGGTAAACCAAGGTTCAGAGGGATGAAGTGACTTGTTCAAGTCCACCCCACACCTTGAGCTGGGGATCAGAGTGCCTTAGCTTCCAGAGTACCACAGATCACCCAGGGGCTGTTCAGAGACCTATTACCATTCCAACACCTCTGCTGCTGGACCTATAAACAAAATGTATTCCTACTTATCCCTAGCGGGAAATGAACATAACATTTCGGGCAAGAATAAGAAGCCAAATATTGAGGCCGGGTGCAGTAGCTCATGCCTGTGATCCCAGCACTTTGGGAAGCCGAGGTGTATGGATCACCTGAGGTCAGGAATTCGAGACCAGCCTGGCCAAGATGGTGAAACCCCATCTCTACTAAAAATACAAAAATTAGCCGGGCATGGTGGTGGGCGCCTATAATCCCACCATTGCACTACAGCCTGGGTGACAGAGTGAGACTCAGTCTCAAAAAAAAAAGAGAATCCAAATATTGGCCATGTGTGGCGGCTCACGCCTATGATCCCAGCACTCTGGGAGGCCAAGGTGGGTGGATTGCTTGAACTCAGGAGTTCAAGACCAGCCTGGGGAACATGGGAAAACCTTGCTTGTCTCCACAAAAAAGAAAAAAAAAGAAAAAGAAATTAGCTGGGTATGGTGACACATTCCTGTAGTCCTGGCTACTCAGGTGGATGAGGTGGGAGGATTGCTTGAGCCCAGGAGGTCAAGGCTGCAGTGAGCCATGATTGCGCCACTGTATTCCAGCCATATTCAACCCTAAAATACCAAAAATAATTTGGAGTATCTCTTGATGACAGCCTCAGGCCTGTAACCCCAGCACTTTGGAAGGCGAAGGTGAGCAGATCACTTGAGGTCAGGAGTTCGAGACCAGACTCGCCATGATGGAGACACCCCGTCTCTACTAAAAATACAAAACTAGCCAAGTGTGGTGGCGCACACCTATAGTACCAACTACTTGGGAGGCTGAGGTGGGAGAATCCCCTGAACCCAAGAGACTGAGGCTGCAGTAAGCCAAGATTGTGCCACTGCACTCCAGCCTGGCCAACAAAGTGGACTCCATATAGAAATAAATTAATTAGTTAAAGTCAGTTCTCACTTTCTAGGACTGCATGTCTTGGAGGAATCTGGACATTTGGTTTTGCAACTGATAATTTTTTGTTTTTGCTGGTTTTTGTTTTTGTTTGAGATGGAATGTTGTTCTGTTGTCCAGGCTGGAGTGCAATGATGCAATCTCAGCTCACTGCAACCTCCGCTTCCTGGGTTCAAGAGATTGTCGTGCTTCAGCCTCCCAAGTAGCTGGGATTACAGGCACACACTGCCATGCCTGGCTAATTTTGTATTTTTTAGTAGAGACAGGGTTTCACCGTGTTGGCCAGGCTAGTCTCGAACTCCTGACCTCAGATGATCTGCCTGCCTTGGCCTCCCAAAGTGCTGGGATTACAGGCATGAGCCATCGCACCCGTCTGCAACTGAGAATTTATGTGCTGGGCGCAGTGGCTCACACCTGTAATCCCAGCACTTCACGAGGGCAAGGTGGAAGGATAGCCTGAGCCTGGCAGGTTGAGGCTGCAGTAAACCATGATTGAACCACTGCACTCCAGACTGGGTGATAATCAAGACCCTACGCTTTTTTTTTGGAGACGGAGTCTCAATCTGTCGCCCAGGCTGGAGTGCAGTGGCGTGATCTTGGCTCACTGAAAGCTCTGCCTCCCGGGTTCACGCCATTCTCCTGCCTCAGCCTCCCAAGTAGCTGAGACTACAGGTGCCCACCACCACGCCTAATTTTTTGTATTTTTAGCAGAGATGGGGTTTCACTGTGTTAGCCAGGATAGTT
Source organism: Homo sapiens (assembly GCF_000001405.40). Classification (NCBI taxonomy): domain Eukaryota; kingdom Metazoa; phylum Chordata; class Mammalia; order Primates; family Hominidae; genus Homo; species Homo sapiens. The sequence goes on from NC_000003.12 coordinate 49,291,184, forward strand.
TCGATCTCCTGACCTCGTGATCCACCCACCTCAGCCTCCCAAAGTGCTGGGATTACAGGTGTGAGTCACCGCACCCAGCCTCAAGACCCTACTCTTAAAAAAAAAAAAAAAAGCTGGGCACAGTGGCTCACACCTGTAATCCCAGCATTTTGGGAGGCTGAGGCAGGTGAATCATGAGGTCAGGAGTTCAAGACCAGCCTGGCCAAGATGGTGAAAACCCATCTCTACTAAAAATACAAAAATTAGCCAGGCATGGTGGCATGCGCCTGTAATCCCTGCTACTTGGGAGGCTGAGGTAGAGAGTTGCTTGAACCCAGGAGGCAAAGGTTGCAGTGAGCCAAGATCGCGCCACTGCGCTCCTGCATGGGCGACAGAGCAAGATTCCGTCTCAAAAAAAAAAAAAAAAAGAAAGAAAGAAAAAGAAAAGAAAAAATTTACAGCACTAGCTTGAAAGACATATATGGTTTTACAGAAAGCCACTGAGTCACGTAAGTCCCAAAAAGAAGAGTGACATGTCAGGTGGGGTGGCTCACACCTGTAATCCTAGCCCTCTGGGAGGCTAAGGCAGGAGTATTGCTTCAGGTCAGGAGTTCAAGACCAGCCTGAGCAACATGGCAAGACCCCTGGTCCTTTTTTTTTTCTTTTTTTGAGACAGAGTTTCACTCTGTCGCCCAGGCTGGAGTGCAGTGGCGCGATCTTGGCTCACTGCAAGCTCTACCTCCCGGGTTCACGCCATTCTCCTGCCTCCCAAGTAGCTGGGACTATAGGTGCCCGCCACCATGTCCGGCTAATTTTTTGTATTTTTAGTAGAGACGGGGTTTCACTGTGTTAGCCAGAATGGTCTCGATCTCCTGACCTCGTGATCCGCCCTCCTCGGACTCCCAAAGTGCTGGGATTACAGGCGTGAGCCACCACGCCCGGCCAACCCCTGGTCTTCACAAAAAATTTAAAAATTAGCTGGGTGTCGTGGCATGCACCTGTAGTCCCAGCTACTCTGGAGGCTGAGGTGGGACAATCACTTAAGCCCAAGAGTCTGAAGTAACAGTGAGCCATGATTGCACCACCACATTCCAGCCTGGGTGACAGGAATGAGACCCCTATCTGGAAAAAAAAAAAAAAAAAAGGAAGATTCCACAAGGTAGCAAAGTTGGACAACAGGCACTGGCAGAGTAGAATGTTGTAGACCTAACTCCTAACTCTGCTGCTGTAGGCAGAGCCCCAACCCAGTCCCAACCCCCTTCTCCCATGTGTGTAACACCTTTAGAAGAAGAGGGAAATCAGGAGGTATTTGGTCAGTCACAGCCACAGAGCATGGTGCATACTCACCTTCACAGCTGTTCCTGGAGCCATTGCAGGCCCCTGGCTCCAAGGGTGAGCTGCCAAACTCATCAGGTAAAGGCTGTTTCACATAGCGGCTTCAAAAAGAGAAAAAGAGAAGAAAAAAAAGATTGTTAGTTGTAACATTTATCTATTTTTTCCACCATGCGGCTAAGAAGTAGTTCATAATTTATATGGATGATAGCTACTGACAAAGCAATTTATGTAAATAGAAGTGCTTTAGAATTATCCACTGGGCCAGGTGTGGTGGCTAATCCCAGCACATTGGGAAGCCAAGGCAGGTGGATCACCTGAGGTCAGGAGTTCGAGACCAGCCTGGCCAACATGGTGAAACCCCATCTCTAGTAAAACTAAAAAAATTAGCTGGGCATGGTGGCACATGCCTGTAATCCCAGCTACTCAGGAGGCTGAGGCAGGAGAATTACTTGAACGTGGGAGGCAGAGGTTGCAGTGAGCCGAGATCATGCCACTAGGCACTCCAGCCTGGGCAGAGAGCAACTCTGTCTCAAAAAATAAATAAAATAAAATAAAATAACACAGTGGCTCAATATTTTAAGAAATTAAAAACACAAATGGCCAGGCATGGTGGCTCACACCTGTAATGCCGGCACTTTGGGAGGCCGAGGTGGGCAATCACCTGAGGTCAGGATTTCCAGACCAGTCTGGCCAACATGGTGAAACCCCATCTCTACTAAAAATACAAAAGTTTGGCCAGGCACGGTGGCTCATGCCTGTAATCCTAGCACTCTGGGAGGCTGAGATGGGAGTGTCACTTGAGGTCAGGAGTTTGAGACTAGCCTGGCCAACACGGTGAAACCTCCTCTCTACTAAAAATACAAAAATTAGCTGGAAATCACTTGAACCTGGGAGGTGAGGGTTGCAGTGAGCCGAGATTGTGCCACTGCACTCCAGCCTGGGCAACAGAGTGAAACTCCATCTCAAAAAAACAAACAAACAAACAAACAACAACAACAACAACAAAAACATACACACACAAAACTTAGCCGGGCGTGGTGGCACATGCCTGTAATCCCAGCTACTTGGGAGGCTGAGGCAGCAGAATCACTTGAACCTGGGAGGTAGAGGGTGCAGTGAGCCGAGATCGTGCCACTGCATTCCAGCCTGGGCGAGAGAGCAAGATTCCATCTCGGAAGGAAAAAAAAAAAACCCACAAGAAATTAGCCAATGAAGACTCTTAAGAAAGTTTGTCTCGAGTCTTATGTGAAAGTCATGTGGCACCATCAGTTTTGAAGGTATTTCCCAATAATCCTAATTTCCAGCTTCAGAACGATAGTGGAACACTTCAGAAATAAAATACAAATGCCATCAAAGCGCTAGCCTCCCTAACATGATTCTAAGAGGACTGGACTCCTAGGATCACGGTACCTAAGATGTGCCAGGTGGCTCATCCCAATAGCACCTGCCCTGGCCCATCCAGGGGCTGGCACAAGTGCATTTTTTTTTTTTTTTTTGAGATGGAGTCTCACTCTGTCACCCAGGCTGGAATGCAGTGGCGCGATCTCAGCTCACTGCAGCCTCTAGCTCCCAGGAGAATCAAGAATCAAGCGATTCTCCTGCCTCAGCATCCCGAGCAGCTGGGATTACAGGCACCCACCAGCATGCCTGGCTAATTTTATATTTTTAGTAGAGACGGGATTTCACCATCTTGGCCAGGCTGGTCTCAAACTCCTGACCTCAGGTGATCTGCCCGCCTTGGCCTTCCAAAGTGCTGGGAGTACAGGCATGAGCCACTGCACCCGGCAAATGCATTTCTTACAGAGGTGAGCATGTAGGATCAACACAGCCACTTGGCAGGAGTTGCCACTACTATTACTGGGTATATCTTCATCTCAGATAACAACCAAATCACATTCCTGCCACCAACCTGATACGATCACAAACAGCCTGGTACAAAGACTCAAGGGTTAACTTGTGCTTGGGGACAGAAAGCAATAGTGGCTGCCCATATAGCGCTGATGCGGAGGAAGTGCTTGATGGCCTGGACTTCCTCTCCCTGAAGTAGACTGGAAGCGTGACACATTCCGAGCCATCCACGGAAGTGCTGCAGACCTCGTACCTGCGTCAATCACACAAGAGGGCACTTTTAGCAGTAGGTCCTTGTGAACAACAGAGATCTGAGCTGAAGCTATGTGGTGGCCAGGGCTATGATTACTGGGACAGAGCATATTTGAGTAGAAAAGGTGGCTATAACTATTGCCAAGACGTTTCTAGAGGTTGAGTCAGGAATCCCTAGAAGGACCATTGTCAGCACAATGTGAACCTATACAACCTGGGGCTGAGGGCTAACCGTGATACTCCTTCTTCCAACCACGGCCTCAAACTCTGTGGTCCTTCAACTGGGACCCAACACAGATAACAGCCATCATTCAGATCATCACTCTGAACACAAAGGCACACAGCTGGGTCCAGCCACCAAGTTCATCTTTTGTCATCAAAGAGCTCATCTTTAAAAAATGTATTGAGTTGGCTGGGCGCGGTGGCTCACGCCTGTAATCCCAGCACTTTGGGAGGCCAAGGCGGGCGGATCACGAGGTCAGGAGATTGAGACCATCCTGGCTAACACGGTGAAACCCCATCTCTTCTAAAAATACAAACAATTAGACGGGCATGGTGGTGGGCACCTGCAGTCCCACCTACTCGGGAGGCTGAGGCAGGAGAATGGTGTGAACCCAGGAGGCGGAGCTTGTAGTGAGTCAAGATCTTGTCACTGCACTCCAGACTGGGCAACAGAGCGAGACTCCATCTCAAAAAAAAAAAAAAAAAAAAAAAAAAAAAGCATTGAGTGCCCTGCCCTTTAATAAGACCAAATATTGTACAAAGATGTACACCTAGGATATTAGCCAAACTCTTTTTTTCCAAATGAGCAAGCAAATTTATAAAAGTAATTGTCATCTTTGTTCAAAAACACTGAAGTGAAAGAATCGTATCTAATTCTGAAAAACATCAGAGATAACCAAAGAAACTGCTAGATACAAATCAATGATTTTGAAAAATGTGTCTTACTTAGTGAATACATGGGATTGAGGAGATTTATAGATGTTTTATCCTGGAACAGATGTTACCAAAATTGCTGGCAACCGACTGTAGTCTTTCCCTCTTCCTATAGGGGGAGACACAAACTTACTGATTCAAATTTTGAAACTAAACATATGCACGTGTGCGCGCGCGCGCGCACACACACACACACACACACCCCCCCCTCCCCAAATGCCTAGCAAACAGTCCTGACTGAAGTTTATGAAGGAGGAATTTCTAATACATAAAAATGTCCAAGGTGTGCTCTCGAGTAAATACTGTGGTCCAGCATAGTGGTAAAGAACCAGGCCTTGGAGTGCACCTGCCCCAGGTTCCAGGTCCACATTGCCATTTTCTGGCTGCTAGTAATAAGCACCTAACTTCTTAGTCTATTTATTCGGTGGACAATGGGATTACCCACTTTAAAAGGTGTGGTAAGAATTAAATAATTTAGTAGCACAGTGTACAACACATTAAAAAGTAGCAGATGCAGGCCGGGCACAGTGGCTCACACCTGTAATCCCAGCACTTTGGGAGGCCGAGGGGGACGGATTACGAGGTCAGGAGATCGAGACCACCCTAACTAACACAGTGAAACCCCATCTCTACTTAAAATACAAAAAATTGGCCAGGTGTGGTGGCACGCGCCTGTAGTCCCAGCTACTCAGGAGGCTGAGGCAGAATGGCATGAACCTGGGAGGCGGAGCTTGCAGTGAGCCACGATCACACCATTGTACTCCAGCCTGGGTGACACAGCAAGACTCTATCTCAAAAACATAAATAAATAAAAAATAAAAAATACCAGATGCTGGCCGAGCACAGTGGCTCACGCCTGTAATCCCAGCACTTTGGGAGGCCAAGGCGGGTGGATCACGAGGTCAGGAGATTGAGACCATCCTGGCTAACACGGTGAAGCCCTGGCTCTACTAAAAATACCAAAAATGAGCCAGGCGTGGTGGCGGGTGCCTGTAGTCCCAGCTACTCGGGAGGCTGAGGCAGAAAAATGGCATGAACCCGGGAGGCAGAGCTTGCAGTGAGCCGAGATTGCGCCACTGCACTCCTGCCTGGGAGACAGAGCGAGACTCCGTCTAAAAAAATAAAATAAAATAAAATAAAAATACCAGATGCTACTATTGCTTTCATAAAACAATTGTCAATTCAAATTCATCTATAAAAGAATTTGTTTTTCCAATGGTTGGCCCATAGGCCCTCTGAAAATTCCTTTGTTGGTGGTCTGCTAAGCTCCCCACAGGGTAATCCTCCAGTTCCTTTCAGCTCAGGTGTGTGAAAACACTACTTTCTGGAATTTACAGAGACCATGTTAAGGGCTTGGGGTTATATGTGAAAGTGGACTTTCCCATGTTCTAGCCCTTGGCACAGTGTCAGCTCTTGGCTGTGTCTGTGCAAGTGAGAACAGAAATAGATCTTGGGTGTGGCTAGGAACTATTCCTTTTAGAGAGATCTAGAAGTCATAGGCCCAAAAATGTAAAGGGAAGGAACTATCTCCTTTACATACTGAATTCCTCAGCCAAAAACAAAAACCAAAACAAAATCCTAAAACCCTTTCTCAGCAGAGGCAAGTTCCTGAGTGAGAGGTAAAGAGGGAGGGACAGTACGGCTGTGCTCCATACTTCCTGGGCAAGTGGCTGCCTGGGAGCAGCAGGCAAGTTCATGTATGGGAGCAGCCGGCAAGTTATTACACCACTGTGCCTGGAAGAGGGACACACACACAATTACACAGAGCAGCCATGAAGCAGCATGTGGGAAGGCAGAGGAGGCCTTTGTATTGTCCTCACAGAGATGAAGAAACTCAGTCTCAGAGCTTACAGAATGTTTGAGCTGAAAACAGCTGTTTAAATCAGCCCTGTCATTTCTGCATTGGGGATGGTAGTATCATGGTACTCGCTGAGAAGCTACAGCCTGTGGCAGAGAAAGGACAAGATCCTTCCGTACCACACCCCTACTACCATCTTCCCATCACACAGCTGGGATTCCTCTTAAGAAAGGCATCTCTGATGGTAGGACCATCTGTAGGAGCAGTGATTTGGCCTTCTTCATAGGCAAAACTGTTGAAAAAAGGCTGTGGCTGTGCTGAGGAGAGTTATCAGAATGTTTAGCTCTGCAGGGCAGGAGGGGTTGAGCACTGATGGCTGCCCACGATGCCCTCAATACCCATCTCTTGCACCCAGGGGTCAGGGCCAATCCACATGAGCAATGACTGCCCACATTTTTGTTCTGGAGATATGAATGCAGCAAAGTCTCTAGAATGTGTCCTCTGACCTGACCTGCAGCAGAAACTGCTGAGTACTCACACGAAAATGTCATCCCGAGGCATGATGTGGTTTAAACCTTCATCCATTTGGAAAATTTTGTGGAATCGGTGATTATACACATCTGCGACCACCATCTAAGAATGAACAGTAACAGAAAGACCACAGAATGGCTAAGAGTGCCCCTACTAACTGCTTAAAACCCAGAAACAAATGAAAAAAAAAATACTCATACTCAAATGTTGCCTCTAGAGAAACCACCACACAAACAGCCCCAGAGAGCTGAGGGCCAAGGCCCAAGGGGGAGCAGCATGGCTGCCATCAGAATTGAACATGCTGGTAGCATCTGCCCTCGACTGGCAGGAAGGGCGAGGAGTGTGGTGCTAACCAGAAACCAGCAGTTGTCCAGAGCCTCTGGAGTATTCCATAGTCTGCAGTCTCTATGCCACCCTCAGTGCACAGATCTGACAGCAGAGCCCTACTCCTGGTCCTTTGACCACGGCTAGTGTGAACCCAATGAAGGAAAGATAGTGTTTCCTGGAGCTGGAAGGGACAGTCTCAGTCACAATGTGCATAGTGAGTGAGGCATCCAGACACACACAAATAATCACATTTGTGCTGGCAATAACAACAACCCCAAAAAGTGGCTTCAAGGTTGAAAGTAAACTCCAAATGCTATGAAGTATCCCAAATAGACCGAGTGCCACTGATCACCCCGCCTTACATTTTCTGCAGCAATGCCAGACAGCCTGGAGAGAGCCTCGCACAGGTCGGACACAGCCCCCATCAGCGGCACAGTCACACGGTACTGCAAGACAGAGATGGTCAAGGTCACAGGGGTGCCCCACAAAGGGTGCGAAATGCATTAGGAGAAGCAGGCATCACTAGGGGCAGAGGAGCCCTTCTAGAAACAATGTATGGTGAGGTCAGGGTACAGATGAGTCAGAAGCAGAGCAAATAAGCAGGACCTCTATGTCAGCATCCTCCTCAATACACAGGCAGCAGCATGGGGGCTAGGCCATCTCTTTCTCTTCCAAACATTGCTTCATTTTATTCTTAATTCTTTAGAGTACTTTCTGAAGAACTGCTGAAATTATACAAATTCAAATTGCCATCTGGTCCTACCTTTTTATTTTATTTTTATTTTTTGTAGAGACAGGGTCTCAAACTCCTGGCCTCGAGCAATCCTCCCGCCTCAGCATCCCAAAGTGCTGGGATTACAGGTGTTGGCCACCAAGCCCGGCCTCAACTTTCTTTTTTTTCTTTTTTCTTTTTTTTCTGAGACACAGTCTTGCTCTGTCACACAAGCTGGAGCGCAGTGACGCGATCTTGGCTCACTGCAACCTCCACCTCCCGGGTTCAAGCGATTCTCCTGCCTCAGCCTCCTGAGTAGCTGGGATTACAGGCGCGCACCACCACGCCTGGATAATTTTTGTATTTTTAGTACAGACAGGGTTTCACCATGTTGGTCAGGGTGGTCTCGAACTCCTGACCTCGTGATCTGCCCGCCTCGGCCTCCTGAAGTGCTGGGATTACAGGGGTAAGCCACCGTGCCCAGCCTGCCTCAACTTTTTTTTTTTTTTGAGACGGAGTCTCGCTCTGTCGCCCAGGCTGGAGTGCAGTGGCGCAATCTTGGCTCGCTGCAAGCTCCGCCTCCCGGGTTCACGCCATTCTCCTGCCTCAGCTGCCCGAGTAGCTGGGACTACAGGCGCCCGCCACCATGCCTGGCTAATTTTTTGTATTTTTAGTAGAGACGGGGTTTCACCGTGTTAGCCAGGATGGTCTGGATCTCCTGACCTCGTGATCTGCCCGCCTCGGCCTCCCAAAGTGCTGGGATTACAGGCGTGAGCCACCGCGCCCGGCCCTCAACTTTCTTTAGAGACAAAGAAACCAAAACCAGAAGGCTAAGCAATACAATTACTCAGTGAGCCATCAGCAGGGTAAGACACTAAGACCTGCTGCTCACACCTCTCATCTGGCCTAATCTTCTGTACAGGCTGTCCTAGGTTATGTGAGGGTATATCTGAGTACGAAAAGAACCGTGCTTCTGGTTCCCCAACATTCAGATTCAAGAACCACTTAGTAGATCAGGTTACTTTAGTCGCGTGAATGAAGTGTGGCCAAAAAAGTGACAGAGGCCGGGTGCGGTGGCTCACGCCTGTAATCCCAACACTTTGGGAGGCCAAGATGGGCAGATTACTTGAGGTCAGGAGTTCTGGCCAACAAGGTAACATCCTGTCTCTACTATGTCTCTACTAAAAATACAAAAATTAGCTGAGCGTGGTGGTACACGCCTGTAATCCCGGCTACTGAGTGGCTGAGGTAGGAGAATCGCTTGAACCTGGGAGGAAGACGTTACAGTGAGCTGAGATCATGCCACTTCACTCCAGCATGGGCAACAGAGCGACTCTGTCTCAAAAAAAAAAAAAGTGACAGAGAAGCAAAGAAGCTGCAAAGACCTTCACAATAGGCCTTAAATGATATGGGATTAGACAAAGGTCTGATGGAGGCCAAGGGCCCATACCCAGGCAAGTACCAAGGGGACTCAGAGGCAGCCAATGCAGCAGATAGGAGCAGTCCCACTGGGATCTGGAGACCACTTGCAGTGAGGGGTGCCATAAGGGTGTGGATTCTGTCACCTGAGTAGGTCTGCAGTGAGGGTCAGCAGGAACCAGGAAAACCTCCATAACTCGATCTTTCTTCAAGGGCAGTGGCAGCGTTAGATAGCAAAATGGGTCAAAGGTCACAGAAACCTTAGCACATTCTGGGCAAACCAAAGTAGATTTGAAGAGGCCATGGAAAGTATCCACAATCACAGAATCATTCCTCAACCTGTGATTCTCCCAGGCTTCCTTTGCCACCACCTGCGTCAAAGGGATAAACAGGACATTCTCAACACCTCTCAGCCCCTTGCCCCTGCATCCAGAATGACTCACAGCAAACCTGGAGATGAATCAGGTGGCAATCTGTACAGCCAAGAGCTTGATCCAGGACAAACAAGGCCAGGACTACTCTTAGTGTATCATACTCATACCACATGCCAGCTCTACGCCCAATCCCCACCCCAACACACATATATATATTTCACATATATGTTTATATATATACATATTTCAAATATATATTATATTGATTGATTGAGACATGGTCTTGCTCTGTCGCTCAGGCTGGCGTGATCATGGTTCACTACAGCCTCAACCTCCCGGACTCAAAGCGATCTTCCTGCCTCAGACTCCCAAGTAGCTAGGACTATAGGCATGCATCACCATGCCTGGCTAATTTTTTTAGGTTTGGTAGGGATGGGGGTCTTACTATGTTGACCAGACAGTTCTAGAGCTCCTGGCCTCAAGTGATGCTCCCACCTCAGCCTCCAAAGTGCTGGAACCGCAGGGGAAAGCCACTGCGCCTCGCCCTAATCCTCACACTTAATAAGGTTGGCAACATAGGACCTATTGGAAACTAGGGGTCTGTGTGTCCTGATAAGAAACAGAAGCCCGGAGAACACTATCGGTACAGAGACATGGCCAGGGCAAGGAAAGCCCCCCTATATGTTTCCAGTGATCTAAAGTAAGGTTTTTGGCGGGGCACGGTGGCTGACGCCTGAAATCCCAGCACTTTGGGAGGCCGAAGCAGGCGGATCACCAGAGGTCAGGAGTTCAATATCAGCCTGGCCAACATGGTGAAACCCCCTCTCTACTAAAAATACAAAAATTTGCTGGGCATGGTGGCACGTGGCTGTAGTGCCAGCTACTTGAGAGGCTGAGACAGGAGAATCGCTTGAACCCGGGAGGTGGAGGTTGCAGTGAGCCAAGATCACGTCATTGCACTCCAGCCTGGGCAACAGAGTGAGACTCCATCTCAAAAAAAATAAATAAATAAATTTTAAAAATAAAGTTTTTATCTATACTACAGCTCAGCTAACTCATAGTTTTTCTAAGAAGATCTAAATTTTACTTTAAAGCATTCATATTGATTATCCCAATGTGATAGGGTAGCTGAAATACTAAAATCCTCTTGCACTGATCAGATAATCAAGGCAAAAGGTATAAATGTCCTAATGATACTAATAACAAATTAAGTAATCATGGATGGATTTTATTGTGAGCAATAACAATCTTAGGGGTCCTCACTATAGGTACTTTACAGTTTTCAGAGTGTTCTTAGTCCCTAGTTCACCAGTGAAATATCAAACAAGCTCACTCTAATTTGAAAAAGCCCAAGAGGAAGCCTTAGGAGTAACTAGGGTACAGTGCCTCACGCCTGTTGTAATCCCAGCACTTTGGGAGGCTGAGGTGAGAAGACTGCTTGAGCTCAGGAGCTGGAGACCAGCCTAGACAACACAGCAAGTTTCTGTCTCTATTTAAAAAAAAAAAAAAAAAAAGCAGTAACTACAGTTAGCCCCTTTCTGACCAGAGACCATATCCCTATAACTAGCTACAGTGAGAAGCAACCAGGGCCCTGGCAACAACACTCAAAGACCAGAAGAATATCCCTGCACTCTCAATAGGAGGCAGCTTCTTTGGCATATTATCATTCAGACATCATTAATGGCATACCGCATCTGGCCGCCCATTGGCATCCTTCAGCTCCAAGTAGGGCTTTTTCTTTACCCGGTTCAGATCTTCATGCAATCCATCTAGAAGAAAGGCCAGCAGCTCCTGAGAATCTTGTTGCTGGTAGCCAGAAAATTGAGGAGCAAAACGTCCTACTTGAGTCTACAACAAAAGCAACTGTATCAGAAGGCATAATACGTAAAGAACTAGTTAAATCAAAAAAGAATTGCCATCAAAAATAGCTCTGAGGAGTTAGCTGGGGCAGTGAGAGAGAACACTTGGTTGAGTAGTCCAATTAACTCCTGAAGAGCCTACAGGAGGCCAGTGGTTCCCACCAGAAAGAAGGCCTAGATCAGAGAGCCAGGAGGATGAACCTGGAACCTGGGCCACTGCCCTAAGTCCTAAGGAGGAAGGGTGGAGTACCCTGAGTAACCACACCCAAGTACTGACATGAATCCCTCTCCAACATGTCCTTCTTTGGTTCAGAGTCTTAAACTCCATAAGGACATTACAAACAATACTTTCATCAGCTGGAGGAATCCTCCTGTACATAACAGCCCTCAGGTCCCTAAATACTGTCTGTCCAGTAATACTCTCCACCAGTTATTCTGAGAGTATGGTCCCCAGTCGCAGCATTAGTATCACCTGGGAGCTTAGTAGAAAAGCACATTCTCAGGCCCCACACCAAACCTATTCAATCAGAAACTCTGGGGATGGGTCTAGCAGTCTGTGTTGTATTAAGCACTCCCAGAGATTGTGATGCATCCTATGGAGAACCAGCCAGGCACGGTGGCTCATGCCTATGATCCCAGAATTTTGGAAGGCTGAGGCAGGCAGATCACCTGAGGTTGGGAGTTCAAGACCAGCCTGGCCAACATGGTGAAACCCCGTCTCTACTAAAAATACAAAAATTAGCTGGGCATGGTGGTGCACACCTGTAATCCCAGCTACGCAGGAGGCTGAGGCAGGAGAATCACTTGAACCCAGGAGGCGGAGGCTGCAGTGAGCCGAAATTGTGCCAGTACGCTCCAGCCTGGGCGACATAGCAAGGCTGTCTCAAAAAAAAAAAAAAAAAAAAAAAAAAGGAGAACCACTGTTCTACACCTGTTCTCTAATACCATAGCCACTAGCCACATATGGCAATTGAAATTTACATTAATTACAATTAAAAACCATTAAAAATTCAGTTCCTCGGTCAAATGAACCACATCTCAAGTGCTCAGAGGTGCTTGAGCTGGTAGCTACCAAAACACAGTGCAGATATATAACACATCCATCACTGAGGAAGCTCCACACTTCCCTAATACCCCTAAACACTACCTTCCAGTTGTTTATTTACATTAGCTTCAGCACAGTGTGTTGCCACCCAATTCTTTTTTATTTTTTTTTCTGGGACAGGGTCTCACTCTGTTGCCAGGCTGGAGTGCAGTGGCGCAATCTCAGCTCACTGCAACCTCCGCCTCCCAGGTTCAAGCAATTCTCATGCCTTGGCCTCCCGAGTTGCTGGGATTACAGGCATATGCCACCACGCCTGGCTAATTTTTGTATTTTTAGTAGAGATGGGGTTTCACAATATTGGCCAGGCTGGTCTTGAACTCCTGACCTCAAGTGATCCACCCACCTTGGCCTCCCCATGGGCTGGGATTACAGGTGTGAGGCACCGCACCCAGCCGTTGCCACCCAATTCTAGTTTCTTTGTGACTTAGTATGTGAACAGTCATTTATATATTTCCCAGGGATTCATGTGACCAAGGGGATGAAAGATAATTAGTTTTCAATTTCAACAAACCACCTGAGATTTTAGTTTTCTCACTGAGCTAAGGTGCTATTTTTTTTCCTCTCTGAATCATAAATATGCATGTCTTTTCTTATCATATGCTTCATGAAGCTCCATGAATCCCAGTGGTACAGGCTAAATAGGATCTTTCAGATTTCAGCTTAAATCTGCTGAGCGGGAGGGAGCAAAGCACCTCCACCTCAGCAGGAAAAAGCAGTTGGGGCAATGGAAAGCCCAAGTTGCTCCGAGTGTATCCATGTCTTCTCCTTAAACCTTCCTGGCTGAGGGACCCCAGTGATAACTGCCCCTCACATCACCTTCCAAGAATGTGAGCCCAATTCCTGACTTAGGGGGTCCCAACTCAAACCACGAAGCCTGTAGAATCCAGGCTCAGAGAACCTGGAAACAGCCTTCAGATGATACTAGAAATTAAACTGAATTTTCATTTTTTTTAGAGACAGGGTCTCTGTCGCCAAGGCTGGGTACAGTGGCACAATCACAGCTCACTGCAGCCTTGACCTCCCAGGCTTAAGTAATTCTCCCACCTCAGCCTCCCTGGTAGCCGGGACTACAGGTACATCACCATGTCCAGCTAATTTTGTTGTTGTTGTTGTTGTTGTTGTTGAGACAGAGTCTCACTCTGTCGCTCAGGCTGGAGTGCAGTGGCGTGATCTCGGCTCACTGCACCCTCCACCTCCCAGGTTCAAGCAATTCTCCTGCCTCAGCATCCTGAGTAGCTGGAATTACAGGTGCGCACCACCACGCCTGGCTAATTTTTGTATTTTTGGTAGAGACGGGGTTTCACTATGTTGGTCAGGCTGATCTCGAACTCCTGACCTCGTGATCTGCCCGCCTCAGCCTCCCAAAGTGCTGGGATTACAGGAATGAGCCACCACGCCTGGACTTTTTTGTTGTTGTTGTTGTTTTTTCTTTGAGACAGAGTCTCGTTCTGTCACCCAGGCTGGAGTGCAGAGGCGCAATCTCGGCTCACTGCAAGCTCTGCCTCCCGGGTTCACGCCATTCTCCTTCCCCAGCCTCCCGAGTAGCTGGGACTACAGGCGCCTGCCATCACACCTAGCTAATTTTTTTTTTATGTATTTTTAGTAGAGACGGGGTTTCACCATGTTAGCCAGGATGGTCTCAATCTCCTGACCTTGTGATCCGCCCGCCTCAGCCTCCCAAAGTGCTGGGATTACAGGCGTGAGCCACAGCGCCTGGCCCAGATCCCATCTTAATCCCAAAATGCAACGAAAGGAATGCCTCATAACAACACTAAACCACTCTCCCCAAAGTGGGAAAAAGGAAGTACGGGAGAGTATCCCTTATCCAAAAATCTGAAATCCAAATGCTTAAAGATCCATAACCTAACACTGACATGATATTCAAAGGAAATGCTCACTGAAACATTTTAGATTTTGGAATGGGGATGCTGAACTAGTAAGCATAATGTAAATACCATAAAAAAAAATCCTAAAAAACCTGAAGTCCCGAAACATTTCTGGTCCCAGGCATCTATATACAGGGATACCCAACCCATATATATATATGTCTACCTACTTTGAACATGCGAGGTGCCACATGGGCGTCCCTTCCAGACCACATCTGCTTAATGAGTTCAGCATAGGCTTCTGCAATTTCCCCTTTCATCCCCAGAGGGTTGTCTCTGTTGATTTCGGCTTCATACTCATCTTTGAGAAAGTAGTCAGTCAGTGGTGCAGTGTTGCTCAAACACTGAAACAGAACATGATGAGGGCTTTACACACCTTCTAGACAGTACCAGAGATACAAGATAAATCAAGTTCTAAAGGGTCACTGAGGGACAACGCCAACAAAATGAGGCACTCAGGAGATTCTCTGAAGGCTCACGACAGTAAAGCACAGCCTCAAGGAGGCCAAGCTGCAAGGTGGACCCCTTGCAGCTAATCTCGGAGGGACGTGGTCTTAGAGGACCGCATATGCATTGGCTAAGACTTTGTCTCTGAAAAAAACTACCTTAGGAAAAAAGCTGAATAATTGCATAATTCTTATTTAATGAAAAAAGTGTTTTTTTTTGTTTTTTTTTTTTTTGAGACAGTTTCGATCTTGTCCAGGCTGGAGTGCAATGGTGCGATCTTGGCTCACTGCATCCTCTGTCTCCTGAGTTCAAGCGATTCTCCTGCCTCGGCCTCCTGAGTAGCTGACATCACAGGCACCGGCCACCACACCCAGCTAATTTTTGTATTTTCAGTAGAGATGGGGTTTCACCATGTTGGCCAGGCTGGTCTCAAACTCCTGACCTCAGATGATCCGCTCACCTTGGCCTCCCAAAGTGCTGGGGTTACAAGCGTGAGCCACCGCGCCCAGCCTTTTTCATTAGTTTCTGTTCTTAACGCTATTAGTTCTCTCCTACTTCCTTTGGGTTCTTTTTCCTAGCATCATGAGATAGAAGCTTAAATCATGAAATTTTAACCCTTTTTGCCCTAATATTTACATTTAGAACTATAAAACTCATCATTATCCTCGCTCAATAATAGCTAAGGAAAATTGAGGGTACAAAGACTTGGAAAAACTTGCCCATGAGAAGCCAAATCACACCTCTTCTTCAGTACTAGGCTACTTCCACCTCACCACAAGAGGAAAATAATTTTTTTGTTTTGTTTTGTTTGAGACAGAGTTTTGCTCTTTTTGCCCAGGCTGGAGTGCAGTGGCGCAATCTCAGCTCACCGCAACCTCTACCTCCTGGGTTCAAGTGATTCTCCTGCCTCAGCCTCCCGAGTAGCTGGGATTACAGGCATGCGCCACCACGCCCAGCTAATTTTGTATTTTTAGTAGAGATGGGGTTTCTCCATGTTGGTCAGCCTGGTCTGGAACTCCCGACCTCAGGTGATCCGCCTGCCTCAGCCTCCCAAAGTGCTGGGAGCCACCGCGCCCAGCCGGAAAATAATTTCAAAACCCAAGGGTTATCTAATCTTTTAACAAATGTTTTATGTTTTTGCTCACACTACAAAAAAATTCAAAGTTAGACTGTAGGCCAGGTGTGGTAGTTCATACCTGTAATCCCAGCACTCTGGGAGGCTAAGGAGTGTGGATCACTTGAGGCCAGGAGTTCAAGACCTTCCTGGCCAACATGGTGAAACCCCATTCTACTAAAAATACAAAAAATTAGCTGGGCGTAGTGGCACATGCCTGTAATCCCAGCTACCCGGGAGGCAGAGGTTGCTGTGAGCCAAGATTGCACCACTGCACTCCAGACTGGGCAAGAGAGCAAGACTATGTCTCAAAAAAAAAAAAAAAGTGAGAATGTAAGTCTTTAAAAAATTTTTTTTTAATTTTTAGAGATAGGGTCTTGCTTATGTTAGCTAGGCTTGGTCTCAAACTCCTGGGCTCAAGTGATCCTCCCATTTGAACCTCCCAAATCACTGGGAAACAGGTGTGAGCCACTGTGCCCAGCCAGATTATCAATTTTATGAGGACAAAAACCATTGCTGGTTTGCTTACCACTGAGTCCCTATGTAAAGAATATTGGGCCAAGTGCAGTGGCTCAGATCTGTAATCCCAACACTTTGGGAAGCCAAGGTAGGAAGACTGCTTAAGGCCAGGAGTTTGAGACCAGCCTGGGCATCATAAGTGAGACCCCGTTTCCACAAAACAAAACAAAACAAAACAAAACAAACAAACAAACAAAAAACATACATACAAAACAAAAAGAAAAAACAATTAGCAAGGCCTGGTGGTACACACTTGTAGTCCCAGCTATTTGGGAAGCTGAGGTGGGAGGATCACTTGAGCCCAGGAGTTCAAGGTTACAGTGAGCTATGATCATGCCACTGCACACTAGCCTGGGCATCAGAGAGAGTTCCTGTCTCTAAGAAAAAAAAAAATGAATTTTGCTCTGCTCAAACAGAAGGTCTAGCTTTGCCCCTGGCTTCTGGGAGGTAATCTATTTGCCCCTGGAATGTTATGCCTGATAGGACTGTCTGTTTGCCTGGTGGGCCTTGGGTCATACTGGATAACCTAACAATACAATTTTGGAGGTGGAGAAGAGGCTGATCAGAACTGTACAGTCTAGTCCTAGGGTGAGAAGGGCTAGCCACTCCAGAAAAACCAAAAATGTGACTTACGGTGGGGGCTTTGGGTCACATGGTATCAGTTCACCTAGGTAATGAGTCAATCATATTTATACTTTATTATATATTTTTTTGAGACAGAGTCTCACACTGTCACCCAGGCTGGAGTGTAGTGGCATGATCTTGGCTCATTGCAACCTCCGCCTCCCGGGATCAAGAGATTCTCCTGCCTCAGCCTCCCAAGTAGCTGGGATTACAGGCGCCCGCCACCATGCCCAGCTAATTTTTTGTATTTTTAGTGGAGACGGGGTTTCACTATGTTGGCCAAGCTGTTGTCAAACTCTTGACCTCATGATCCGCCCGCCTTGGCCTCCCAAAGTGCTGGGATTACAGGCGTGAGCCACCACACCCTGCCAGTCAATCATATTTATATAATGAAGCCCCAGTAAAAATTCTGGACGCTGAAGCTCACGTGAGCTTCCATAGTTTGCAGTACTCCATATGCATCATTACACATCAATGCCAGGAAATCACCATGTTCTGGCCAGGCACGGTGGCTCATGCCTGTAATCCCAGCACTTTGGGAGGCTGAGGTGGGTGGATCACCTGAGGCCGGGAGTTTGAGACCAGCCTGGTTAGCCAACATGGTGAAATCCTGTCTCTACTAAAAATACAAAAATTAGCCAGGCGTGGTGGTGTGTGCCTGTAATCCCAGCTACTCGGGAGGCTGAGGCATGAGAATTGCTTAAACCCAGGAGGTGGAGGTTGCAGTGCGTCAAGATTGCGCGACTGCACTCCAGCCTGGGCAACAGAGAAAGAGATGCTGTCTCAAAAAAAAAAAAAAAAAAAAGGAAAGTACCATGTACTGACTCCATAGGTAGAAAACAACAGAAGCTCTACATTTTGATCCTCCTGACCTCTGCCCTATATGCCTCTTCCCTTGGCTGATTTTAGTCTACATCCTCTCACTACAGTAAACCATCATCATGAGTATAATAACTTTAAGTAAATTCCGTGACTCCTTCTAAACAAATTACCAAAACTAAGGGTGGTCTTGGAAACCTGCAAACTTGCAGTTGGTTTCGGAAATGAGGGCAGTCTTGGGAACTGTGCCCTCCTAACTTTGAAGCTGGACTTTAACTCCTTGCAGCCCATGACTATTACAGTGCTGTCACATAATATATGCCCAATAAATATTTGATGAATTAATAAACAAGGTTTATTTTCTTTTCCATTTTGAGACAGGGTCTCGCTATGATGCTCAGGCTGGCTTCAAACTCCTGGCCTCAAGCAATACTACCCCCTCAGCCTCCCAGAGTTGTGATTACAGGTGTGAGCCATTGCGCCTGGCCAATAAGCAAGTTTCAAAGAGGGGATTTTGGATTTTCTCTAGTAAGGAGCATGGGGCGGGACAGCTTTTTTTTTTTTTTTTTTTTTTTTGAAACGGAGTTTCACTCTTGTTGCCCAGGCTGGAATACAATGGCGCAATCTCGGCTCACTGCAACCTCCGTCTCCTGGGTTCAAGCGATTCTCCTGCCTCAGCCTCCCAAGAAGCTTGGATTACAGGCGTGTGCCACCACACCCGGCTAATTTTTGTATTTTTAGTAGAGATGGGGTTTTGCCATGTTGGCTAGGCTGGTCTCGAACTCCTGACCTCAGGTTATCCACCCGCCTTAGCCTCCCAAAGTGCTGGGATTACAGGCGTGAGCCACAGTGCTGCCCCCGGACTTTTTTTTAATCTTTTTTTTTTTTTTTTTTTTTTTGAGACAGAGTCTCACTCTGTTGCCCAGGCTAGAGTGCAGTGGCGTAATCTCAGCTCACTGCAACCTCCGCCTCCCAGGTTCAAGTGATTCTCCTGCCTCAGCCTCCTGAGTAGCTGGGACTACAGATGCATGCCACCACACCCAGCTAATTTTTGTATCATTAGTAGAGATGGGGGTTTCACCACATTGGCCAGGTGATCCACCCGCCTCTGCCTCCCAAAGTGCTGGGATTACAGGCGTGAGCCACTGCGCCCGGCTGGGACAGCTATTTTTAGTGAAAAGGTAGTCAGCCTTCAGCAAAGCATAATTGAGCTTGGCATCACCTGCTGTAAGTTTTCCTCATCCCATCAGAGACCAATCAGGGATGCACTCCAATATTTTCTAGAGAGATCATACCTCAACAGTCAGTAAAATTCAAAATAATCTTACTATAAAACCAAACACAGAGCTGACTACAAAGACATCTGGGGTCCACAAACACTGATGAAGCCATTCTATACCACCTAGTGGGAGATGCCCTAGCAGAGACTACTGAAGCACCAACAAGGGGTAGGCAGGGACTCCTGGGAGAGGATCCACCCAGTACCTTTGCAGGCCACTTCCACCCAAACCTCAAGATGCTGTGTTATTTGAATGGAAGTTCTCTCCTCTACCTGCAAAGCGGAGTTCATGAAGCAGGTGTTTCCCAGGTTTCCAAGTCCACAGAGCCCAGGTTGTATATGAGAGGATGGTGGCTCCTGACAATTATACGAAGCAGAAAAGCCAGATCCACTGGAAAACACAACACACATCAGCAATAAAAGCAAGTGCATAACACATGCCCTCAAGATGCTTTTTGAGGCTCCTATGGGGGCCTCTAGAACTTGTGTGGTAGTAAGCCCATGATGCAAATTCCCTCTACTCCCTCCCCTGCCCTCCAGACCTGCCCCACCCTTTACTTGACACACTAGCAGCTGGTAAGCACATCCTTAAGGAAAGAAACACTACTTGAATTTTCCTCTGTTAGGCTTTGGCAAATGCTAATTTTGCCAGGTGACTTTAGGGAAGACCATTTTAGTTATTAAGAGCTTGCATCTGCTACTACCCACCAGGCCACACCCAGGCTTGACTGGCCCTGAAAGTTCATGCACACTTCCTCACCCCATTCACCCTCTTCCCCACATCTATGCCATGTGGCAGGTGTGCCTGAAATGCCTGGAGAAAGGATCACGGCCATCCACAGCTGAGCACTGTCCCTTCACAACTATTCTGCCATACGGGCCAGCCCATCCCTTCATAAACAAATGCAGTGACCCCCCCACCCTCCGAGACTACCTGTGATGTAGGCTGTGGGGAAAACACCAGCTCACAGGAGGACAAGCAACACAGATCAGAACTTGGAAGCACACTTTACTGTAGGTATGAAATGGAGTGAGAAACTACATGTAGCATGTTCCCATGAGGAACTCTAACCCCACTATGCTTAGTGGAGCAGCAGATGAGCTCTCAAGATACAGCCTGGGAAAGGACCACGGGAAAGGAAGCAGAGTGAAAGGACCTGCTCTTACCCCCTGCTGACACCGGAACTGTGCATCCCACAGGTGCTAGTGCTATCACCATTTGCAATGAGAGAGGCAGACACTGAGGAATAGGGACTTGCTGATGATTTTGGAGAGGTAGTAAAATTTCTGCTAGGCGCAGTGCTTGATCTGGGAGAGAGAAGCAGAAACAATGCTACTGACTTTTTGCAAAGAGCAAGCCCTATTTAATGCCTTAGGTTGCTTCTCAAGGAATAAATATTCTTCATATTAAGTTAAAATAAATTACAAAAAGCCTGTATTCATACTACTTCAAGGTAAACTTTATTTAAGTGAGAGTCCACAAATTAACTGGTCTTCCTGTCACATCAGTCCACACCACCACATACCCTTTCAGTGTGAAAAACCACAAGGCTGACCAGGCGCAGTGGCTCGTGCCTGTAATCCTAGTACTTTGGGAGGCTGAGGCAGGCAGATTGCCTGAGCTCAGGAGTTCGAGACCAGCCTGGGCAACACAGTGAAACCCTGTCTCTACTAAAATGCAAAAGAAATTAGCCAGGTCGCGCGTGGTGGCTCATGCCTGTAATCTCAGCACTTTGGGAGGCCGAGGCAGACGGATCACCTGAGGTCAGGAGTTTGAGACCAGCCTGACCAACATGGAGAAACCCCGTCACTACTAAAAATACAAAATTAGGCTGGGTGAGGTGGCTCACCCTTGTAATCCCAGCACTTTGGGAGGCCGAGGCTGGCGGATCATGAGGTCACGATCACAAGGTCAGGAATTCAAGACCAGCCTGGCCATGAGGTCAGGAGTTCAAGACACAGTGAAACCACATCTCTACTAAAAATACAAAAATTATCTGGACATGGTGGCGGGCGCCTGTCATCCCAGCCACTCGGGAGGCTGGGGCAGAAGCATCACTTGAACCCGGGAGTAAGCCGAGACTGCACCACCGCACTCCAGCTTGGTGACAGAGTGAGACTCCATCTCAAAAAAAAAAAAATTAGCCAGATGTGATGGCGCTACTCGGGAAGCTGAGGCAGGAGAATTGCTTGAACCCGGGAGGCAGAAGTTGCAGTGAGCCAAGATCGCGCCATTGCACTCCAGCCTGGGCAAAAAGAACGAAACTCTGTCTCAAAAAAAAAGAAAATAAAGAAATTAGCCAGGCATGGCAGCATGTGCCTGTAGTCCCAGCTACTGGGGAGGCTGAGGGGCAGGAGAATTGCGTGAAACCGGGAGGCGGAGGTTGCAGTGAGCCGAGATCGTGCCACTGCACTCCAGCCTAGGTGACAGAGTGAGACTCTGTCTCTTAAAAAAAAACAACAAAAAAAACCCCACAAGGTTCATCTTCAAGCATCCTGGTTTGATTTACAAATCATAAACTTCCCTACATTTTTTTTCTTTTTTTTTTTCTTTTTTTTTTTTGAGACGGAGTCTCATTCTCTCGCCAGGCTGGAGTGCAGTGGCACAATCTTGGCTCACTGCAACCTCCGCCTCCCGGGTTCAAACAATTCTCCTGCCTCAGCCTCCCGAGTAGCTGGGACTACAGGCGCGTGCCACCACACCCAGCTAATTTTTTTGTATTTTTAGTAGAGACAGGGTTTCACCATGTTGGCCAGAATGGTCTCAAGCTCTTGACCTTGTGATCTGCCTGCCTTGGCCTCCCAAAGTGCTGGGATTATAGGTGTGAACCACCACATCTGGACTGCTTCCCTGAATTTTAAAAATTATTAGTGAAAGGCAAAGAAAAATGGCAATAAGGCCAGGCGAGGTAGCTCACGCCTATAATCCCACCTCTTTGGGAGGCTGAGGTGGGTGGATCACTTGAGGTCAGGAGTTCGAGTCTAGCCTTACCAACGTGGTGGAACCCCGTCTCTACTAAAAATAAAAAAAATTAGCCAGGCCTAGTGGCGCATGCCTGTAATCCCAGCTACTTGGGAGGCTGAGGCAGGAGAACTGCTTGAACCCAGGAGGCGGAGGTTGTAGTGGGCCGAGATCGTGCCATTGCATTCCAGCCTGGGCAACAAGAACAAAACTCCATCTCAAAAAAAAAAAGAAAAATGGCAATAAGAGATGACTTTCCCCAAAAAGGCTGGATGCAAATTAAATAGCTGGATATAAGGACATGAGAACAGAAAAATGGCAATTTGGTTTCACTACGCCTTCTATGGAGAATTTTGTTTCTTCAAATTTGCCAGTGTAACCTCTCTGTTTCAAACTCATGTTTTAATATTTTTCAGGCTCTTATTTTAGATTTCTACTTTCAAATTAATTCAAGGGCTAATTGCCCAAATTTTAAATTGCTATCAATTTCATCAATCTGCTAGAATCTATATAAGGACATAAGGAAGAAAGTAAATCTTATTTTAAAGTTTTTAATTTTTACCTTTTTTTTTTGGTAATCCATAGCAACAGTCTCCTTATGTTGCCCAGGCTGGTCTCAAACTCCTGGACTCAAGCAACCCTCCTGCCTCAGCCTCCCAAAGGGCTGGGATTACATACATGAGCCACTGCGCTCAGCCAAAGAAGAAAGTGAATCCTCCTCCATTGTTTCAAATATAAAACTGGTATTTCCCTTATAGAATACTGGGTTATTTTTAGAATACAGAAAATGACTAAGAAGATGTACTGTTCCCACACAGTGTTCACCCTCATGGGATCTGATCTCAACTTGGCTTCCCTGTGAGAAGAAAAACATGGCAGCAAAAACAAGTATGATCTTGTATACCAGCAATGGGCACATCAAGAAATTATATAGGGCCTAAGCAGGTACCTGAACTGAGGTTTGCTCCACAATGCAGTCACAGTAAGGGAGAATGAGGGCTCCTCAGTCTCTCACCTTCCCATAAGGAAATGTACCCTTCTCTAATCCTAAAGAGGATTTGGTTCACACAGCTTCATCCTCATGCTGCAAAGGAGTCCAAGAACTCAAGCAGCTGCACTAAGTGAGATTCACCACAGCCAAGGGTACTCTCATTCACCACATGGGAGACTTAAGCATGCATGTGTTCAATCCTGTCCAGTGAGATGTCCAATGTGATTTCCTAGCCTCTTATGCATAAAGAAAGTCTGCTGCCCAAGGCTGGTCTGATATGCAATGGCAGACTCAGTCATCTCAGCACTGAGGGAGGTAAGACAGAATACTGAAATTCAAATTCTGATGCACAGAACCTCAAGATATATAGTATGGCACTCCTCTTCTCAGTAACTATTCATTGATAACTTATCTATTTTCTTGAGCTTAAAAGGGCAAAAATCGGCCGGGCCTGATGGCTCATGCCTGTAATCTTAGCACTTTGGGAGGCCAAGGTGGGAGGACTGCTTGAGGCCAAGAGTTCAAGATCAACCTGGTCAACATGGCAAGACCCTGTCTCTATTTATTTATTTATTTTTAAAAAGGGCAAAAATCCATACAAATCATTTGAGATATCCAAGACCTGTCAATTTCTTAAACAGACAACATTTCAGGGTGATAGAAATTAAAGAAAAATTTTATTTGATGTTTAAAATGTTCTAGAAAATACTGCCAGTTTTCATAGTAAATTCAATCAAAAAGAAACCAAATTAAGGGCATATAAGGATACTTTTTATATGCTTGAAAATTAACACAGTAAGATTTAAAAAAAAAAAAACTCTATCCTTAGGCTGGGTGCAGTGGCTCATGCTTACAATCCCAGCACTTTGGGAGGCTGAACTTCTCTTTACAGAACAGAAAAAGCCAGGCATAGCAGCACGTGCCTGCAGTCCTAGCTACTCGGGAGGCTAAGCCGAGAGGATCCCTTGATCCCAGGAGTTTGAGGTTGCAGTGAACTATGATCATGCCATTGCATTCCAGTCTGGGCAACAAAGCAAGACCCTATCTATTAAAAAATACTCTATCTTTGACAGACAAGTCAGAAGCAAAACTTCTCTTCAGAAAATTTACTATAATCTGGGAAATGCTGAGCACTAGGGCAGGGACTTGTCTCCAGACCTTCAGGCAACTGTGGAACAAACCCTGGGCATTACAGGCTGGAATATAGGAAGCCAGGAGAAATGTCTGAATCTCAGGCATATATATTAGGTAAGCAAGATCTCACTCTGATTTGTGACTGGGTCTCATGCCACACTCTGAAAACAGACACTATGCCTCCAAACAAGGATACCTCTGCTCCTAAGAGACACTGTAGTCAAGCCTCTGGACTCCCAGGCACCTTTCTACTGGTAAGTCCTGCTCCCCAGGCATGTCACGTGATTATCAATTACAACTCAAACGTGTGCCTGATACCATGGTGGGACCCTGTAACATCCCTGTGCCCAGGCCCAAAGTGAGGCTCTGGACAAACCAGGCAAAGCCCATCCCTGCCCTCCTTAATCTACTGCACTCCACTTGCTTCTCAGATGTTCTCCAGACTGAATGCTGCTCTGAGGATGAATCTATCCTATCCTTTAAGACTAGGCCAGGCGTGGTGGCTCACGCCTGTAATCCCAGCACTTTGGGAGGCTGAGGTGGGCGGATCACATGAGGTTGGGAGTCCGAGACCAGTCTGACCAACACAGAGGAACCCCATCTCTACTAAAAATACAAAATTAGCCAGGCATGGTGGCACATGCCTGTAATTCCATCTACTCAGAGGCTGAGGCAGGAGAATCACTTGAACCCGGGAGGTGGAGGTTGCAGTGAGCCGAGATCGCGCCATTGCACTCCAGACTGGGAAATGAGAGCGAGACTTCATCTAAAAAAAATAAAATAAAGACTGACCTCAAGTATCCAGCGTCTGGTACCTGGAATTATAATTAAGATAATGATAAACTCTTTTAATTTAACTTTATTTATTTATTTTGAGAGTGTCTCACTCTGTCACCCAGGCTGGAGTGCAGTGGTCCAATCTCAGCTCACTGCAGACTTCACCTCCCCAGTTCAAGCAATTCTCATGCCTCAGCCTCCCCAGTTCAAGCAATTCTCATGCCTCAGCCTCCCGAGTAGCTGGAATTACAGGTGCATGCCACTATGCCTGGCTATTTTTTTATTTTTAGTAGAGACAGGGTTTTACCATGTTGGCCAGGCTAGTCTCGAACTCCTGGCCTCAAGTGATCTGCCCGCCTCAGCCTCCCAAAGTGCTAGAATTATAGGCGTAAGCCACCAAGCCCGGTTAACTTATTTTTCATTCATTCATTCAATCATTTATTTATTTTTACAAAGATAATCTTTATTGACAGTCACAGGCCACAGGGGTGAGCCCTGAGGTTTGGGTTCTGGGATGAAGGAGAACCCCTGCCCCCTGCCCTGGGCCTCTGCTGGCTGAGGGGACCTCCATGGTGCTCAGACTACAACCAGGACCTCCCTGGCAGCCCAGGAGTGTGGGTGCCGCAGAGACAGGCCCCTTGCAGAGCTGACCTAGAGCCCACCCTCCCCATAGCCTGTGTGAGCACAAAGCCAGGACCCACAGGCTGTGCCCCGGGCTTGTCACTGATGCCAGTGGAGGTTGGCAGCTGCCCCTCTTAGCACCTGAGACAGTGAAAGAAGGCAGCTGCTGCCATGAAGAAGACGCTCTGTGGACAGACTTGCTGGGGCTGAGTTGAGGGGCGCACAGAGGCAGGCCCTGCCCATGGTCTGGTCAGCTGTCCCTGCCACCACTACTTTTCTGGTCTGAGGCTGTAGCCTTGGTCAGGTTCCCAGCTTCCCTCTTCAGGACACTGAGCAAAGTCTGGGAGCTCTCCAGCATCTTGAGGTAGGTGGCCTCCGTCTCCGCGATGGTCTGGTAGAACTTACTGCAAGAGGCAATCTTGCGTGCCAGGTTCTCGTTGACGCGGGCCAGCTTCTCGTTGACGCAGGCCAGCTTCTCTGTCAGCTGCCTCACCTCATTCTGCAGCCGCTGTTTCTTGTCCTCCTCCTGCTGGATCTGCCAGCACAGCTCCTCCTGCTTCTGGCATAGCTCCTCTATGCATTTGACCAGCTTGTTGTCGTAGTTCTGCAGCGCCATGCCCTGCTGGGTCAACATCTCCTGGGGCCCCCTATTTTTTTTTTTGAGATGGAGTTTCACTCTTTTTTTGTTTTGTTTTGTTTTTTGTTTGTTTGTTTTTTTTTTTTTTTTGAGACAACAGTCTTACTCTGTTGCCCAGCCTGGAGTGCAGTGGCGTGATATCGGCTCACTGCATGCTCCGCCTCCTGGGTTCACATCATTCTCCTGCCTCAGCCTCCCGAGTAGCTGGGACTACAGGCGCCTGCCACCATGCCCGTGGTGTTTTTTTTTTTTTTTAAGTATTTTTAGTAGAGACGGGGTTTCACTGTGTTAGCCAGGATGGTCTCAATCTCCTGACCTCGTGATCCGCCCGCCTCGGCCTCCCAAAGTGCTGGGATTACAGGCATGAGCCACTGCGCCCAGCCTGAGATGGAGTTTCACTCTTGTTGCCCAGGCTGGAAAGCAATGGTGAAGTCTCAGCTCACTGCAACCTCTGCCTCCTGGGTTTAAGCGAGTCTCTTGCCTCAGGCTCCCAGGTAGCTGGGATTACAGGCACACGCCACCACGCCTGGCTAATTTTTGCATTTTTAGTAGAGACAGGGTTTCACCATGTTGGCCAGACTGGTCTTGAACTCCTGACCTTAGGTGATCCGCCCGCCTTGGCCTCCCAAAGTGCTGGGATTATAGGCATGAGCCACCGTGCCTGACCTAATTTTATTTTTTTAAGAGACAGGGTCACATTATGTTGCCTAGGATGGTCTCAAACTCCTGGGCTCAAGCAATCTTCCCACATCAGCCTCTCAAACTGCTGGGATTACAGGCATGAGCCACCAGTGCCCAGCTACAATAAACTCTTAACAGTCAGAATACTTGCTGCCTTACCAAAAGTCAAGCTGTGACTCCACACCAACACTGTGAACACCATCTGTAGGCAAAGGTGGCTTTCTTAACTTCAGGGACACCAATCTCTTCTGGCTCTGGGCTGGCAACCTTAAAGGGCCTTATAGACCTCAGGCAAGTGACGTTAAAGGGAAAGAGAGAAACAGATGGAAAGAGACAAAGCCAGGTCTACACAAACCCTTGAGAAACTAATATTAAGTTAGCTGGAGCAATTCACATGGAAGAGAAAACTCTGAAAATGCCCAGAATTTACAAGGTGGTCCTCATTAGTGAAAAAAAGACAATTAAATATAAACAACCGGCCAGGTGTGGTGGCTCACGCCTGTAATCCCAGCACTCTGGGACGCCAAGGCGGGTGGATCACCTGAGGCCAGGAGTTCGAGACCAGCCTGGCCAACGTGGTGAAATCCCATCTCTACTAAAAATACAAAAAATTAGCCGGGCGTGGTGGCACGAACCCGTAATCCCAGCTGCTCAGGAGGCTGAGGCAGGAGAATCGCTTGAACCTGAGAGGCAGAGGTTGCAGTGAGCCGAGATCGTGCCACTGCACTCCAGCCTGGGTGACAGAGCAAGACTCTGCCTCAAAAAAAAAAAAAAAACAAACCACCATCACCACCACCAAGGAATCCATCCATGGAAACATTTACTATCCTCTGCCAAGAAATATATTAAATTGGAGGGAGGACTGTTGAGGGATAAATAAATAAATAGAAATACATTGGCCAGGCATGGTGGCTCACACCTGTAATTCCACCACCTTGGGAGGGATTGCGCCACTGCACTCCTGCTTGGGTGACAGAGCAAGACTGCATCTCAAAAAAAAAAAAAAAGAAATATATAAAACTGACTCTATTGGTAGGTTTTAAAAAAGTTATTAAGCCAACTAGTGACCTTCCTTCGATGACATATTCCCTTGATGTACGTTTTCTTGTTATTTTTTGAGACGGAGTCTTGCTCTGTTGCCCAGGCTGGAGTGCAGTGGCGCGATCTCGGCTGACCGCAACCTCCGCCTCCCGGGTTCAAGAGATTCTCCTGCCTCAGCCTCCCGAGTAGCTGGGACTACAGGAGCATGCCATCACACCCAGCTAATTTTTTTGTATTTTTAGTAGAGACGGGGTTTCACCATATTGGCCCAGGATGGTCTTGATCTCTTGACCTCGTGATGTGCCTGCCTCTGCCTCCCAAAGTGCTGGGATTACAGGCATAAGCCACTATTTCCATTCCCTCAATTTCAACTTCTCTGTGTCTTTGACACACAATGTATTACTAAACATGTTTGTTTGTTTGTTTGTTTGTTTGTTTTCTGAGATGGAGTCTTGCTCTGTCACGCAGGCTGGAGTGCAATGGTGCCATCTCAGCTCACTACAACCTCCACCTCCTGAGTTCAAGCAATTCTCCTGCCTCAGCCTCCCAAGTAGCTGGGATTACAGGTGCACGCCACCACTCCTGGCTAATTTTCTGTACTTTTAGTAGATAGGGGGGTCTCGCTATGTTCACCAGGCTGGTCTTGAACTCCTGACCTCAAGTGATCCACCCACCTCCGCCTCCCAAAGTGGGATTACAGGCCATGAGCCACTGTGCCCAGCCTTGTTTTGTTTTCTTGTGTTTTGAGACAAGCTCTTGCTCTGTCACCCAGGCTGCAGTGCAGTGCACAATTATAGCTCACTACAGCCTCAAACTCCTGTGCTCAAGGGATCCTCCCACCTCAGCCTCCCAAGAAGCTGGAACTGCAGGCACAAGCTACCATGCCCAGCTAATTTTTAAAAAAAATTTTGTAGAGACAGGAGTCTTGCTATGTTGACCAGGCTGGTCTCAAACTCCTATCCTCAAGCAATCCTCCCACCTCAGCTTTCCAAAATGTTGGGATTACAGGTATAAGCCACCATGCCTGACTCTTTTTTTCCAAGAGACAGGGTCTCCAGCCTGACCAACATGGAGAAACCCTGTCTCTACTAAAAATACAAAATTAGCCGGGCGTGGTGGCGCATGCCTGTAATCCCAGCTACTCGAGAGGCTGAGGCAGGAGAATTGCTTGAACCTGGGAGGCAGAGGTTGCAGTGAGCCAAGATCGCGCCATTACACTCCAACCTGGGCAACAAGAGTGAAACTCCATCTCAAACAAAAAAGAAAAAGAAAAAGAGACAGCATCTCACTCTGTCGTCCAGGCTGGAGTGCAATGATGCAATCGTGGCTCACGGTAACTTCGAACTCCTGGGCTCAAGCAAGCTTCCTCCCTCAGCCTTCTGAGTAGCTAGGACTATAGGCACATACCACTGTATCCCTGGTGTGGTTTGTCTTTTAAAGTCTGATCTGAGAGTTTGTCTTTAGTTTGGTAAATTTAACTCATCTACAGTGATTCTAATGCTGTTATTAGACTTCACTGAATTTAATTCAGCCTCCTTATTTCAGGTTTCTTTTTTTTCCCCCTTTTTCCACATGTTCTAACATGCTTTCTAATTACCATACTTCTTATTTTTTCCCCCCTTCATTTTTGCCTTCCATTAATTTTCCTTTTGCAGGTGTGGCAGTTTGCTAGTCGCCTCCTGCTAGCTATTTTCCCCTCCTTCCTTAGTTTGAGAACCCCAGTTTTTAGCTGGACATGATGCAGTCCTGCTATACAGTACATCCCAGCCTTCCTGAAAGCCAGGTATTGTCATATGATTAGCCAATGAGATACAAAGGAGGTTTGATGTATGATATCTGAGAAATGTCCTAAAAAGGAAGGGGTAGGTCAGCTGGGTTTAATATTGCCATGGAGCTGCTACGTCAGCAATGGATTGACTGCCTACGTCAGAAATTCTTTTCAGAAAGATGTAAGCCTCCATCTTGCTTAATACGCTAATTTGCAGATTTTTCTTACCTGCCAGCAAGCCTTTCCTAACTGACGTAGTATGTTTCAAAGTTATACATTCAATTTTCCGTTTCTGTTAGTTGTTCCATTAACTTATTAGGATCTCTATTTTTATTTTTCCCCATAAATTACATAAACTTACAATTGTTCACCTTTCTCATCCTCAAGAATAGTAGTTCTGGACATTCTCATCTCTCTCTGCTCTATACTAATTCCTCACCTATGTTGGAATTACCCAGAATTTATCTCTGGAATATTATAGATACTAGTTGCTTTCTTAAACCTTGATTATTATTGTACCTTTTTTTTTTTTTTCTCCTGAGACAGAGTCTCACTGTATCGCCCAAGCTGGAGTGCAGTGGCACGATCTAGGCTCACTGCAATCCCCACCACCATTCTCATGCCTCAGCCTCCCCAGTAGCTACGATTACAGGCATGTGCCACTGCACCGGGCTAATTTTCTTCTATTTTTTAAGAGATGGGGTTTCAGCATGTTGGCCAGCCACCGCACCTGGCCTATTATTGATTTTTTTTGGCCGGGCGCCGTGGCTTATGCCTGTAATCCCAGCATTTTGGGAGGCCGAGGCAGGCGGATCACTTGAGGCTAGAAGTTCGAGACCAGCCTGGCCAACATGGTGAAACCCCGTCTCTACTAAAAATACAAAAATTGGCTGTGCATGGGTGGCATGCACCTGTAATCCCAGCTACTCAGGAGGCTGAGGCACAGAATTGCTTGAACCCAGGAGGCAGAGGTTACAGTGAACCGAGATCATGCCACTGGACTCCAGCCTGGGCTACAGATCAAGACTCCGTCTATTAAAAAAACAAAAAAACAAAACCCCTGAGTGTATAAAATCAAGAAATTTGCACCAAGTGATACATCCATGTAACCACTACCCTGACCAAGAAACAGGACACCCCCAGACCCCTAGGTGTCCTTCTCACGATTCAGTCGCAATTCTTCCCAACACTAACCAGTTCTGACCATGAATCCCCAAGGTTAATTTTGCCTGTTATAAAGTTTTAAGTCAACAGAATCATTATGCCCTGCTCTGTGTCTACCTTCTCTCATTCATCATTTTTCATTAGACTCATCACTGTTGTGCAAAGCTGGACAGAATTTCCTTGTGTGCTTACACTTACTGCAGTTTATCCATTTACTTTTGATGGACATTTGGGTTAGCTCCAGTTTGTAACTATGACAAGCAGTGCTAGCACAAACATCCTGAAATATGTATTTAAGAGAACATGGGATATATTTCTATTGGTTATATGCCTAACAACAGGATTGTTGAGTAGCAGAATGTGCATATAATTCTACATTTTTGCCTCTTTTTTTTACTAGTGTTGCCTGACTTGTTTGTATTGACTAGTAGGAATTTCTTTGCAACTCTAGATATACGACCAGCTGTGGTGGCTCATGCCTGTAATCCAGCACTTTGGGAGGCTAAGGCAGGCAGATAACTACAGGCCAGGAGTTCAAGACCAGCCTGGCCAACATGGTAAAACCCTGTCTCTACTAAAAATACAAAAATTAGCTGGGCATGGTGGTGGGAGCTTGTAGTCCCAGCTGCTCGGGAGGCTGAGGCATCAGTCACTTGAACCCGGGAGTGGGGGTGCAGTGAGCTGAGATCGCACCATTGCACTCCAACCTTGGCAAGAGAGTAAGACTCCGTCACAGGGAAAAAAAAAAAAGAAAAAAAAATTCTGGACACAACTTGTCAGACATGGATTACAAATCTCTTCTCTCACTGTATGGCTTATGGCTTGTCTTCACTCACTGGTGAACAGACATTCTTTTTTTTTTGAGATGGAGTTTCGCTCTTGTTCCCCAGGCTAGAGTGCAATGGTGCAATCTCAGTTCCCTGCAACCTCCGCCTCCCGGGTTCAAGCGATTCTCCTGCCTCAGCCTCCCAAGTAGCTGAAATTACAGATATGCACCACCACGCCTGGCTAATTTTGCATTTTTAGTAGAGACAGGGTTTCTCCATGTTGGTCAGGCTGGTCTCAAACTCTCAACCTCAGGTGAGCCGCCCACCTCGGCCTCCCAAAGTGCTGGGATTACAGGCATGAGCCACTGCTCCTGGCCTTTTTAAAAAAAAAAAAAAAAAAAAAAAAAAAGAGATGGGGTCTTGCTGTCGCCCAGGCTGGAGGGCAATGGCAGAATCATAGCTCACTGCAGCCTCAAACTCCTGGACTCAAGCAATGCTCCCACCTCAGCCTGTCAGGTAGCTGGGACTACAGGCACTCACCATTGTGCTTAATCCCATCTGCAAAGTCCCTTTTGCCATGTCACCTGACATAATGACAGATTCTGAAACAGATTCTGGGAATTAGGATATGGATATCTCAGGGTGAAGATGAGCACAGCTATGCCTACCACAGCTATTTTATTTATCTTGTCAACAACTGGCAACCGGGGTTTCTTAAACTGGAGTCCATGACTGGACTTCAGGGGTTCTAACAGTTCTTCTCTTAAGAACTCATAGTTTTCATGGTTCTCAAATGACCTAGGAGCCCACTACTATGTAATGGTCACAGTCCAAGGCCTGACAGAGGGAAAAGGACAGAGCGCAACATTATTCCCATAACTACTGGAACACAGATATAATTTCCAAAACTTATACCATAACGAAAATTAATCACTTCTTTATCTCCCTAAGAACATGCACAGTTCCACATACCACATGAACATCTCTTGAAACAGATGTGTCCTTAGTCCAAGTTTTGTAGCTGAACAATTCACCCAGCAAGCTCCCAGGGCAACAATGAGTAACAGGCCACTGGGCAGAAACAGGTAGAATCAAGCTATCACTTTTTTTTTGTTTTTGTTTTTTTTGGGTCAGAGTCTTGCACTGTCACCTAGGCTGGAGTATAATGGTGCGATCTCAGCTCACTGCAGCCTTCACCTCCTGGATTCAAGCGACTCTTGAGCCTCAGCCTCCCGAGTAGCTGAGATTACAGGTACCTGCCACCATGCCTAGCTAATTTTTGTATTTTTAGTAGAGACAGGGTTTTACCATGTTGACCAGGCTGGGCTCGAACTCCTGGCCTCAGGTGAGCCACCTCCCACGGCCTCTCAAAGTGCTGAGCTTACAGGCATGAGCCACCATGCTCAGGCCTCAACTATCACTTTTAAGTCATATAAAACCCCATGCCTTAGCCTTCCTCTTATCCATCAAGGCCTCTAACTACATGTGGAGAAAATAAAAGCGTGACAAAAACAAAGCAACCTCCTGGTAGAGCAGCAACCTTAGACTTGATCCCTCATATCCCTTCCTCCTTTTCTCATTCTCCACGAGCAGAGGCTCGCCACCTTGCTGAGATATCCTGACAGGCTTCCCTTAGATGCTGCCCTGCTACCAAAAGCCACGGTCTTCATCCAGAAGCATGAACTCTGGATATACAAAATAGGCATTGTTCATCTGAATCAGAACAATTTTTCTTAGTACAAGTACTGCCTTAGGAAAGACTGTCTCTTTTGCACATGTGAGCCTACAACAAGGGAGAAAAAATTCACTTACTTTGACTGCAAGGTCTGCCTGGGCCATGTGCCATCTTCATTTTGAGGCTCAATTACTAGCACCTGAGTGAAAGGGGAAACCAAATGAGGAGAGTTCAAACCACCGCACTTCCAACATGCTTAGAAGCAAAAAGTATCTGGCCACACACCCTGGGCAGAGCTACCTGCTGGGGAATGGCCAGGGCCCTCCTACCTGACCCTGGTATAGCCCAGCATCCTGGACAGTGTTGTCTAGCTTGCTCAACTGCTCGTAGGTGTTGCTCATGTATTTGTTCCAGAGCCGTGTTTCACGCTCCGCAGGGATGTTGAATAGCTTCCGCATCTCTTTCTCGATGGTTGCTAGGAACAGGCAGAAATATCACTTGGGGCTTTGTCCACATGCAAGGCTAAAGACAGCCATGGCAAACTAATGCTCATCCTCTTTCTTGTCAGATGCTCACAGGTGCTCTGGATCAACCCCCTGATACCTCTTAAAATCAATCATCTCCCATGGGTGGCCTCTTGCACTCATATGCCTGGAAAGTATCCCTATGCTTCTTTGCTAACGTGTGTCTCTCATTTATGGCGCAAAAGCAACATAGAAAGCGAGAAAGCTTATCTTTGGAGTTAACTCAGATATGGCTTCAAAAGCTAGCTCCACCATTTTCTGGCTGCGATTTGTTTTTTTTTTTAAGAGACAGGATCTTGCTCTGATGCCCAGGCTGCAGTGCAGTGGTGGGATCGTAGCTCACTGTAAACCTTGCTGAGATTTTTAAATAAGTTATTTTTAAACTTCTTTGGATCTACATTTCCTTATCTTCATTATCATAGACAAATGGGCAAGGAGCAGGCCCAGTGTTCTCTCCATAAGAATTCCTGGAGGAATAGGCCCCCAGGTCAGGACTGGCAACTACAGCTCGAGATGATTTGGGTAACAAATCTAAAGAGGGCATATAAAATAATGCCCTCTTCCCTCCCATCAGCCACAATGTCCTACACTCTCTCACCACATACCAGGGACCCCAGCCCAGCCTCTCACCAATGGTGTCTGCCTTGCTGAAATGGCAACTCAGCACATTGGTGGGGTCACTGTTCTCACAGAGCTTCAGTTCCAGCAAATACACCTCGACTTTGCAGTGCTTGACAAACAGGCCATGCTCCACAACCTATGAACAAGAGGCAGGGGTGAGGGCATAGCGGTTTTGCAGCTGGGCAGTCTTGGATGTAGCATATCTTATCAGAAGCAAAAAGCAGAAAACTCATGATAATCCATTTCCTTTACTGATCAAGGGATCAAAAGAACAGATTTTTAAAGCTACCAGTACCTGGACAAAGAGTTTAAAAATATTTTTTCTGGCCGCGTGTGGTGGCTCACGCTTGTAATCTCAACACTCTGGGAGGCCGAGGTGGGTGGATCACTTGAGGTCAGGAATTTGAGACCAGCCTGACCAACATGGTGAAACCCCATTTCTATGAAAAATACAAAAATTAGCCGGGCATGGTGGCATGTGCCTGTAATCCCAACTACTCAGGAGGCTGAGACAGGGGAATCGCTTGAACCCAGGAGGTGGAGGCTGCAGTGAGCCAAGATCGCTCCACTGCACTCCAGCCTGGGCGACAGAGCGAGACTCTGTACCCCGCAAAAAAATATATATATATTTTTTTTCTACCCACTAAGACCAAGAGCATCTTGATGATATTAGAGAGAAGCCTATTCTTCACTGTTTTTTGTTTTTGAGATGGAGTCTTCCTCCGTCAGCAGCCTGGAGTGCAGTGGTGCGATCTCAGCTCATTACAACCTGCACCTCCTGGGTTCAAGAGATTCTCCTGCCTCAGCCTCCCGAGTAGCTGGGACTACAGGGGCCCACCATCATGCCCAGCTAATTTTTGTATTTTTAGTAGAGACAGGATTTCACCATGTTGGCCAGGATGGTCTCGATCTCTTAACCTCGTGATCCGCCTGCCTCAGCCTCCCAAAGTGCTGGGATTACAGGCGTGAGCCACCATGCACGGCCTGATCAAAGACTCTTTTTTTTTTTTTGCAACCGAGT
Source organism: Homo sapiens (assembly GCF_000001405.40). Classification (NCBI taxonomy): domain Eukaryota; kingdom Metazoa; phylum Chordata; class Mammalia; order Primates; family Hominidae; genus Homo; species Homo sapiens. The sequence goes on from NC_000003.12 coordinate 49,326,731, forward strand.
CTCACTCTGTTGCCAGGCTGCAGTACAGTGGGGTGATCTCGGCTTACTGCAACCTCCGTCTCCTGGGTTCAAGCAATTCTCCTGCCTCAGCCTCCCGAGTAGCTGGGACTACAGGTATGTGCCACCACACCCAGTTAATTTTTGGATTTTTAGCAGAGACGAGGTTTCACCATGTTGGCCAGGGTGGTCTTGATCTCCTGACCTCGTGATCCACCCGCCTCAACCTCCCAAAGTGCTGGGATTACAGATGTGAGCCACTGCGCCTAGCTCAAAGACTCTTAAGCATAGAGGGAAAAGCAGTATCATAAAGGTTTTTTAAGATAAACAAGATGCAGGACATTAGCTATATGTCCATATGCCCCCAGTGAACTTTCTCTCATAGAATTTTCCAGAAAGTTCTCTCACAGCGCTGCTGGGCACATTCCAAGCCACTGGGCAGCTCTGATGTTTAGAGGCCACTCATGATAATATTCTGGGTGAGCAACTTCACTCACAACCACAATTTCCTAAAGAGAACCAGAAACAGGCTGGGCGTAGTGGCTCACGCCTGTAATCCCACCACTTTGGGGGGCCGAGTCGGGCGGATCACAAGGTCAAGAGTTTGAGACCAGACTGGCCAACATGGCGAAACCCCGTCTCTACTAAAAATACAAAAATTGGCCAGGCGTAGTGAAAGGCGCCTGTAATCCCAGCTACTCAGGAGGCTGAGGCACGAGAATCACTTGAACCTGGGAGCCAGAGGCTGCAGTGAGCCGAGATCGTGCCGTTGCACTCCAGCCTGGGCGACAAGTGCACAAGACTCCATCTCAAAAAAAAAAGAGATCCAGAAACAAGGCCTCAAGCACCACTATTCAACCACTGAGGTATGTTCATTTTCCTAGCAAACACTAGTCAGTGTCCAACAGAAAGCACCTGCAGACAGTGACCAGCAGGTGGGACAATTCACATAACTCACTTTTCTGACGATGGGTTGCTGGCCTTCTACACAGCCGTACCAGTTTAGTAGTTTATTCCACGCCTCGGTAGGGACCAATACATAGTCCAATTCATCAATTAAGTGTTCTTTCAAGGTCTGACTCTCAGGATCTAAAAAAGGAAAAGAGCACATAAGTCACTGCTCTTTACCCCAGAAATGATGGTTTTACATGATTTCCATGTACTTTTCAGAAATAAGAAAATTATTTACAGAAAGAAACAGGAATGAAATTCCAAAATTCTGTCACTGGTCATTATACAGAGCAGACTTTTGTCTTTATCCATGTTTTCTCTTTATCCATGAAGATTTTATGAGGAATTTGTATTTCTTCTATAATTGGAGGGAGAGAAGAGGATAAAAAAGAAAAACTCCAGGCTGGGTGTGGTGGCTCACACCTGTAATCAGCACTTTCGGAGGCTGAGGCGGTTGGATCATGAGGTCAGGAGTTTGAGAGCAGCCTGGCCAACATGGTGAAACCCCGTCTCTACTAAAAATATAAAAATTAGCCGGGTGTGGTAGCGGGCACCTGTAGTCCCAGCTACTCGGGAGGCTGAGGCAGGAGAATTGCTTGAACCCGGGAGGCAGAGGTTGCAGTAAGCCAAGATCACGCCACTGCACTCCAGCCTGGTGAAAGAGCAAGACTCCATCTCAAAAATAAATAAATCATACATGAGGTGGTTATGGTTTCCCACCATCCCTCCGACTAGTTTACACACCTTTTTCAGGGCAGGGTTCCTTTGTTGTCATTTCAACAATGCTCATAACATCTTCACCAGACATAGATTCCATCTCAAGAAACCATTTTCTTTGCTCACCCATAAGAAGCAACTCCTCAGCCATTCAAGTTTTATCATAAGATTAAAGCAATTCAGGCCGGGCATGTTGGCTCATGCCTGTAATTCCAGCACTTTGGGAGGCTGAGGCAGGCAGATCACTTGAGGTCAGGAATTCAAGATCAGCCTGGCCAACATGGTGAAACCCCATTTCTAGTAAAAATACAAAAATTAGCTGGGCATGGTGATGCATGCCTGTAGTCCCAGCTACTCGGGAGGCTGAGGCATAAGAATTGCTTGAACCCAGGAGGTGGAGACTGCAGTGAGCCGAGATACCCCACTGTACTCCAGCCTGGGTGACAGAGCAAGACTCTGTCTCAAAAGAAATAAAAATAAATAAAAATTAAAATTAAAAATAGGCCAGGCGCAGTGGCTCACACCTGTAATCCCAGCACTTTCGGAGGCCGAGGTGGGCAGATCATGAGGTCAGGAGTTCAAGACCAGCCTGGCCAGGGTAGTGAAACCCCGTCTCTACTACAAACACAAAAATTAGCTGGGCATGGTGGTGCACACCTGTAGCCCAGCTACTTGGGAGGCTGAGGCAGGAGAATTGTTTGAACCCAGGAGGCGGAGGTTGCAGTGAGCCAAGATTGCGCCACTGCACTCCAGCCTGGGTGACACAGCGAAACTCCATCTCAAAAAAAATAAAAATAAAAGTAAAAATAAAAAATAAAGCAATTCAGTCACATCTTCAGGCTTCACTTCTAATTCTAGTTCTCTTGCTATTTCCACTTTTGCTGTTACTTCTCCCACTGATGTCTTGAGCCCGTTGAAGTCATCCGTAAGTGTTGGAATGAACTTCTTCCAGACTCCTATTAATGTTGATTTTGACCTCCCATGAATCATGAATATTTTTGTGTGTGTGTGTGGGCAGGTGGGAGTGGCAGGCCTTACTCTATCACCCAGGCTGAAGTGCAGTGGCATGATTACAGCTCACTGCAGCTTCGACCTCCCAGACTCAAGCAATCCTCCTGCCTTAGTCTCCCAAGTAGCTAGAACTACAGGTGCATGCCACCAGGCCTAGCTAATTTTCGTATTTTTTATAGGGATGGGGTTTTGCCAAGTTGCCCACCCTAGTCTCCAATTCCTGGGTTCAAAGGATCCACCTACTTCAGCCTGCCAAAGTCCTGGGATTATAGGTATAAGCCACTGCACCAGGTGGAATCATGAATATTCTTAATGGCATCTAGAATGGTAAATCCTTTCCAAAAGGTTTTCAATTTAATTTGCCCAGATCCTTCAGGAGAATCACTATCTATGGCAGATAAAGTCTTATAAAATGTATTTCTTAAATAATAAGACTTGAAAGTTGAAATCAAATCAGGCACGCTGGCTCAGGCCTGTAATCCCAGCACTTCGGCAGGCTGAGGCGGGAGGATCACTTGAGGTCAGAAGTTTGAGACCAGCCTGGCCAACATGGTGAAACCTGGTCTCTACTAAAAATACAAAAATTAGCCAGGTGGAGGGACGGGCACCTGTATCCCAGCTACTCAGGAGGCTGAGGCAGGAGAATTACTTGAACCTGGTAGGAGGAGGCAGGAGAATTGCTTGAACCTGGGAGGGAGAGGTTGCAGGGAGCCAAGACTGAGCCACTGCACTCCAGCCTGGGCAACAGAGTGAGACTCTGTCTCAAAACAAACAAACAAACAAACAAACAAACAAAAAAAGTTGAAATTACTTCTTGACTCACAGGCTGCAGAACGGATGTTTTTAGTAGGCATGAAACAACATTAATCTCCTCATGCATCTCCATCAGAGCTCTTGGGTAACTAGGTACATTGCAATGGAGCAGTAACTTTTTTTTTTTTGAGACAGTCTCGCTGTGTCCCCCAGGCTGGAGTGCAGTGGCGCCATCTCGGCTCACTGCAAGCTCCACCTCTCGGGTTCATGCTATTCTCCCGCCTCAGCCTCCCGAGGAGCTGGGACTACAGGCACCCGCCACCACACCCGGTTAATTTTGTTTTTGTATTTTTAATAGAGACAGGGTTTCACCATGTTAGCCAGGATGGTCTCAATCTCCTGACCTCGTGATCCGCCCACCTTGGCCTCCCAAAGTGCTGGGATAACAGGCGTAAGCCACTGCACCTGGCAGCAGTAACATTTTGATAAGATTAGCTCAGTGCTTTTTCTGAGCAGTAGGTCTCAACCCTGAGCTAAAAATATTGGGAGGCTGGAGGCTGGAGGCCGGAGGCCGGGCGCGGTGGCTCCCACCTGTAATCCCAGCACTTTGAGAGGCCGAGATGGGTGGATCACGAGATCAGGAGATTGAGACCATCCTGGCCAACATGGTGAAACCCCGTCTCTACTAAAAATACAAAAAAAGTAGCCGGGTGTGGTGGCAGGCACCAGGCGCCTGTGATCCCAGCTACTCAGGAGGCTGAGGCAGGAGAATCGTGTGAACCCGGGAGGCGGAGCTTGCAGTGAGCCGAGATCGCGCCACTGCACTCCAGTCTGGGTGACAGAGCAAGACTCCGTCTCAAAAAAAAAAAAAATATTGGGAGGCCGGGCGTGGTGGCTCACACCTGTACTCCCAGCACTTGGGGAGGCCGTGGTGGGCAGTTACCTGAGGTCGAGAGTTCGAGACCAGCCTGACCAACAAGGAGAAACCCCGTCTCTACTAAAAAAACAAAATTAGCTGGGCGTGGTGGCGCACGCCTATAATCCCAGCTACTCAGGAGGCTGAGGCAGGAGAATCGCTTGAACCTGGGAGGCAGAGGTTGTGGTGAGCCAAGATCGCACCATTGCACTCCAGCCTGGGCAAAAGAGCAAAACTCCGACTCAAAAAAAAAAAAATCGGTAAACTTGTTGTGGTGGCTCATGCCTGTAATCCCAGCACTTAGGGAGGTCAAGGCGGGTGGATCACTTGAGGCCAGGAGTTTGAGACCAGCCTGGCCAAAATAGCAAAACCCCATCTCTACTAAAAGTACAAAAATTAGCCAGAACTGGTGGTGCATGTCTGTAATCTCAGCTACTTGGGAGGCTGAGCCATGAGAATAACTTGAACCCGGGAAGCAGAGGTTGCAGTAAGCCGAGATTGCACCACTGCATTCCAGCCTGGGCGACACAGCGAGATTCTGTCCCAGAAAAATAAAATAAAAACAAAAATATTCGGTATACCATGCTGTAAATAAATATGCTATCATGCAGGCTTTGTTGTTGCATGTGTAGGGCACAGGCAGAGCAGATTTAGCATAATTCTTGAGGGCCTTGGGATTTTTGGAATGATAAATGAGCACTAGCTTCAAACTAAAGTCACCATCTGCAGTATCCCTTAAGAAGAGAGTCAGCCTGTCCTTCAAGGCTCTGAATCTGGCCGGACAGAGTGGCTCATGCCTATAATCCCAGCACTTTGAGAAGTCAAGGCAGACAGATCACTTGAGCCCAGGAGTTGGAGACCAGCCCGGGCAACACGGCAAAATCCCATCTCTACAAAAAAAAAAAAAAAATACAAAGCTGGGCACAGTGGCTCACACCTGTAATTCCAGCACTTTGGGAGGTCAAGGCGGGTGGACCACCTGAGGTCAGGAGTTCGAGACCAGGCTGGCCAACGTGCTGAAATCCCGTCTTTACTAAAAATACAAAAAAAAATTAGCTGGGTGTGGTGGCAGGTACCTGTAATCCCAGCTACTTGGGAGGCTGAGGCAGGAGAATCACTTGAAACTGGGAGGTGGAGGTTGCAGTGAGCCAAGATTGTGCCATTGCACTTCAGCCTAGACGACAGAGCGAGACTCTGTCTTACAAAACAAACAAACAAACAAACATATAAAAATCAGCCAGGCATGGTGGCAAGCAACTGTAGTCCTAGCTACTCAGGAGGCTGAGGTGGGAGGATCACTTGAGCCCAGGAGGTTAAGGCTGCAGTGAGCTGTGATCACACACTACAGCCTGGGTGACAGGGCAAGACCCTGTCTCAAAAAAAAAAAAGGCTCTGAACCCAGGCACTGACTTTTCCCCTCTAGCAGCAAAGAGGTAGATGGCATCTTCCCAATAGAAGGGTGTTTTGTCTACATTTAAAATCTGTTGTTTAGGCCAGGCACAGTAGCTCATGCTTGTAATCCCAGCACTTTGAGAGGCCGAGGCAGGCGGATCACTTAAGGTCAGGAGTTTGAGACCAGCCTGGCCAACATGGTGAAACCCCATGGTGAGACTCTGTCTCAAAAAAATAATAATAATAAATAAAAATAAAATAAAATAAAACCTGTTGTTTAGCCTGGGCACAGTGACTCACACCTGTAATCCCAGCACTCTGGGACGTCAAGGCGGGAGGATTGCTTGAGCCCAGGAATTCAAGATCAACCTGAACAACATGACAAAACCCACAAAAAATCTCTGCAAAAAATACAATAATTAGTCGAGTGTGGTGGGGCCTGTAGTTCCAGTTACTCAGGAGGCTGAGATGGGAGGATCACCTGAGCCTGGGAAGGTCAAGGTTGTAGTGAGGTGTGATTGTGCTACTGCACGAGGTAGCAGTAGCTACCTTTTTTTTTTTTGAGACAAGATGGCACCTTGTCTCAAAAAAAAAAATAAATGAATAAACTTTCTCCATATCAGCAATAATAAGGCTGTTTCAGCCTCTTATAATTCATGTGTTCACTAGAGTAGCACTTTTTTTTTTTTTTTTTGAGATGGAGTCTCACTTCTGTCGCCCAAGCTGGAGTGGAGTGCAGTGGCGCAATCTCAGCTCACTGAAACCACCATTTCCTGGGTTCCTCCATCTCCCAGGCAACATGACAAAACTCCATCTCTACAAAAAGAAAAAATAAACACATACAAAAATGAGCCAGGAATGCTGGCAAGCACCTGTAGTCCTAGCTACTCAGGAGGCTGAGGTGGAAGGATCACTTAAGTCCAGGAGGTTTACATTTACATTCACAACTTGGCTAGCTATATGGCACAAGAGGCCTAGCTTACAACCTATTTCGGCTTCCTTAACCAAACTCAAATCATTTCTAGCTTTGATTTGAAGTGAGAGACATGCAATTCTCCTTTTCACTTGAACATTTAGAAGACGTTGTTAGGGTTACTAAGTGGCCGAATTTCAGTGTCATTGTGTCTCAGGCAATAGCAAAGCCTGAGGAGAGAGAGAGAGATGGAATGGCTGGTTGGTGAAGCAGCGAGAATACACACAATAATTACCAATTAAGTTCACTGTCTTACATGGGCTCCCTTCATGATGCCCCAAAACAATTACAATAGCAACATGAAAGATCCCTGTTGGCTGGGCATGGTGGCTCATGCCTGTAATCCCAGCACTTTGGGAGGCTGAGGTCGGGAGTTCAAGACCAGCCTGACCAACATGGAGAAACCCCATCTCTACTAAAAATACAAAATTAGCCGGGCGTGGTGGCACATGCCTGTAATCCTAGCTACTCGGGAGGCTGAGGCAGGAGAATCACTTGAACCCAAGAGGTGGAGGTTGCCATGAGCCACGATCATGCCACTGCACTCCTGCCTGGGCAACAAGAGCAAAACTCCGTCTCAAAAAAAAAAAGAAAGCTCCCTGATCACTGATCACCATAACAAATAATAATGAAAAACTTTGAAGTATTTTGAGAATTACCAAAATGTGGTAACAGAGACATGAAGTGAGCACATGCTGTTGTAAAAATGGAACTGACAGATTGTCAAGGCAGCGTTGCCAAATACCTACAAAATTTGCTAAAAATGCAGTATCTGCAACATATAATAAAGCAAAGCACAATAAGCCAAAGTATGCCTGAATTTAAAACCTTAAGAATTCTCCATTTCATAAAAATGAGAAAAAGAACAAAATGTGAACATAATGAAATGATTCCTTAGGGCAACTTCGTGGCATAGTGCCACCATTTGACCTATTTCAGGAAACAAAGTAAATGATATTGTTTATACCATGTAGACCTCTCCTAAAACAAGGTCTGAGCTGAAGCATTGCTCAGTTTTAAAAATATCCAAGTTAGGCCAGGCACAGTGGCTCACACCAACACTCTGGGAAGCCAAGGTGGGAGGATGGCTTGAGGCCAGGAGTTCAACCAGCCTGGGCAACATAGCAAGACCCCGTCTCTACCAAAAAACTTAAAAAACAGCTGAGAGTGGTAGAACACTGTAGTCTCAGTGACTAAGGAGGCTGAGGCAGGAAGATAGCTTGAGCCCAGGAGCTCAAGGCCAGCCTAGCCAACATGGTAGAGACGGGGTTTCACCATGTTGGCCAGGCTGGTCTCGAACTCCTGACCTCAGGTGATCCACCTGCCTTGGCCTCCCAAAGTGCTGAGATTACAGGCGTGAGACACCACTCCTGGCACTGCCCTGATTTTTGACACCCATGACAGATCACCTCTATCATGACTTTAAAGAGGTCTGAAGTCAGGCAAAAGAAAGCCTGGGAAAAGCTGACTCTGTCATCTCAGTGCATGTACAAGTGCAAGCAAGCTCTAGTGTGTTACATGTCGCTTTTCCCACAGTTCCCATTGGGAGCTGACTACAGTCATAACTCTGTCTACTGACCTTCAACCTCTCCTCACACTAGTTATATGATAAAAACAGCCATCACAGGAATTCTTGATGAAAGTTCACAGGTTTACAATTTGTTCCACTGCAAAGGTAACAAAAAATTCTGGTTCTTAAATTTTAGATACAATTTCAAAATGACATCCTATTTCTTTCCATTCCATATACTAACTTAAAATGTGAAATAGCTAGCAGAACTAATTTGCAAAGAGAGAAAGTTAAAATGTTAGAAGCATACTCTTATCAGATGCAGTTAATTTAAGGGAAAAAAGTAGCTTAACTTCTCATTAAGGGTTTGCAAAGACTTCTGCTATAGATGCAAAATGAGGATACTTGTTTCTATCTCCTCACACTAGGAAAGTTCACAACGTCCATGTTACAGATGCACATAACATCAGGCCACTGCCCAGGTGAATGTTTAGCTAGAAAAGCAACATTTACTATACCTGAAAATAGCCCAGAGTTGTCTATTGGGCCAGGAAATAGGTTATGTTCACCCACATTGTACATGTCCCAGCTGTCAAAGCCCACATACTTCTTCCACTGCTTGAACCACCGGCTGTCAATAAGATACCTAGAGAGAGACAGAAATTTACTGTAGCAGAAAAGCTGAGATTATAAATTTCTGCAGCTGCTTCCTTAATCTTTTTTATGGTCCTTCCACTTGGGGCATATGCAATACCCACTAAAAAACACTGTCACAAGAGCAAGAGCAGGGCCCAGGCCCCACATGGCACAGAGAGTCTGGCCCAGGGTATGCATCCATTAAGTGAAATGATTGTTCAAAGAGTGAATAAAAGAAAGAAAACAAGTGGTTTCAAAATGCTTATTTAAATGCAGTCTTTCTTTTTTTTTCTTTTAGACGGAGTCTTGTTCTGTCGCCCAGGCTGGAGTATAGTGACACAATCTTGGCTCACTGCAACCTCTGCCTCCCAGGTTCAAGCGATTCTCCTGCCTCAGCCTCCTGACTAACTGGGATTACAGGCACCTGTCACCACTCCCAGCTAATTTTTGTATTTTTAGTAGAGACGGGGTTTCACCATGTTGGGCAGGCTGGTCTCAAACTCCTGACCTCAGGTGATCCGCCTACTTCGGCCTCCCAAAGTGCTGGGATTACAGGCATGAGCCACTGCACCTGGCCTCTTTTTTTTTTTTTTTTTTTTTTGAGACGGAGTTTTCGCTCTTGTTGCCCAAGCTGGAGTGCAGTGGTATGATCTTGGCTCACTACAACCTCCACCTCCTGGGTTCAAGCAATTCTCCTGCCTCAGCCTCCCAAGTAGCTGGGATTACAGGCATGCATCACCAGGCCCAGCTAATTTTTTTGTATTTTTAGTAGAGATGGAGTTTCACCATGTTGGCCAGGCTGGTCTCGAACTCCTGATCTCAGGTGATCCTCCTGCCTTGGCCTCCCAAAGTGCTGTGATTACATGCATGAGCTACCACACTCAGTCTAAATGGAGTCTTTTCATGGGTAAAATCATGTTTGCTAATAAACAAGTCATTAACTTCTTTTTTTTTTGAGACAGAGTTTCGCTCTTGTTACCCAGGCTGGAGTGCAATGGTGTGATCTCGGCTCTCCGCAACCTCCGCCTCCCGGGTTCAAGTGATTCTCCTGCCTCAGTCTCCCGTAGCTGGGATTACAGGTGTGTGCCACCACACCTGGCTAATTTTGTATTTTTAGTAGAGACAGGGTTTCTCCATGTTGGTCAGGACAGTCTCAAACTCCCTACCTCAGGTAATCTGCCCACCTCGGCCTCCCAAAGTGCTGTGATTACAGGCGTGAGCCACCGCACCCGGCCACAAGTCATTAATTTCATAATGATCTTTACAGAAGTCCCACTCCAGGCAGACAGTTTGGTTACACTGTTTTGCTTGACATGAACAGCACTAAACTAATGCTCTTTCTGAAAATGGGTTAGAAACACCACCCACTTCAGTTTTCCTTTAAGGACCAAAGGAGTTCCAAAAATGTACACACAAGGCCAGGCGCAGTGGCTCACACCTGTAATCCCAGCACTTTGAGAGGCCGAGGTGGATGGTCACTTGAGCTCAGGAGTTCAAGACCAGCCTGGGCAACAAACCCCATCTCTACTAAAATTACAAAAATTAGCTGAGCGTGGTGGCACATGCCTGTAGTCCCAGCTGCTCGGGAGGCTGAGGCACAAGAATCACTTGCACCCGGAAGACAGAAGTTGCAGTGAGCTGAGATCATGCCATTGCACTCTAGCCTGGGTGACAGGAATAAAACCCTGTCAAAAAAAAAAAAGTACATAACATGCGTGTACATATATAAATATACACATACACATGTACATATAATAGTGCCTATTGTTCATCTTGTCAAAAAGCATTAATTTGTGCTTCATATTCAACTTACCACTTTTTTACTTAAATGTAAGCAAATGTGGTATTTTATTTACCTATTTATTTCCTTAGAGAGAGGGTCACCCAGGCTAGAGTGCAGTGGCACAATCATAGCTCTCTGTAGCCTCAAACTCCTGGGCTCAAGTGATCCTCCTGCCTCAGCCTCTGAGTAGCTGTGACTATAGGCACATACCACCATGCCTGGCTAATTTATTTTTTTATTTTTATTTTGTAGAGGCTAGCTCTTGCTATGTTGCCCAGGCTGGTCTTGAACTCCTGGCCTCAAGTGATCCTCCTGCCTCAGCTTCCCAAAGTGCTGGGATTACAGGCATGAGCCACTGCACCAGACCTGTTTATATTTTTAAAGTATCACTGTGCTGGCCGGGAGCGGTGGCTCACGCCTGTAATCCCAGCACTTTGGGAGGCTGAGTCAGGTGGATCACGAGGTCAGGAGATCGAGACCATCCTGGCCAACATGGTGAAACCCTGTCTCTACTAAAAATACAAACATTAGCGGGGCATGGTGGTGCATGCCTATAATCCCAGCTACTCGGGAGGCTGAAGCAGGAGAATCGCTTGAACCCGGGAGGCAGAGATTGCAGTGAGCCGAGATCGCGCCACTGCACTCCAGCCTGGTGATGCAGCGAGACTTCGTCTCAAAAAAAAAAAAAAAAAAAAAAAAAAAAAGTATCTCTATGCTGTTTTACAATTAAAACAATCTCTGTGGAGCAACAAAGCATCAACAATTATATTGGTGCATCCTTAAAATTTTATAACCAACAAATGTGAGAGGAGGTCAGGCAGCTTCCCAGAGGTCACAAGGATCCATAAACACATCCATCTCTAAAATGCTATTTTTCTTCCAAATCCCTTGAGCAATACCTTCCATACAATTTTACTGTATGATTTTAGTCTATCTTAAACTTCCTCTACTTCTGCTGAGTATTCTTTATGAACCCTATAGAGGTTAACTTAAAAAGTACCTCTGCTAGGCCGGGCGCAGTAGCTTCCGCCTGTAATCCCAGCACTTTGGGAGGCCACAGCGGGCGATCACCTGAGATCTGGAATTCGAGACCAGCCTGACCAAAATGGAGAAACCCCGTCTCTACTAAAAATACAAAAAAAATTAGCCGGCCGTGGTGGCGCATGCCTGTAATCCTAGCTACTGGGGAGGCTGAGGCAGGAGAATCGCTTGAACATGGGAGGGGGAGGTTGCCGTGACCCGAGATCGCGCCATTGCCCTCCAGCATGGGCAACAAGAGCGAAATTCCTTCTCAAAAAAAAAAAAAAAAAGAAAAGAAAAGAAAAGAAAACACAAAAAAAGTACCTCTGTTTACCCTGCCTTTCACAAACTGGTTAGCTCAAGGTGAATACATAAGCTGTTATCTGTACTCCTCCTAACCCCAATTTTTCTATTCTCCTGCTCAATTCCTCGGCAGATCATCACCACAATGATTTCTTAAAGATAGGTAACACTCGGGCCGAGCACGGTGGCTCCCACCTGTAATCCCAGCACTTTGGGAGGCCGAGGCGGGTGGATCATAAGGTCAAGAGTTTGAGACCAGCCTACCCAACATGGTGAAACCCGGTCTCTACTAAAAATACAAAAAATTAGCTGGGTGTGGTGGCGTGAGCCTGTAATCCCAGCTACTCGGGAGGCTGAGGCAGGAGAATCGCTTGAACCCGGGAGGCGGAGGTTGCCGTGAGCCAAGATCACGCCACTGCACTCCAGCTTGGGCAACAAGAGTGAAACTCCATCTCAAAACAAAACAAAACAAACAAGATGGGTAACAATCATACTCGATGCAAAGTCTAGCCTTAGTTTTTCTACTCCTACACAATTACACCACCCAGGAATCTCTCCAGTAGTACAAAGTATTGTCCCCTCTACTAAACAATCTATTAAGATGCCTAATAACTCAGCCTGGGTCTTCTAAATTCTGGACCCTTCATCTTCTATCTAGCTCCAGGACCTAGGCTATCCTCCTCTCCCACTCCAAGACACTGCTGCCGCAAATATTTTTGACACTTGCTACCAAAATAATCGGGGTTCTCAGACATTTGTTCAGCTTCTGACCTTGACATCTGTTGGCAGTTTACAAGTTACAAAGTATCTACTTCTGATTTTCCCCTCAACCCACTGAGGTCGGTGAGCCAAATATTGCTATCCTGGTTTTAACAGTGAGGAATCCAGGTCTGTGACACCTTCGCCCAAGGTCACACGGCGAGTCCTCATGGTAAAGGGCTCTCCCCACCCTTAGGGTCCCCACCAACCTTCCCCTTCTCCACATCCCTCCTCCTGGCCCCCGCCGGGCCCGCCCCCTAGGGCTCCAAATGAACTGAGACGACACTCAGGCCCCGCCTGCGCTTTCCCAGAGCTGATCCTGGAGTTATTCTCCTGAGGGGCAGGTGTCAGGCTACTCTTCCAGGGTCACTACATACCATCCCCGCCCAGCCCCTACTCTAGCCGAGAAAAAGGAGGCCCCTTTTTCTCGGCCCCTGGTTCTGCATAGAGGAAGAGCGAGCCGGGAGCTCACCACTGCGCCCCGCGTTGGAGTGTGGTCCTCATTAAGGGTCCAAGCTCGGACTTCTGAGTCTCCGCATCCGGTCGCTCACGGCAGCCTCCACCTTCCGCCATCTCCTCCGCGGCCCCGGCCCAGCCGGCCCGGACATCCGCCCCGCGCGCGGCGTGCTATAGACCGCGCCCACGCACGCACGCTCGCGTGCCCGCCCCTGCCCCACCTCGAGCCGCGGCCTTCGGCTCCTGCAGCCGCTGTCTTTTCTCCCCTCCGCTCTCGCGCCACCTAGCTCACCGGCGAACAGTGGAGCGGAAAGGCACACGCGAGAGGGGTGGGCGGGGAGCAGCAGCTGCTACTTCCTCCCGCCCTGCCGCCCGCTACGCGGCCTTCGGGCGCCCCTTCCTCTGCTCAGGATGGCGCTACACTTCGAAGCTCTGTTCAGCCCGCCGATCTCAGGGAGTTAGGCAGCAAGCCCACGACCCATCGGGCACCCCAGCCTGGCCTTCGAGGTTATCGTGGTCCTAAATAAATGCAGGCCAGGTGCGAGAAGCCCGGTAGTTAGGTCTGCTCATTCTCACCCCTGCAATTCCGCTTTCAGCTGGAGGCCTTAGGCGAGTCAGCTGCCCAAACGTGGGATCGGGGCTCCTGCTCCAGCGGCCCTACAGGGATTTCGGGAAGTACCATGTGCACCAGCGCCTTGGGACCAAGACTCAATGGTGTGTTGTAGTCATTAACAGTCGCCTTAAACAGTCGACGCCAGAGCCACCTGGCCCACCGCAGAATTCCGTCAGCTCTTCATACTGAGCTACTTGCCAAGCAGCCACAGAGGGGCGATAGCAACAGGGGAAGGAGAGGTACTCCACATTAGTTACCCAGGCGTGTACTTAGTTCCTGGAACAAGATACAACGTCCTGAACACTATGTTTTCCAGTCGCCCCGCTCACACACACAACCCTCCTCTTGGAGGGAGAAGTAAACCCAGAGGAAAGAGGAAGTCAGGCAGTTGGTCTAGATGCGTCTCCATACACTTGTCTAACAGTCCTTGTCCTCAGAGAAAAATAAGACCTAGTTCCTGCCCTCATAGAATCTAGTAGAAAAGAAGAGATGTTACAGAAATAACCTCAATGCCTAGCAGTATGTGGTAAGTGCCATTAAAGTGTGTGAACCAGGCCGGGCGCGGTGGTTCAAGCCTGTCGTCCCAGCACTTTGGGAGGCTGAGGCGGAAGGATAGGTTCAGCCCAGGAGTTAGAGACCAACCTCGGCAACATAGCGAAATCCCGTCTCTACAAAAAAATACAAAAAATAGCCGGGCAGTGGCTCGCGTCTGTGGTCCCAGGTACTTGGGAGGCTGAGGTAGGAAGATCCCTTGAGCCCAGGAGGTCGAGGTTGCAGTGAGTCGAGATGGCGCCACTGCACTTGAGACTGGACGGCAAAGTGAGACCCTGTCTCAAAAAAAAAAAAATAAATACAAATAAAGGGTGTGAACCGGCCGGGCGCGGTGGCTCACACCTGTAATCCCAGCACTTTGGGAGGCCGAGGCAGGAGGATCACCTGAGGTCGGGCATTCGAGACCAGCCTGACCAACGTGGAGACCGAAATGTCTTAAAAAAAAAAAAAAAAAAAGACCGGGCGTCCGGCGCGGTGGTTCATGTTTGTAATCCTAGGACTTTGGGAGGCCGAGGCGGGCAGATCACGAGGTTAGGAGTTCGAGACCAGCGTGGCTAATATGGTGAAACCCCTTCTCTACTAAAAATACAAAAAAAAAAAAAAAAATTAGCCGTTAGTGGTGGCCCACACCTAGTCTCAGCTACTCGGGAGGCTAAGGCAGAAGAATCGCTTGAACCTGGGAGGCAGAGGTTGCAGTGAGCCGAGATTGCGCCACTGCACTCCAGCCTGGGCAACAGAGCAAGACCCCCTCTAAAAAAAAAAGGGGGTGTGAACCAAAGGCTGTAGAACGCCAGGCACAACCCCTGCTCTCATAGGAAGCCTTTGACTTGAGTAACATTTGAGTGTGGTATTGAAAAAAAATGCTGGCAGAATAAAGATGAGGATGCATGTTACAGGAGGGGAGACTCAAGGGACCAGAAGATAATTTCTGGAAAAGGCAGGACAGGATCAGAGAGTGGGGATTAGGCCAGTTGAGGCGGGCACTACAACGCTACAACAGCCTAAGGGGATCTAAAGCTAGAAAGGAGGCCAGACAGACCATATATCCTGCCTTAAAAGGCAGGCAGGCATTATAGGAAGTTTTGAAGCAGAGACAAAATGGCTGAGGGTGCTTCACGCCCACGGTGGTGTAACTCAGACACAGAACCATTAGGAACCTCTCACTATGGAGGTGGCTGTGAGGGAGAAGAGGAGAAACAGAGAAGCCATGTCTATTTTATTTTATTATTCTTATTTTTCTACCTATTCCTGTTGAAAAGATGAGCTATGTTTTGTGTCGGGGGTGAAGGAAGGGGAACTGGCCCAGTGAAAATACGGTAGGTCATTTGAACAGATTTACTATTTTTATGTTGGGTTTGGCCAATTGAAATTAATTTGCACTCCCTGGGTCATCCATCACACACCATCTGATAAGAAAGGCCTCTTGGCAATTGGGTAGATAGTAGGAGAAAGTAAATATGGAATTAAAACTGCCTTAAATAACCACATAGTAATTAATCCCCTGTAGATAAGAGTTACCACCACCACATGATGATTCTACATCTGCAGAGCCAACCCTAACAAGTCCCCTTCTATGAAAGTTCTTTGAAACTCGTTTTTGTTTTGTTTTGTTTTGTTGTTTTTTCTGAGATGGAGTCTTGCTGGGTCCCCCAGGCTGGAGTGCAGTGGGGCAATCTCAGCTCACTGCAACCTCTGCCTCCCTGGATCAAGCGATTCTCCTGCCTCAGCCTCCTGAGTAGCTAGAATTACAGGTGTGCGCCACCACGCCTGGCTAATTTTTGTATTTTTAGTAGAGATGGGGTTTCACCATGTTGGGCAGGCTGGTCTCAAACTCCTGACCTCATGATCCACTGGCCTCAGCCTCCCAAAGTGCTGGGATTAAAGGTGTGAGGCACCGTGCCCGGCTGAAACTCTTAAAAATGTTATCAAAAAAGAAACACTACCTTTAGTCCTGTTATTTATGGAAAAAGAAAGTTGAGGCCAGGCGTGGTGGCTCACGCCTGTAATCCCAGCACTTTGGCTTTGGAAAGCCAAGGCAGGCGGATCGCCTGAGGTCAGGAGTTCGAGACCAGCCTGGCCAATGTGGTGAAACCCTGTCTCTACTAAAAATGCAAAAATTAATTGGGCATGGTGGCGAGCACCTGTAATCCCAGCTACTCAGGAGGCTAAGGTAGGAGAATCACTTGAAACTGGGAGATGGAGGTAGCAGTGAGTCAAGATCGCACTACTGCACTCCAGGCTGGGTGACAGAGAGAGACTCTGTCTCAAAAAAAAAAAAAAGTTGGTTACTGACATCGGTTCAGAATCTACATTTCAGGGTGTCTGCTTCCCTCTTCTTTTTTTAGCAGTTTCACCAAACCATTTATGGCAGTCTTAAGGAAGACAAGTAGGACAAGTCCTCAGCACCACTAGAAAAGGGGACAAAACCTAATTATAAAAATGAAAAATTTGGACAATATTTTTAAGTCAGGAATTTAGTGCTTTTAATAGCTATAAAAATAGCGCACTAATTATTGGTAGCCCTTAAAAATTAATATTAGGATTGCAAAATATTCTTCTTGATATCTGGGTATTTGGAGGGAAAAAAAGAAAAATAAATAAATAAAAGATTACAAAATGCTGGTAGTTGAAATGTGAAGAATAAAGTGAATTCCATAGTTGGAAGATCACCTTTTTTTTTTTTTTTTTTTTTTTTGAGACAGAGTCTTTGTTGCCCAGGCTAAAGTGCAGTGGTATAATCATGGCTCACTTGCAGCCTCGACCTATTGGGCTCAAGTGATCCTCCTACCTCAGCCTCCCAAATAGCTGGGACTACTGGTCTGCATCACCATGCCTAGCTAACCAGACTACTGGTCTGCATCACCATACCTAGCTAATTTTCATATTTTTAGTATAGATGGAGTTTCACCATGTTGCCCAGGCTGGTCTTGAACTCCTGGCCTCAAGTGATCCTCCGCCTCCCAAGTGCTGGGATTGCAGTCATGCGCCACCGTGCCCGGACTACAAGGTCACCATTATTTACAAAGTCTTTAAACTTTGTTAGCCAGTTTGTTTGATTTAAATGGTGGGGGTGGCCGGGCGCAGTGGCTCATGCCTGTAATCCCAGCACTTTAGGAGGCCAAGGCAGTCGGATCAGGAGGTCAGGAGTTCGAGACCAGCCTGACCAACATGGCGAAACCCCATCTCTACTAAAAATACAAAAATTATCTGGGCGTGGTGGCATGGGCCTGTAATCCCAGCTACTCAGAAGGCTGAGGCAGGAAAATCGCTGGAACCTGGGAGGCAGAGGTTGTGGTGAGCCAGGATCGTGCCATTGCATGCCAGCCTGGGCAACAAGAGCAAAACTCCGTCTCAATAAATAAATAAATAAATAAATAAATAAATAAATAAATGGTGGGGTTTTTTGTTTTGTTTTGTTTTTGAGACAGGGTCTCATTCTGTCATCCCCGCTGCAGTGCAGTGGCACAATCTTGGCTCACTGCAACTTCTGCCCTGTTCCCCAGGGCTCAAGCACTCTGTCCACCTCTGCCTCCCAAAGTGTTGAGATTACACGTGTGAGCCACCACGCTGAGCCGTTTTTTGTTTTGTTTTGTTTTTTGAGACAGAATCTCATTCTGTAGTCACAACTACTTAGGAGGCAAAAAAACCAGGGCCAGGCACGGCTCACTCCTGCAATCCCAGCACTTTGGTAGGCTGAGGTGGGCAGGTCACTTGAGGTCAGGAATTTGAGACCAGCCTGGCCAACCTAGTGAAACCCAGTCTCTACTAAAAACATAGAAATTAGCTGGGCATGGTGGTGCTCGCCTGTAATCCCAGCTACTTGGGAGGCTGAGGCAGGAGAATCACTTGAACCCAGGAGGCGGAGGTTGCCGTGAGCCAAGATCACGCCACTGCACTCTAGTCTGGGCAACAAGAGTGAAACTTCATCTCAAAAAAAGGAAAAAAAAATTTAAAAATTTAAAATAAAACAATTAGCCTGGCATGGTGACGTGCACCTGTAATCCCAGCTATTAAGTAGGCCAAGGTGGGAGGATCTTTTTAGCCCAGGAGTTTGAAGTTGCAGAGAGCTGTGATCCTATGATCGTGCCACTGCACTCCAGCCTGGGTGACAGAGCAAGATCCTGTCTCAAAAATAAAACAAAAAAGAGAACTGGAAACAATGAACATCTGCCTGCGTGTTCCTGTTGTGGTAGTGACCTAGGGACTTGGGAGGAAATGACAAGGGTGACTGATTCAGCTCAGAGACATCTTGGCACCAGAGCTGTGTTCTATGTTGAGCCACTTTATCCTAGAGAGAACCATAGGCCCGGTAGGACACCAAGATCCCAGAAGTGGACAATCCATCCATTACCAGAGGACCTTGGGCCACAAGAACAGAAGAGAAACCAGGAAGGGAGCTAGAAGAAAACCTGGCTTATTGGTCACATACTAGTTGATCTTGGACTGTGATGTCTAATTAAAGATTCATAATGTTGGCCGGGCGCGGTGGCTTACGCTTGTAATCCCAGCACTTTGGAAGGCCGAGAAGGGCGGATCACGAGGTCAGGAGATCGAGATCATCCTGGCTAACACAGTGAAACCCCGTCTCTACTAAAAATACAAAAAATTAGCCGGGCGTGGTGGTGGGTGCCTGTAGTCCCAGCTACTCAGGAGGCTGAGGCAGGAGAATGGCATGAACCCGGGAGGCGGAGCTGGCACTGAGCCAAGATTGCGCCACTGCACTCCAGCCTGGGTGACAGAGCGAGACCCTATCTCAAAAAAAAAAAAAAAAAAAAAGATTCATAATGTCAGGCCGGGCACGGTGGCTCACACCTGTAATCCCAGTACTTTGGGAGGCCGAGGCAGGTGGTTCACCTGAGGTCAGGAGTTTGAGACCAGCTTGACCAACATGGTGAAACCCCATCTCTATTGAAAATACAGAATTATCTGGGCATGGTAGTGCATTCCTGTAGCCCCACCTACTTGGGAGGCTGAGGCAAGAGAATAGTTTGAACCCAGGAGGCGGAGGTTGCAGTGAGCCAAGATTGCACCACTGCACTCCAGCCTGGGCAACAAGAGCGAAACTCCGTCTCAAAAAAAAAGATTAATAATGTCTGGGTGTGTGAACTTTATGCTTTTTTTTTTTTTTTTTTTTTGAAACAAGGTCTTAGTCTGTCACCCAGCCTGGAATGCAGTGGCGCAATCTCCGCTCACTGCCACCTCCGCCTCCTGGGTTCAAGGGATTCTCCTGCCTCAGCCTCCCTAGTAGCTGGGATTACAGGCACCGGCCACCACGCCCAGGTGATTTTTGTATTTTTAGTAGAAACGGGGTTTCACCATGTTGGCCAGGCTGTTCCTGAACTCCTGACCTCAGGTGATCCACCCGCCTCGGCCTCCCAAAGTGCTTGGATTACAGGCTTGAACTACCACGCCTGGCCTTTAAGCTTTATTTTATTCCAAATCATAAGGTTTTTGTCTTAGCTGCTACCACAGTTTTCTTTACACCTGATAGGACTTGGCTCTCCCAAGTTATTCTTGGTCCACACTTGGCCAGCACTAACAGAGCACACGTGGCAGTATTCACAAATATTAGACATATTTTAATTGGAGGTGGCAACAGGGGAGAAATATTTTTGGTTCCTTCTCACCTGTGCCTCCTTAACCTGCCCAGGGGACTGTGAAAAGAAAAAGATTCTAGAAGCACACTTTAGAAGAATTAAATGTCTTCTCAGTGATTTCTAACCTCTGTTATATAAGGATTAGGTTCTTGCAGAAGATAATAGAGGCAAAAAACTGAACAAGTCTCACAGAGAGGAAGTGGGATCACTTTTTTTATATGGAGGAGTTGTGCCAATGGACAGATTCCATTCTGGTTATGCCACTTGTGTTGATGGCCAGCCCTCTTCGGGCAGAGGGTGTGGCAGCCTGGGCCCAGGTGCCGCCAGTGTCTTGTCTTCCTCCTGTAATTCTATTACCATCACAGTCTTAACCATGAACCAGTATTTAACGTTAATTTGCGTGTATCCTTTGCCCTTTCCACAGTGCGAATTCTCAGTAGGCATTTCTTGCATAAATGAAAGAAAGAATGATCCGGCTATTAGTCATTTCTTCACTGGACTAATAGTACTTGAGTATTATGTGCTCATGGTCCCTACCCTCCAGGGTTCACAGTGTGGTTAGGGATGAAGGATGGTTACATATGTAATACAGTATTGTATGTTGTGTGGTAAAAGTGTCACAGGGGCCGGGTGCAGTGGCTCACGCCTGGAATCCCAGCACTTTGGGAGGCTGAGGTGGGCAGATCACGAGGTTAGGAGATCAAGACCGTCCTGGCTAACACCGTGAAACCCTATCTCTACTAAAAATACAAAAAAATTAGCCCGGTGTGGTGGTGGACACCTGTAGTCCCAGCTACTTGGGAGGCTGAGGCAGGAGAATGGTGTGAACCCGGGAGGCAGAGCTTGCAGTGAGCCGAGATCGAGCCACTGCACTCCAGCCTGGGCAACAGAGCAAAACTCTGCCTCAAAAAAAAAAAAGTGTCACAAGAACATGAAGGGTCATGCTTGCAGATACTTCCCTGGGAAGGAAACTTAAGCAACTAGTGTAGAAAGCAAAGGCATACTTAATATTCCTTTTGGCCTTTGGGGGTATATGATGACATCCACAAAGGATGCTCAGGAGACCAGGACTTTATTTTTTATTTTTATTTATTTTTTTAAGACAGAGTCTCACTCTGTCACCCAGGCTGGAGCACAGTGGCGCAATCTTGGCTCACTGTAAGCTCCGCCTCCCGGGTTCATGCCATTCTCCTGCCTCAGCCTCCTGAGTAGCTGGGACTACAGGCACCTGACACCACGCCCAGCTAATTTTTTTTTTTTTTTTGTATTTTTAGTAGAGATAGGGTTTCACTGTGTTAGCCAGGTTGGCCTTGAACTCCTGACCTCATGATCTGCCCGCCTCGGCCTCCCAAAGTGCTGGGATTACAGGCGTGAGCCACCCCACACAGCCGACTTTATTTTTTTATTTATTTATTTTTTTTGAGACAGAGTCTCGCTCTGTTGCCCAGGCTGGAGTGCAGTGGCGCCATCTCTGCTCACTGCAAGCTCCGCCTCGCAGGCTCCTGCCATTCTCCTGCCTCAGCCTCCCGAGGAGCTGGGACTACAGGCTCCCGCCACCACGCCCGGCTCATTTTTTGTATTTTGTTTAGTAGAGATGGGGTTTCACCATGTTAGCCAAGATGGTCTCGATCTCCTGACCTGGTGATCTGCCGGCCTCAGCCTCTCAAAGTGCTGGGATTACAGGCGTGAGCCACCATGCCCGGCCTATTTTTTTTATTACTTTTTTTTGTGTGTGTTTGACAGAGTCTCACTTTGTCACGCAGGTTGTAGTGCAGTGGCACAATCTCGGCTCGCTGCAACCTCCACTTCCTGGGTTCAAGCAATTCTCATGCCTCGGCCTCCCCAGTAGCTGGGGACTACAGGCGTGCGCCACCACACACAGCTAATTTTTTTTTGTATTTTTTGTAGAGATGTGGTTTCGCCAGGCCAGGCGTGGTGGCTCACGCCTGTAACCCTATAACTTTGGGAGGATGAGGCGGGTGGATCACCTGAAGTCAGGAGTTCAAGACCAGCCTGGCCAACATAGTGAAATTCCATCTCTACTAAAAACACAAAAAATTAGCCAGGCATGGTGGCAGACGCCTGTAATCCCAGCTACTCAGGAGCCTGAGTCAGGAGAATCACTTGAACCTGGGAGGTGGAGGTTGCAGTGAGACGAGATCACACCACTGCACTCCAGCCTGTGCAACAAGAGCAAAACTCCAAAAAAAAAAAAGAAAAAGAAAAGAAAAAGATATGTGGTTTTGCCATGTTGGATGTTGGCCAGACTGGTCTTGAACTTCTTACCTCAGGTGATCCACCTGCCTCGGCCTCCCAAAGTGCTGGGATTATAGGCGTGAGCCACTG
Organism: Homo sapiens; assembly: GCF_000001405.40. Taxonomy (NCBI): domain Eukaryota; kingdom Metazoa; phylum Chordata; class Mammalia; order Primates; family Hominidae; genus Homo; species Homo sapiens. The sequence goes on from NC_000003.12 coordinate 49,349,016, forward strand.
TACCTGGCATGAGACCTGGACTTTAGATTCACTCACATGTACATGCACACACACACAGTCATGTGCTGGGGACAAAGGTGACTGGGGTATTCTGCTGCAGGGAGATTTAGATTCCCTTCACTTGCTTCCCTATGAAGCCAGGTGGTCTTCAGAACTGTAGGACACCACTGAGGGTAAGCTACATGTGTTCCTGAATGCTGCTAGAGCTCTAGGAATTTGGATCAAGTGGGCTTGCTTTGTGGTCTCCTCTACTGGTCTTGAGGGCCACAATTACACTGGACCTGTGAGGGGCACTAAAAGTGGGTCTCCCAGGAGCCTCTGCGTCTCTTCACAGCCAAGATCAGGTCACCTGCCCTTACATTTACAACAGGTAAGGCTGGCTAGGAAAATATTCTGCCAGCCAGTTAGGGCCAACAAGTTGCCTAGCACCCCTGCCCAGTACACCACTGTCATGTCATGTCAGTCTCAATGCTTCTAGATGCAACTAACAGAATCCCCAGCAGCAATTGGCCCACCTATTTGGTGGTTCTTGTTTTTTCACATGACACGTCTGGAGTTGAGTTCTTGGGAAGGTCAAAGCTGAAAGACATCAGTTTGTTTATCTGGGGCCTTCTAGTTCTTTGCCTTCAAAGCTCCAACGTGGCTGCCTTGCTCCCAGAATTTTGGGTACCCTCAACAACACCCACCAGTGAGAAGGGAGAGAGGAAACAAGATCCTGTTTCCTGGGATCATGGGGGCTTTCCCAGGAGCCTCTGCATCTCTTCATAGCCAAGATTAGGTCACCTGCCCCTATCTTTACAGCAGGAAAGTAGATTCTGCCAGCCAGCCAGGAGGAAGGACTTGGGAATGGCTGTTGAGTAGAGATAAGCAATGTCTCTGTACACAGCCTCTCTGAGAGGCAGTGAGAATTACACCATTTCAGGGCCAAGGCCTATGAGACCTCATTTCTTGGACAAGGACTTCTGACATTTGTCCCCCTCAGCTCCCAATCAGTCAGTGTCTGATGTGAGGCAGATACCCATTAATCTCTGTGGCTGGCTGGAGCTGGGCTTTATTTCAGTGCCCGCCCAGGTGTGTCACACCTGTATGTGAATGCATACTCTTCCCGCTTACTTCGTGAGTGCAGTAACAAAAACATGTCAATTCAGAGTACTCTGATAGGGATCATGGCCTGCTCTTTATAAACCCATGCTGTGTTTTCTTGGGAAAAAAATTTTTTTTTTTTTTTGAGACAGGGTCTGTCTCTGTTGCCCAGGCTGGAGGGCAGTGGCACAATCTCAGCTCACTGCAACCTCCGCCTCCTGGGTTCAAGCGAGTCACCCACCTCAGCCTCCCAAGTAGCTGGGACTACAGGCACACGCCACCATGTGCGACTAATTTTGTTTCTGTTTTTGAGATGGAGTCTCACTCTGTCACCTAGACTGGAGTGCAGTGGCACAATCTTGGCTTCTGCAACCTCGATCTCCCAGGTTCAAGCAATTCTCCTACCTCAGCCTCCCAAGTAGCTGGGATTACAGGAGGGCACCACTATGCCCAGCTAATTTTTGTATTCTTAGTAGAGATAGGGTTTGACCATGTTGGCCAGGCTGATCTCAAACTCCTGACCTCAAATGATCCGCCCGCCTCACACTCGTCTAATTTTTGTATTTTTTGGTAGAGACAAGGTTTCACCATGTTGGCCAGGTTGGTTTTTTGGGGGGTTTTTTGTTTGTTTATTTTGAGACAGCCCAGGCTGGAGTCGCACAGGCTGGAGTGAAGTGGCACAATCTCAGTTCACTGCAGCCTTGACCCTCTGGGCTCAAGTGATTCCCCCCACCTCAGCCTCCTGAGTAGATGGGACTACAGGTACATGCAACCATGCCTGGCCCCTTGGGGAGATCTTTAGCCAGTACTTTTTACTCTATCTTATCCAAAAGTTAAAATGTAAGAGATTTATTAGACTTATCAGGCCAGGAATGCTTTTCTGAAAATAAACTTGTTTTATTTATTTTGAGACAGGGTCTCACTCTGTCTTCCAGGCTGGAGTACAGTGGCGCAATCAGCTCACTGCAGCCTCGATCTCCTGGGCTTAAGCAATGTTCTGACCTCAGCTGCCCAAGTAGCTGGCTGGTACCACAGTCATGTGCCACAAAGCTTGGCTCTTTTTTTTTTTTTTTTTTTTTTTGAGACAGAGTCTTGCTCTGTTACCCAGGCTGGAGTGCAGTGGCCCAATCTCAGCTCACTGCAACCTCCACCTCCCAGGTTTAAGCGATTCTCCTGCCTCAGCCTCTGGAGCAGCTGGGACTATAGGTGCACACCACCATGCCCAGCTTATTTTCGTATTTTTAGTAGAGACGGGGTTTCACCATATTGGCTGGACTCCTGACCTCATGATCCACCCGCCTTTTCCTCCCAAAGTGCTGGGATTACAAGCATGAGCCACCTTGCCTGGCCAGTATTTTTTTGTAGAAACAGTGTTTCGCCATGTTGCCCAGGCTGTTCTCAAACTCCTGAGCTCAAACAATCTGCCCACCTTAGCCTCCCAAAGTGCTTGGATTATAGGTGTGAGCCACTGCACTGAGCCTGAAAATAAACTTGTTTTAAATGTTGTTTTTAGGACTACGTTGAGTCAGAATAAGGAAGTCATTTGATCAACTGCTAATTGTGCAAGAAATGCCTGACCTAATTTTATCAGATTTAATGTTTGAAAAAAAACCCCAAAAGCAGCCCTTCTGTAAGAACTGCTGAAATGGAAGTTTCTGAACCTAGGTCAGTGGCCTAAATGCTGTATGTGTTTTCTGTGCAAGCAATGCTCTGCAGCCATTTCTGCTTTTAAAGCCAGGACTTCACATAGGCTGAATGTGATTTCTACTCTTTTACTTGTTTATTTGAGCTGCTGATTCACAATGGGGTGGGGTGGGTACCAGTCAGAGCAGCAGCAGTTGCATGGTTGAATGAAAAGAATGTGTATGTGTGAGAGTGTGTCTGTGTGTGTTGGGGGAAGACAGTGAAGTCTTAACTGGCTTTACTCTGAAACTTCCTGGAGAAGAGAGAGTTAGAAAGGACTGGCCGGGCATGGTGGCTCACGCCTGTAATCCCAGCACTTTGGGAGGCCCAGGTGGGTGGATCATTTGAAGTCAGGAGTCCAAGACCAGCCTGGCCAACATGGTGAAACCCTGCCTCTACTAAAAATACAAAAAAATTAGTCTCGGGTACTCAGGAGGCTGAGGCAGGAGAATTGCTTGAACCCGGGAGACAGGTTGGAGTGAGCTGAAATTGCACCACTGCATTCCAGCCTGGGCAATAGAGCGAGACTCCCTGTCAAAAAAAAAAAAAGAAAGAAATGACTTCTAGTTGAGAGAGGAGGCATACAGCTTAAAGTCTGAGGAGAAATGTTCTCCAGCCAGGATCAGGCATACTGGGAGTTCAGAAGTTCCCTTTACTGAAGCTGAGTAATTTCAGGGGAAACCAAAAAAAGTTCCCTTCACTCGTAGTCCAAGGCATAAACTGAGATGGTGGGGGTGGCATGGGGCAAGGAGGGGTCAATCACCAGGCATCCTGGAGAGAAGTTGGAGTTTATTGGAAAGTTCTGGGTTCCTATCCTGTAGCCTAACCAGAGAGTGTGGCCTAGGCCACATTGACCCTGTACAGGAAAGGGGAGAGTTGAAGTGGGATGTCTCTTCTCACAGGTCCAGCTGGTAGAACACTGAGTAGGACCCTAGGTCCCTAGACTTTCCACTTTGGTGTCTCTGGAGGTGGGTTGTGGAACATATATTTTCACAAGTACCTGGGTGACTCCTGGGCACTGTATATTCATCTCCTAGAATAGGACCTGGTACCTCCTAGACACATGGCTTTCTAGCTTTGGTTCCAGCTGCCCCGAGACTGCAGGCAGTCCAGAAGCATGGGTTCCAGCTAACTATTCTTTAGGAACTGTCCCTTCCCTTGGCTCCTTGCTCCAACCTTGTTCCTCCCCAGCTATTTCTCTCTGCCATCTCATCTGGAAGGATTGTGAATCTATAGGCCTCAGGCCCAGGTCCCCTAATCTTTTTCTTGCCACTTTCCCCACGTGACCTCATCCTCTCCAGTGGCTACTGCTCCCGTGGCTAGACCATTGCCTTTCAACATTCTCTTCTTCTGCGCCTCTTGTAACTGCCTGCCCCAGATACCTCTGTCTGGATGTCTAATGCAGTATAGCTGAATCTGAACACATCCACCTACCCCCAAAACCTGCTCCTCCTGTTGCTGACTTAGTCAAGAATGCCACCTTCCCATCTCAGGATCTCACACACTATACTCCCTGCCTGCTCACCCGCCATCAGCTTATTCTTTAACCAACTGCTTCTTGACTTCTTTTCAGTCTCAATTTTTTTTTTTTCTCTGAGAGGGAGTCTCGCTCTGTCACCCAGGCTAGAGTGCAGTGGTGCAATCTCGGCTCACTGCAAGCTCCGCCCCCCAGGTTCACGCCATTCTCCTGCCTCAGCCTCCCGAGTAGCTGGGACTACAGGTGCTCGCCACCACGCCCAGCTAATTTTTTGTATTTTTAGTGGAGATAGGGTTTCACCGTGTTAGCCAGGATGGTCTCGATCTCCTGACCTTGTCATCCGCCCACCTTGGCCTCCCAAAGTGCTGGGATTACAGGTGTGAGCCACCGCGCCCAGCCACTTTTTCTTTTTGAGATGGAGTCTTGCTCTGTTGCCCAGGCTGGAGTGCAGTGATACCATCTCGGCTCACTGCAACCTCCACCTCCTGGGTTCAAGTGATTCTCCTGCTTCAGACTCTTGAGTAGCTGGGATTACAGGTGCCCGCCACCACGCCCAGCTAATTATCATATTTTTAATAGAGACGTGGTTTCGCCGTGTTGGGCAGGCTCATCTCAAACTCCTGACCTCAAGCCATCAAGCCATCTGCCCACCTTGGCCTCCCAAAGTACTGGGATCACAGGTGTGAGCCACCGCACCCAGCCTCACTGTCACTTTTTCCAGGAGGCATGCATGAGCCTCCCTACTGGGCCTGGTCCTCTTCTTTATTCTTTTTTTTTTTTTTTTTTTTTGAGACGGAGTCTCGCTCTGTCGCCCAGGTCGGACTGCGGACTGCAGTGGCGCAATCTCGGCTCACTGCAAGCTCCGCTTCCCGGGTTCACGCCATTCTCCTGCCTCAGCCTCCCGAGTAGCTGGGACTACAGGTGCCCGCCACCACGCCCGGCTAATTTTTTGTATTTTTTTAGTAGAGACGGGGTTTCACCTTGTTAGCCAGGATGGTCTCGATCTCCTGACCTCGTGATCCGCCCGCCTCGGCCTCCCAAAGTGCTGGGATTACAGGCGTGAGCCACCGCACCCGGCCTATTCTTTTTTTTTAACTAGTGTAAGGTGCACAATTTTTTTCTTGTCTTTTTTTCCTATTCTCAAAGCACAAAACATGCTTTTTTGATAATTATATACTGTCCTTCTGACTTCTTCAGGCACCTGGCAGAGCACACGGCACAGGACTGGATTATGAATGAATGAGGGAGCAAAGTGCTTTTGGGGAAGAGACATGTAGGACATTAGGGGTCACAGGCAATCTGGGTCCACCCAGATTTACAGGTTGCTATTCTCCATTCCAGGAGTCAGATTTGAAGTCTACAAATGTCAAAAAGCCTTGGTACCATTTGAGTGGATTTTTTTTTTTTTTTTTTTTTTTTTTTTGAGAAAGTGTCTCGCTCTGTTGCCCAGGCTAAAGTGTAATAGCGCAATCTCGGCTCACTGCAACCTCCGCCTCCCAGGTTCAGGCAATTCTCCCTGCCTCAGCCTCCAGAGTAGTTGGGATTACAGGCGCCCGACACCACACCTGGCTAATTTTTGTATTTTTAGTAGAGACGGGGGTTTCACCATGTCGGTCAGGCTGGTCTCCAACTCCTTGCCTCAAGTGATCTGCCCTCCTCGGATTACTTGGGATTATAAAATGCTGGGATTATAGGCGTGAGCGTCCATGAATGGCCACTCAGGAGCCTTGATTGCATTTATGAATGACTAATCTTCTTCCCCAGAAGTTAACAGTCTAGGAGGGGTACAGGGGCTAGCCATCTCAGGGCCCACAGGGCCCGGCATATGATATTCATCACAAATATTGATCTATTAATATAATAACATTCCATTCTGGCAGGGCGCAGTGGCTCACGCCTGTAATCCCAGCACTTTGGGAGGCCTAGGCAGGCAGATCACCTGAGGTCAGGAGTTTGAGACCAGCCTGGCCAACATGGCGAAATCCCATCTCTACTAAAAATATTAAAAAGTAGCCAGGCATGGTGGTAGGCACCTGTAATCCCAGCCACTGGGGAGGCTGAGGCAGGAGAATCGCTTAAACTTGGGAGGTGGAGGCTGCAGTGAGCTGAGATCATGCCACTGCACCCCAGCCTGGGCAAGAGTGAGACTCCTGAGAGTTCCAAGGAACAACACAAGTAGAGTGAGGTCCAAAGGGGAAGCTGATAGTTCTACCTGGGTCACCCCAAGGGGGACTCAAAGGCTGGGGCAGAGAGAACCAGAGGGAGGTGGGCCTGTTCAGGAGTTCTCAGGATGGAGCCAGAGCAGGTCCAGAAGGCCCTACAATCCTTAGTGACCTAAGGGCAGACAAAGGGGGAAAGCAGCAGCAAAGATCACTGCTTAGGGCAAGAGGAAAAGTCCTTGAGAGTTGGTTCAGACTAAGAAGGACCTTGAGTCACGAATTTGAACACAAATGCTGGGACTCCAGAACCTCTGGTCCACAGTCAGCGGGTGAACAGCACTACCATGTCTCTGGGTACCTGTTTGCACAAGCGGAAGCTACACCCAGGCCCTGCAGTCCCCTGCACTGCGTTAGGAAATGGCTCCAAATCTGTCTTGAAAGATTATTGCTGCTCAAGCCTGTAATCCCAGCACTTTGGGAGGCCAAGGCGGGTGGATCACGAGGTCAGGAGATCGAGACCATCCTGGCTAACACGGTGAAACCCCGTCTACTAAAAAACAGAAAAAAATTAGCCGGGCGTGGTGGCGGGCGCCTGTAGTCCCAGCTACTCGGGAGGCTGAGGCAGAATGGCGTGAACCCGGGAGGCGGAGCTTGCAGTGAGCCGAGATTACACCACTGCACTCCAGCCTGCGCAACAGAGCAAGACTGTCTCAAAAAAAAAAAAAAAAAAAAAAAAATTAAAGATTATTGGCAGCAGGGTCAACAGATGGAGAGGCTGGACCTGAGTGGTGCCCGAGAAGCAGCAGCTGGCTTCAAAGACAAGCCCTTATCCTGGGCCTGAATGTGCAATTAATTGCACGTTAAGTGTTGGGCAGGGCATAGTCAGAAGGGCCAGTTAAATTATAGTTTTCTCACTCTTGAATATATGAGGCAGAAACTTGTAAGATCATCGTCACAGCAGATACAGGCACTTGGTAGCAACATGGAAAGATCTAGCCAGATAACAGAATTTATAACATTGCATGAGCTTCCGTGTAAAATGGGATTGTGTGGACCTAACAATTGGAGAGGCCATGACTCCAAATGTGAGTGGGGGCTCATGTTATTTTGTGACAGTCATTTCAGCGTGCAGCAAGTAGTCAGAAGTCTATCATTTGAGTTAGGCAGTCAACCATTGCCTTGTGTCTTTTTTGAAGTAAGGACTTTGTTGTAACTGGGTCTTGAGATGGCCCTTTGCATGTTCTGGTGAAGGCAGAAATGCAGGCCAGGAGCCAGACTTCCCACAAAGGAAAGAGTGGATCCTACACGCTGCAGACAAAAGGACAGAAAGTTCAGACTTGGCTAGGATAAGGGAAGGAGGATTAAGTTCCCACCACTATGACAATGAGGTTAGAAAAAGTATCGCCAGGCCGGGTGCGGTGGCTCATACCTGTAATCCCAGCACTTTGGGAGGCCGAGGCGGGTGGATCACGAGGTCAGGAGATCGATACCATCCTGGCTAACACGGTGAAACCCTGTCTCTACTAAAAATACAAAAAATTAGCCGGGCGTGGTGGCAGGCACCTGTAGTCCCAGCTACTCAGGAGGTTGAGGCAGGAGAATGGCGTGAACCCGGGAGGCGGAGCTTGCAGTGAGCCTAGATTGCGCCACTGCACTCCAGCCTGGGCAATAGAGCAAAAAACTCCGTCTCAAAAAAAAAAAAAAAAAAAGAAAAGAAAAAGAATTCCCAAATGACAATGACACAGGACATACACACAGTTCTGCTGACACCCGGCACTTTATTAGTGGGGAAACTCGCCTTGGTCTGGCAGAGACTGGGATCAACAGGACCAGCACCCATCTCGAGGTGGTATTTTCTGTAAGATCAGGTGTTCCTCCCTCGTAGGTTTAGAGGAAACACCCTCATAGATGAAAACCCCCCCGAGACAGCAGCACTGCAACTGCCAAGCAGCCGGGGTAGGAGGGGCGCCCTAGGCACAGCTGGGCCCTTGAGACAGCAGGGCTTCGATGTCAGGCTCGATGTCAATGGTCTGGAAGCGGCGGCTGTACCTGCGTAGGGGCACACCGTCAGGGCCCACCAGGAACTTCTCAAAGTTCCAGGCAACATCGTTGCGACACACCGGAGACCAGGTGATGAGCTTGGGGTCGGTCATAAGCGCGGTGGCGTCGTCGCTGGGAGCTGGCAGGGCCTCCCGCAGGAAGGCGAAGAGAGGGTGCGCCCCCGCACCGTTCACCTCGCACTTCTCGAAGAGCATGAAGTTGGGCTCGAACCCACCACCAGGCCGGACGTACTTGAGGGAATTCAGAATCTCTTCGTTCTTGGCGTTCTCCTACAGGAGAGAAGGGCAGCTAGAACCCGGGGTCAAGAGGAGGAGAGAAACGTTCTAACCACAAACAAGGGAGATTTTCTATGAGTCACCGGGATTTTGCCCTCCATGCGCAATCCCAAGGGCGGAGAGGAATTTCAGCAGCTACGAGCAACAGAAAGGAAACGAGAGAGTAGCCAGACTCTCCGCGCATGGAGCCGACGGCACCCACCAGCACACCGCCGGCGCCCCCAGCCACTACTGCACGTCCGCCCCCGCCCCGCCCCGCTCCGCCCGGCGCACCTGATGCCCAAACTGGTTGCACGGGAAGCCGAGCACCACCAGGCCCCGGGGTCCGAGGCGCCGCTGCAGCTCGTTCATCTGGGTGTAGTCCCGGACCGTGGTGCCTCAGAGGGACGCCACATTCTCGATAAGTAGTACCTTGCCCCGCAGGGAGCCCAGGCTCACAGGCTCCCCGCCGGCCAGCGGGCGCGCCGAGAAGGCATACACCGACTGGGCCGCCGCCGCCGCCGCCGCTAGCCGAGCAGCACACATGGCGCAATTGTCCAAGAAGCCAGCGGAGCGCCCCGAACAAGCACTGTAAGGGGAGGCCAGCAGGCGCCTCCTTTTAACTGGCCGGCGGCGGGTCACGTGGCACAGGCAGTTTTCCGGGCCTGAGGGTCCCGCCTCATCCGGCCCCCGCCCTACCCGGAGGGCTCGGCCCCTCCTCAGCCAGGAAAAGGCTGGAGAGTGCGCCCGAGCGGGACGCGTGCTCCTCCTAAGCCGGAAGGAGCAGCAGGCATGTCTGGTCTGGCCCAGGCAACCAGGCGGCAGCGGTCCAGGTTACCCTTCCAAGGGCTGGGGCCCTCGAGGGCTCCGTTTTTTCTCAGAGGTTCCTGAGTTAGGATGTGGGGTTTGGCATAGGAGGCTGGTGGGCGACGGCAGCAGCTGCAGGAGCTGCCCGTGCACAAACAGCCCTCCTCTCCTGTGCCATGTTACCGGCAGTGCAGGGGACAGCCAGAGGGATCTAGGCTTCCGGTCTCCCTCCTCCCTGTCTCCAAAGCGGCACCGCCCTCGTGCGGGTTTTCTAACCGGGCAGAGTCCTGGAAGCTCTGCCCCAGCCTCCTTAAGTGGAGCCCAGTAGCTCGCCGAGGCCAAGGAAACGCTGCCGGAGTCCTCCCTCCCTGGCCTCCTCAGGCTGCATTCACCCTACCCCCAAATCTGAACCAGAATGCGGTACAGGGTAATCATTTCCATGTTGTTGGGAGGGACCAGATTAGCTGCTGGGTGGGTGGGAGGTGGGGCACAAGCTAGTCCTTTGCACTCAACAAACCTCTCCAGGGTGAGCTAGGCCAGGAAGTCCTTGCATCCTCCTACCCCCAGCCCTGGAGAGAGCAACACAAACAACAGGATACAGGAAGTTTAGAAAACTGCCTTTATTCTATTAGTAGTTGGAAAAATTAACTGGTACAGAAAAAAAGTTTAGTCAGCTGGAGAGAAGAGAGACTGAGTGCCACCCATGAGAACTGGTGGCTCCTCTGGGAGGGAACCTGGATACAGTGAGGAGAAAAGAGCACTGTGAATTAGAGCCAGATGCTTAAGTCCAGGTGAGACAGGTTATGCCATCTTCCAAAGTGTCTAATTGCCTCAGGCGTGAAACCAATTCCTATTTACTTAGCCCAGCTCCATGGGGTACTGAGATACATGGGGCCGAAAAGGGGTAATATGGCCATCTTTTATCAGAAAAAGTGACAAAACGGGAATTTAAAAAATGAATTTTCCATCTGACTTTATTTCCAAATACACTTTCTTTTTTAAAAAACCAATACACTTTCTTTGAGGATGACAGTATTAGGAAATCCAATTATACAAAAAATACTACATCTAGTCTGGGGTAGATATATTTATTTTTGGTAACATACATTAAGTGGCACTAATTACACAGTAACTATAAGGTAACTAACATGAAACCACAGAACTGTAACTCTGCCACAGCTGCATGAACTTGGGCTTTTCTGGTTGAGCCCATTTTCAAAAAACTGCCCACCCCAGAGCTATGCCAACAAAATCTGTTACGGAGTAAAGCCCTGAAGTGGTGACTCACCAGAGTACCTTGCAGCTGACAGATAATAGGCAGGACATGTTAGTTATAAAGTAGTTACAGCCTAATTCACAAAAGTTACCAACTGTTTCTCTTTCTAGAAAGAAGCAAGAAGTTAAGAAATTCCTTGAATTAGCGCCTGGTGTGTCAGGTGGGAGTGCAGAGGAGGGCTGTTAGAGCAGTGTCAAAAGGACCCTGGTGGGCCAGACGGGTTGGACATCGTTAATAATCATAGTTGGCTTCTAAATACTGGTAGCAAGATGACTTCTGATTTGTAATCTTAGGTAAATTATAGATAAATGAAAAAGGCCAGTAATCATACACTAAGATTAATAAACAGCACTTCAAAATTAACCGCATAAGGGCTGTGCTTGCAGCAAGGTTTCACAAGACAAGGCACCCAGATTTTTTCTTCCCACGTCTAGCTTGCAGAGCAGCTCTCGTAGCCATTTCAAAAACCTCTCTCACTCCATCTTTGGTCTTTGCTGAACACTCCATGTACCCAAAAGCGCCAATCCTGTTTGCCATATCTCTGCCTTCTTCAGGTTTCACCGGCTCCTAGCAAAGAAAAAAAAATAGTCCTTTTAGCTAATAGTGTGGCATACATATAGTAAGTAAAAAGTATTCAAATTCATCTAAAAGATTTTTTTTTCTTTTTTTGAGACAGTTTTGCTCGTCGGTCGCCCAGGCTGGAGGGCAATGGCATGATCTCAGCTGACTGCAACCTCCACCTCCTGGGTTCAAGGGATTCTCCCGCCTCAGCCTCCCGAGTAGCTGGGACTACAGGTGCCCACCACCACGCCCAAGTAATTTTTTAGTAGAGATGGGGTTTCACCATTTTGGCCAGGCTGGTCTCGAACTCCTGACCAAGTGATCTGCCCACCTCGGCCTCCCAAAGTGCTGGGATACAGGCATGAGCCACTGTACCCAGCCTAAAAAAAAAAAAGACTTTCAAAAGCTGTTAAACTTGGCTGGGTGTGGTGGCTCACACCTGTAATCCCAGCACTTTGGGAGGCTGAGCTGGGCGGATCACGAGTTTAGGAGATCAAGACCATCCTGGCCAACATGGTGAAACCCCTCTTTACTAAAATACAAAAAATCACCTGGGTGTGGTAGTGGGCGCCTGTAACCCCAGCTACTCAGGAGGCTGAGGCAGGGGAATCGCTTAAATCTGGGAGGCGGAGGTTGCAGTTGAGCCAAGATCGTGCCACAGCACTCCAGCCTGGCGACACAGTGAGGCTCCTTCTCAAAAAAAACAAAACAAAAAAAAAAAACAACAAACTGCTAAACTTATGAAATTTTTAAACTGACATATGGTAACTACCCCCTACCAAACATAAAATCTCTAATAAACATGGTATTCACTGGGAAGTAGAGGGAAGAGGTCAGAGGAGCCCTGGAAGGTTAAGGAGTCAATCAAGAGCAAAATTACTCAAGCTACCAATCCAGGACTAAATGCCCTGAAGGAAATAAAGCCTACCCTTGACATTCAGACAGAGAAACCTGAGTAAGAGAACTTAGGTTGAAGATCTCAATGCTTCTCCTCCAGTGAGGAAGCCCTGCCATTAGGCCAGCTGGTTTCTGAGAGGCCAAGATGCCACATCCATCATCACTTTTAAAAAGGCATTGGGAGTGGAGGAGAGGGAAGGCATTAGGGCTTTCTATCTGGACTCCCAGCCTTCAAGATTTCCTTATCTTTCAGTTGCCACTAATTTATCTTTGGCCTCACATGTACCAAAGTAATAGCTGGGGAAGGCAATCAAGAGTCTAACAGGCCCGGGCGTGGTGGCTCACACCTGTAATCCCAGCACTTTGGGAGGCCAAGGCGGGCAGATCACCTAAGGTCAGGAGTTTGAGACCAGCCTGACCAACATGGAGAAAACCCGTCTCTACTAAAAATACAAAAATTAGCCAGGCGTGGTGGCACATGCCTGTAATCCCAGCAACTTGGGAGGCTGAGGCAGGAGAATCACTTAAACCTTGGAGGCTGAGGTTGCAGCCGAGATAGCATCACTGCATTCCAGCCTGGGTGACAAAAGCAAAACTGTGTCTCAAAAAATAAAAATAAAGAGTCTAACAGAGGCCAGGCACAGTGGCTCACACCTGTAATCCCTGCACTTTGGGAGGCAAAAGTGGGCAGATCACTTGAGGTAAGGAGTTCAAGACCAGCCTGGCCAACAGGGTGAAACCCCATCTATTAAAAAAAAAAAAAATTAGCCGGTCATGGTGGAGGGTGCCTGTAGTCCCAGCTACTCGGGAGTCTGAGGCAGAAGAATCGCTTGAACCCCGGAGGCGGAGGTTGCAGTGAGCTGAGATTGCGCCACTGCACTCCAGCCTGGGTGACAGAATGAGACTCCATATCAAAAAAAAGAAAGTTCCTACATCTAGAGCCACTGATTACTAGCTACTAATGAAATGGTTCATTCTCAGGCCAGCAGTCCTTATGGGCATAGCACTACCTCATAAAAAAACATTCCATCTCACAGGACTGGTGAACTATCTTAGGGATCTTCTGTGAAGATCCCAATTAATGAGGGTCAGAGGGCCACAGAGGGGCTTCTGAGCCTCTAAAACAACCTGGCCTGTGAAGGTTCCTGCTGGGCTCCCCAAACCTCCAAACTTGGGGCCCTAGTTCAAGAATACTACAAGACAGTCCTGCCCCAGATCATGCCTGCTTCATCTTGGCTAGCTCCCGCCTTGTGTGCTCATCATTCCGAAGATCCTTCTTATTCCCAACCAGGATGATGGGCACGTTGGGACAGAAATGCTTGACTTCTGGGGTCCACTTTTCTGGGATGTTTTCTGAAAGAAAAATGTAGAGAATTTGGGGATACATACAATTCTATCTTGAAGACTTTCCAAGAACCTCAGTGAAATTGCAGAGACACTTTCTTTGTGGCTTCAGAAAAATGCTAGACATTTAATGAAACTCACTAGTTTCAAAACCATAAAAAGGAAATATAATCCCTTTCCTTTAAACAGAGAACCAACAGCTTTTTCTCAGTCCAGCCAAGAGTGGTGCTGAGCATCTCTGTAGGTGGGGCCCGAGTAAGGGCTCTGGAGGAGCAAAAGATCCACAACACAAGGTAGTTTCACGGGGGGCACTTCCTGCCCCACAAAGGCAGGCACTTTACAGGACATCTGTCACTGCTGGTAGATGATTCTGACATAGCTTACAGAAGGGGTCCCCATTCTAGGGCAGCAGCTGACCCAGGGTCCACATGTTCTTTTTCTAACTTGTTCATCAACTCTCAGCATAACTTCTACCCTATGGGGTTTACTGGTATTTCAAATGGCTGAAGAGTGACTTTTGGCCGGGAGCGGTGGCTCATGCCTGTAATCCCAGCACTTTGGGAGGCCAAGGTGGGCGGATCATGAGGTCAGGAGATCGAGACCATCCTGGCTAACACAGTGAAACCCCGTCTCTACTAAAAATACAAAAAAAATTAGCCGGGTGTAGTGGTGGGCACCTGTAGTCCCAGCTATTCAGGAGGCTGAGGCAGGAGAATGGTGTGAACCCGGGAGGCAGAGCTTGCCATGAGCTGAGATCGCGCCACTGCACTCCTGGGCGACAGAGCAAGACTCCGTCTCAAATAAAAAAAAGTGACTTTTGAAAATAACCAAAAGAGGCTGGGCGTGGTGACTCATACTTGTAATTCCAGCACTTTTGAGAGGCTAAGGCAAGTAGACAGCTTGGGCCTAGGAGCTCAAGAACAGCCTATGCAACATGGCTAAACCCCATCTCCAGACAGCGTGGTGGCTCGTGCCTGTAATCCCAGCACTTTGGGAGGCTTAGGTGGGTGGATCACCAGAGGTCAGGAGTTCGAGACCAGCCTGGCCAACATGGCGAAACCTCATCTCTACTAAAATTACTAAAATTAGCCGGGCGCAGTGGTGTGCACCTATAGTCCCAGCTACTTGGGAGGCTGAGGCAGAAGAAACACTTGAACCCAGGAGGTGGAGGTTGTGATGAGTCGAGATCGCAATACTACACTCACTCCAGCCTGGGCAACAGAGTGAGACTCTGTATCAAAAAAGTCAAAAACCCCATCTCCACAAAAACATACAAAAACTTAGCAGTTTACAGTGGTACATGTGCCTGCATTCCCACCTACTTGAGAGGCTGAGGTGGGAGGATCACTGGAGTCCAGGATTCAAGGTAGCAGTGAGCTATGATCACGCTACTACTGCACTCCAGCCAGGGTGACAAAGTGAGACTTCATCTCTTAAAAACAAATAAATAGGCTGGGCGCAGTGGCTCACGTCTATAATCCCAAAACTTTGAGAGGCTGAGGCAGGTGGATCGCGTTAGGTCAGGAGTTCGAGACCAGTCTGGCCAACATGGTGAAACCCCATCTCTATTAAAAATACAAAAAGATTGCCAGGCGCAGTGGTTCATGCCTATAATCCCAGCACTGTGAAGGCCGGGGCGGGTGGATCACCTCAGGTCGGGAGTTGGGAGACCAGCATAACCAACATGGAGAAACCCCGTCTCTACTAAAAATACAAAATTAGCTGGGCGTGGTGGCACATGCCTGCAATCCCAGCTACTTGAGAGGCTGAGGCTGGAGAATCGCTTGAACCCGGGAGGCGGAAGTTGCAGTGAGCCGAGATCGTGCCATTGCACTCCAGCCTGGGCAACAAGAGCGAAACTCCGTCTCAAAAACAACAAAACAAAACAAAAAAATTAACTGGGCATGGTGGTGCACACCTGTAATCCCAGCTACTAGGGAGGCTGAGGCAGGGAAATTCCTTGAACCAGGGAGGTGGAGGTTGCAGTGAGCCAAGATCGTGCCACTGCCCTCCAGCCTGGGCGACAGAGCGAGACTCCGTCTCAAAATAAATAAATAAATAAATAAATAAAAATAAATAGACCAGGTGCAGTGGCTCATCAGGCCTGTAATCTCAGCACTTTGGGAGGCCGAGGCAGGTGGATCAGGAGTTTGAGACCAGTCTGGCCAACATGTTGAAACCCTGTCTCTACTAATAATACAAAAATTAGTCAGGCATGGTGGTGCATGCCTGTAATCCCAGCTACTTGGGAGGCTGAGGCAGAAGAAGTGCTTGAACCCGGGAGGCGGAGTGCAGTGAGCTGAGATCGCACCATTGCACTCCAGCCTGCGTGACAAGAGCAAAAGTCTGTCTCAAAAAAACAAAAATAAAAATAAATAAAACAAAACAGCATACAACCATGACCCACCTCTACAAATGTTATTTGTAATATTTACTGTTACTGGGTTTACTGTTGTTATTTTCTGATTTACTTTTTTGGGGGCATTGAGGGGAGCCTATTCTGTCTTCCCTCATCTAGAACAGAAGTTTTTTTTTTTTTTTTTTAGATGGACTCTTGCTCTGTCGCCCAGGCTGGAGCGCAGTGGCGCAATCTCAGCTCACTACAACCTCTGCCTCCCGGGTTCAAGCAATTCTCCTGCCTCAGCCTCCCGAGTAGCTGGGATTACAGGCACTCGCCACCACGCCCGGATGATTTTTTTGTATTTTTAGTAGAGACAGGGATTCACCATGTTGGACAGGCTGGTCTTGAACTCCTGACCTCAGGATCCACCCACCTTGGCCTCCCAAAGTGGTGGGATTACAGGTGTGAGCCACAGTGCCTGGCCTAGAATAGATGTTCTGTTAGTAGGTGCTGTAGTTATTTCCTGAATATGTGAAATTATACCAATAGTCTACCCCCTTCCTGGAGTTTGAGGTACATAGAATTTGAATAAATTGACTGTCGCCACTTTTGGTGAATAAATTTTCAAACTTTTTTTTTTTTTTTTTTTGAGACAAGAGTCTCACTCTGTCACCTAGGCTGGAGTGCAGTGATGCGATCTCGGCTCACTGCAACCTCTGCCTCCCAGGTTCAAGCAATTCTCCTGCCTCAGCCTCCTGAGTAGCTGGGATTACAGGTACATGCCACCATACTTGGCTAAGTTTTGTATTTTTAGTAGCGACAGGATTTCACCATGTTGGCCAGGCTGGTCTCGAACTCCTGACCTCAGGTGATCCGCCTACCTCAGCCTCCCGAAGTGCTGGGATTACAGGCGTGAGCCACCATGCCCGGCCTAAAAAATATAAAAATTAACCAAGCGCAGCAGTGTGTGCCTGTAGTACCAACTACTGGGTGGGGACTGAGATGGGAGGATTGTTTGAGCCCAGGAGGTCGAGGCAGCAGTAAACTGAATCTGCAACTGCACTCAAGACTGGGCAAGAAAGCGAGACCCTGTCTCAAAAAGAAAAAAGTGAGACTGAAGAGACAAAATGTTTTGCTCTGGAGGCAGTTTTTTCCCTCAAGAATTATACACTAGATAACGAGGGCAAAGGCACACAGTCCTTCTCATTCCAATAGGATCTAGGTGAAGTTATTTATGTGTGTATCTGATAGGAGAGTGTCAACTAGCTCAAATTTTCTCTGTGGCCTAAAGCTCTGCCCAGCCTCCAGGGCCTTCCAGCAGCTTCACAAAAGGAAGTCATATTAGTTTGAAAACCAAAACTAGGCTGGGTGTGGTGGCTCACACCTGTAATCCCAGCACTTTGGGAGGCCAAGGTGAGTGGATCACCAGAGGTCAGAAGTTTGAGAGAAGCCTGGCCAACACGGAGAAACCCGGTCTCTACTAAAAATACAAAAATCACCCAGGCGTGGGGGCGTATGCCTGTAGTCCAAGCTACTTGGGAGGCTGAGACAGGAGATTTGCTTGAACCTGGAAGGCGGAGGTTGCAGTGAGCCAAGATTGTGCCACTCAACTCCAGCCTGGGCAACAGAGCGAGACCCCGCCTCTAAATCAATCAATCAATCATAACTGCTGAAAATGATCTAAGTGAACCAACGGCATGGAATACGTGCTCTTTCTCTGTCCTGGGACATACTGCACAGAGGACTCAATCTTAGCTCAGCTCCTTGGGCCAGCATGACCTTAAACAAGTGGCTCAATATCTTGGAGCAACCCCAGTTATCATCATTAAGGTAGGGACAACCATAACAACACAATCACTCTAACACTAACTATCCAGGCAACCCGAGGCCACAAGCAGACCCTCAAAGGCTGTTTGTGGTAATGACGACAACATCCTTGACCCACCTGCTGCCCTGTCATGACAGGGAGGGCTGCAGCACAAGTTTATTAATAGATACCTCATCATCTTCAGCACAAACCTAAAGCAAGTTTTTTCAAGCCTGGTTTCACAGAATGTCAGGTTAGCATTCTTCAGTCTTTTTCTAAAGAATACTGACTTCTGGGCCAGGCGCAGTGGCTCACGCCTGTAATCCCAGCACTTTGGGAGGCCGAGGCAGGCGGATCACGAGGTCAGGAGATCAAGATCATCCTGGCTAACGTGGTGAAATCCCATCTCTACTAAAAAATACAAAAAATTAGCCGGGCGTGGTGGTGGCCACCTGTAGTCCCAGCTACTTGGGTGGCTGAGGCAGGAGAATGGCATCAACCCAGGAGGCAGAGCTTGCAGTGAGCTGAGATCAAGCTGCTGCAATCCAGCCTGGGAGACAGAGCAAGACTCCCTCTCAAAAAAAAAAAAAAAAAAAAAAAAGAATACTGACTTACTGACTTCTGAATTATGTGGCTGTGTTTAGGCTAATGAAATGATCACATTCAAGCTTCTATCAGCTAAGACACTTCAGAAAAAGGCTAAGACAGGGCAACCAAAAAAAAGAAAGTCTTTCCCCAAAAGAGATGGCTTTACATTTGGAACTCATCTAGTTTGCTCATCTTTTTTTTTGGGAGATGGAGTCTGCAGTACAGTGGCATGATCTTGGCTCACTGCAACTTCTGCTTCCCAGGCTCAAGTGATTCTCCTGCCTCAGCCCCTGGAATAGCTGGGATTACAAGTGCACGCCACCACACCCAGCTAATTTTTGTATTTTAGTAGAGACAAGGGGTTCACCATGTTGCCTAGGCTGGTCTCAAACTCCTGACCTCAGGTGATCTGCCAGCCTCGGCCTCCCAAAGTGCTAGGATTACAGGTGTCAGCCGCCGCACCAGCCTTAGTTTACTCATCTTTGTATCTGGAATTCATCTAGTTTACAAGGCAGTTAGATTTTTAAATAACATTTAATATTATTTAGTAATAATAATAATAATTATTATTTTTGAGATAGAGTCTTGCTCTGTTGCTCAGTCTGGAATGCAGTGCCATAATCTCGGCTCACTGCAATCTCCACCTACCAGGTTCAAACGATTCTCCTGCCTCAGCCTCCCAAGTACCTGGGACTACAGGCGTGCACCACCATGCCTGGCTAATTTTTTTGTACTTTTAGTAAAGACGGGGTTTCACCATGTTGGCCAGGCTGGTCTTGAACTCCTGACCCTCAGGTGATCCACCCGTCTGGACCTCCCAAAGCGCAGGGATTATAGGTGTCAGGCACCGTGCCCTGCCTAGGTGGATACATTTTAAATACAGTACCCATGGGAGACCTAGGCTGAAAGGGACCCAAGGCCCACGCTCTACAATCCCAAACTCCAGGACTCCGGCCACTGACGATGATTGCTTCTCTGAAGTTCATGTCTGCTTTTCAGCCACTTGATGCCCAGAAACCAGATGCCAACTAGCTACACAGGCAGTGACAAATATCAGGGTGCAGGGCCACTCACCTAAACTATCAGGGCTGTCGATGGAAAAACACATCAGTATAACATCGGTATCTGGGTAGGAGAGGGGCCTCAGGCGATCATAATCTTCCTGCCCAGCTGTGTCCCACAAAGCCAACTCTACCTGTAATGGGAAAAACAACCACAAGAGTGCAAGGTTAATCCCCCCACCCACTTTTAGAAAAAGTGACACTTACCATAGTACATTGAAATGGCAGACCATTGAAATGGCAGACGGTCTAAAACAGTAAAACACAGGAGTATTTACATTTTTTCTTTTTTCTTTTTTTTTTTTTTTTTTGAGATGTAGTCTTGCTCTGTCGCCCAGGCTAGAGTGCAGTGGCGCGATCTCTGCTCCCTGCAAGCTCCGTCTCCCGGGTTCACACCATTCTCCTGCCTTGGCCTCCCAAGTAGCTGGGACTACAGGTGCCCGCCATCACACCCGGCTAATTTTTTGTATTTTTAGTAGAGACGGGGTTTCACTGTGTTAGCCAGGATGGTCTGGATCTCCTGACCTCATGATCCGTCCGCCTCGGCCTCCCAAAGTGTTGGGATTGCAGGCGTGACCCACCGCGCCTGGCCTTTTTTTTTTTTTTTTTTTTTTTTTTTTTTTTTGTTGAGACGGAGTCTTACTCTGTTGCTCAGACTGGAGTTCAGTGGCAAGATCTTGGCTCACTGCAAGCTCTGCCCCCGGGTTCATGCCATTCTCCTGCCTCAGCCTCCTGAGCAGCTGGGACTACAGGCGCCCGCCACCACGCTTGGCTAATTTTTCGTACTTTTAGTAGAGACGGGGTTTCACCATGTTAGCCAGGATGGTCTTGATCTCCTGACCTCGTGATCCGCCTGCCTCGGCCTCCCAAAGTGCTGGGATTACAGGCATGAGCCACCACACCCGGCCGAGTATTCACTTTTATGAGCATCAAGCTCAAATGAGAGTATATTTAAATTATTTTAGGTTGAAATTTCTCAAAATTGAAAATCTGAGAACCCACCTCTACAAAAACACCTTAAAAATTAGCTGAGTGTGGCCAGGCGCGGTGGCTCATGCCTGTAATCCTAGCACTTTGGGAGGCTGAGGCGGGCTGACTGCCTGAGCTCAGGAGTTCGAGACCAGCCTGGGCAACATGGTGAAACCCCGTCCCTACTAAAATACGAAAGAAATTAGCCAGGCACGGCAGCGTGCGCCTGTAGTCCCAGCTACTGGAGAGGCTAAGGCAGGTGAATTGCTTGAACTCGAGAGGCAAAGGTTGCAGTGAGCCAAGATCGTGCCACTGCACTCCAGCACTCCAGCATGGGCGACAAAGCGAGCCTCCATCTCTAAAAAAAAAAAAAATAAATAAAATAAAACTTAGCTGAGTGTGGGCTGGGTGCGGTGGCTCACGCCTGTAATCCCAGCACTTTGGGAGGCCAAGGCGGGCGGATCACCTGAAGTCGGAAGTTCGAGACTAGCCTGACAAATGTGGAGAAACCCCATCTCTACTGAAAATACAAAATTAGCTGGGCGTGGTGAAGCATGCCTGTAATCCCAGCTACTCAGGAGGCTGAGGCAGGAGAATCGCTTGAACCCAGGAGGCGGAGGTTGCAATGAGTGGAGGTTGCAATGAGCTGAGATTGCACCACTGCACTCCAGCCTGGCCAACAAGAGCGAAACTCCATTTAAAAAAAAAAAAAAATTAGCTGACTGTGGTGGTGCACGCCTGTAGTCCCAGCTACTTGGGAGACTGAGGTGGGAGGACTGCTTGAGCCCGGGAGGCGGAGGTTGCAGTAAGCAGAGATTGTGCCACTGCACTGCAGCCTAGGCAGTGAGACCTTGACTCAATTAGGAAAAAAACAAAAAAACAAAACAGATACTAGAACTGAACCAAGTGGCATAATTCAAAATGTCAAGTCAAAAATAACTCTGTAGCTTATAAAAGTGTTTAATTATAAATAACATTCTACTAGGAAAGAAAGCAGACAGGAGGGAAGAAATCAAATTTTAAATAACATCCTACCAGGCATACAGGCGAGAGAGGAAGATACAAGACTAAGTAAATTTTCTGCTATAATGTGGAAACCATGGAAACAAATCTGTATTTTGAGTTGGTAGGTAGGAAAAGACACCATGCTGGCTGTTAGGCAAGGCCTGAGATGACAGGAAAGCCCTTTTGGCTGTGCCTTTACTACTCAAGAAATGTCTGAAATAATGCATCACGTAAGGTGAGAGAGTACTCCTTTCACATCCGGGTACATCCTCACCCTCCTGTGGTAGAAGGGTAAACTGATGCCTGGGCTCTGAATACAAGTCCCATTCAACACTGCCCAGCACTGCACCCAGCTCTGCTACCCCATTCTTATCACCAGACTCCATGTTAAACATCCTCTGTACAGAGGCCCTTTGAGGCCCAAGAGGTCTCCCTCCAATACTTGGAACACATCTTTCTTCTCTTAGCACCTTCACAGCCCAAATTTCAGTTTCTAAATGATTTCTTCCTTAAAATTGATGGCTCTTCCACCCCCGAACTTTTGCCCCAGGATGCATCACAAATAACCTCCACAAGGCCCACTGTACTTCTGTCATGCAAACCATCATTCTGGCATGTGTAACTAAGATATACTGATGCCCAATTATCACAATCTGTCTGCCCTCACAATAATGGAGCTCATTTACTCCCTGGCAAATCCCACTCTCCCGGCCCCCTCCACCCCACGGTGTTTAGTCATATATCCAGCCTCTATTGGCGCTTGATAAAATGCTTCCAAGATGTTGAGTCTGTCTCATATCAAAAGGGGCCTTTTCATTGTGAGCAGGCCTACTCTTGGTACCATGATCACCTACAATCTTGTATGGTTCCCTAGGCTGTACTATTGCCTACTGTTTTTTTTTTTTTTTGAGACAGAGTTTCGCCCTTGTCGCCCAGGCTTGAGTGCAGTGGCGCAGTCTCAGTTCACTGCAACCTCTGCCTCCCAGGTTCAAGTGATTCTCCTGCCTCAGCCTCCCAAGTAGCTGGGATTACAAGTGCCTGCCACCACGCCCAGCTAATTTTTTGTATTTTTAGTAGAGATTGGGTTTTGCCATGTTGGGCAGGCTGGTCTCAAACTCCTGACCTCTGGTGATCCTCCTGCCTCAGCCTCCCAAAGTGCTGGATTACAGGTGTGAGCTACGACGTCTGGCCTTATACTATTGCATACTGTTAAATGAATATTCCTACACAGTACCCTCTCCCATCTTGGGGACTCTTGAGTTGCTCTGAGGCAGGCAGGTAGCCTGTAATATGCTCTTCAATCAAACACTTTTATTCCAGGGGACTCTCCTCAAGTGAGAACCTCCCCCTATCTTGCGAGGGTCAGTGATGTCCAAGGTTTGCAGCACAAGAAAAATACTCACAGACCATGCCTCAAGGTTTTAAGTCAAGGTCTCTAAATTTCTTATGGGCAAGATTCTGGTTGTTCCAAGATGCCCAGGCAGAAATAATGTTTCCAAGAGAACCAAAGAGCTGCTTCCAAAACATACATACTGCCACAGATGGAAAAGACCCTTCCAGTTCATGCTTACAGACATGCAGCAATTAACAGCCACTCTCTGGAGAAAATGTTAGGATACAACCAGTAATATACATTCACTACTAGGCTTTTGAGAAATAAGCTATGAAAATGCCAACCTGACATTGCTTCCCCAAGCCAATGGATCTTTCTATGTATGGTGCATCAATCTAAGTTAGGTAAGAGGGCTATAACTTGACACCAATCCTGAAGATGTCATCACATTTCTACCTAGTTTGTCACAACTGGGCCCTGTGTCCATATAAAACCAGTTTTCCTATCAGGACCACAAAAACACCTATGTCCAAGCATCCATGCTTGGCTGAGGCTGAATTAACACCCTCTGTATTGGTTTGCCACCTTCAGGGTACATCCCAAAATTCTGTTAGGCTGGTATTTGTTGTATTTTTTCCATCTATACTTGGGCCAGAAAGTATCTTAGAGTTCCTATTAGCATAAGAGCAATCATCGTGGCTCACTCTGTATTTGAATAAAAAAGAGCACAAACTATAGGACGGGCGCAGTGGCTCACGCCTGTAATCCCAGCACTTTGGGAGGCAGGCAGATCACGAGGTCAGGAGATCCAGACCATCCTGGCTAACACGGTGAAACCCTGTCTCTACTAAAAATACAAAAAACTAGCCAGGCGTGGTGGCGGGCGCCTGTAGTCCCGGCTACTCCGGAGGATGAGGCAGGAGAATGGCGTGAACCCAGGAGGCAGAGGTTGCAGTTAGCAGAGATCACGCCACTGCACTCCAGCCTGGGCGACAGAGCGAGACTCTGTCTCAAAAAAAAAAAAAAAAAAAAGGACTACAAACTATGAAAGAGGGTTTTGAACATGGCAGTATTCATCTCTTAGAAAGCGCTTTGGTGCTGCCAAACATTTTCCGTTACTTCACAGAACCTTGATGTCACCTATAAAAACCGTTTTACAAATGAGGAAGGCTCAAAGGTCAGGAGCTTACTGATGGTCAAACAACTATCAGGAAGCCCTACAATGAGGGACCCTGGAGTTCTGAGCAGCTGATCTAACCCACATTCCTCACACAGTGCCACAAAAGGAGGCTAGGTGGCCCTAGGACAGAAAGAAATAAGTAATGTGGACAAGTAGAAGTGGCCAGGCACGGTGGCTCATGCATGTAATCCCAGCACTTTGGGAGGCCAAGGCGGGCGGATCACCTGACGTCAAAAGTTCGAGACCAGCCTGGCCAACATGGCGAAACCTCGTCTCTACTAAAAATACAAAGATTAGCTGGGCTTGGTGGCAGGCACCTGTAATCCCAGCTCCTCGGGAGGCTGAGATAGGAGAATTGCTTGAACTCAGGAGGCGGAGGTTGTTGTAAACCAAGATCATGCCATTGCACTCCAACCTGGGTGATAGAGGGAGACTCTGTCTCTAGACAAACAAACAAAAACAAAGTAAGAAAGGAGAAAGGGGATGAATGGAAGCTAATATATCAAGTGTTAGCAGCATATGAGACATATAACTGAATGCTCAAGAAAAATGAGAATGTTGGAGAAGAGCACCTCATTCTAGTTTTAGGGGTTTTTTCCTTTCAGCTGACCCACTTCAAAAGATGTATAGGAGAGCTGGGCACGCTGGCTTGCGCCTGTAAGCCCAGCCACTTGGGGCTGAGATGGAAGAACTTGAGCCCAGTTGTTTGAAACCAGCTGGACCAACACAAGACCTCATCTCTAAAAACATAAATTACCCAGGTGTGGTGGCACATACCTACAGTGCCAGCTATTTGGGAGGCTGAGGTGGAAGGATCACTTGAGCCCAAGAGTTCAAGGCTGCATGATCATGTCACAGCACTGCAGGCCTGGGAGACAAAGTACAATCCCTGTCTCTTTATTTAAGAGAAAAAAAAAAAAGTATGAGAGGCCAAGCAAAGCATTACTTAGACAACAAAAGGAAGCAGAAGATTAAAAAAAAAAACAAAAACAAACCAAAACCAAAATTAAAACCCAAAAAAACCCTCCAATTTCACAAGAGCTTTGTTCCAGTCTTGCCAGAGGGCTTTTAGGACAGAAATGGGGAAGCACTGTTCTCACCATCAATGACAATAAAATAAAACAACTGTGGCAGGCTATTTTATGTTAAAGTAAAAAAAAATCTTTTGGCCGGGCACAGTGGCTCATGCCTGTAATCCCAGCACTTTGGGAGGCCGAGACGGGCAGATCACAAGATCAGGAGATCGAGACCATCCTGGCTAACACGGTGAAACCCCGTCTCTACTAAAAATACAAAAAATTAGCCAGTCTGGTGGTGGACACCTGTAGTCCCAGCTACTTGGGAGGATGAGGCAGGAGAACAGCGTGAACCCAGGAGGCAGAGCTTGAACTAGTAATCTAATACTGGGACATCTGATTAAATACTTTGACAGAATTTTTGTCAAAGTCCAAGCATACAAAGAAGTTCATCTGAGCATTATCTATATGGCAATGAACTAAACTTCAAATATACGTAAACTTGAAAAGAGCACATATGGCTGGGCAAGGTGGCTCACGCCTGTAATCCCAGCACTTTGGGAGGCTGAGGCAGGTGGATCATCTGAGGTCAGGAGCTTGAGACCAGCCTGGCCAACATGGCAAAATTGCATCTTTACAAAATACAAGTATTAGCCAGGCATGGCGGCGTGCGCCTGTAATCCCAGCTACTCTACTCTGGAGGCTGAGGCAAAAGAATTGCTTGAACCCGGGAGGTGGAGGTTGCAGCGAGCTGAGATTGTACCACTGCACTCCAGCCTGGGCGACAGAGCGAGACTCTGTCTCAAACAACAAAACAAAACAAAAAAAAAACACATATGCTAAGGACACCATGTCAAATACATATGAATGTAAACAAAGTCTGGATGAGTAGCAGTTAAAAATGAAAAAACAGCCAATCACCTGCGGTCAGGAGTTCATGACCAGCCTGGCCAACGTAGTGAAACCCCATTTCTACTAAAAATACAAAAATCAGCCAGGTGTGGTGGCATATTCCCGTAATCCCAGCTACTGGGGAGGCTGAGGCAGGAGAATCCTTTAAACCTGGGGGAAGGCTGGGCACAGTGGCTCACTCCTGTAATCCCAGCACTTTGGGAGGCTGAGGTGGGTGGATCACCCGAGGTCAGAAGTTTGAGACCAGCCTGGTGAAACCCCATCTCTACTAAACGAAAAATGAGCTCAGCATGGTGGCAACATGCCTGTAATCCCTGCTATTTGGGAGGCTGAGGCAGGAGAATCACTTGAACCTGGGAGGCAGAGGTTGCAGTGAGCCAAGACCGAGCCACTGCACTCTAGCCTGGGCAACAGAATGAGACTCCGTCTCCAAAAAAAAAAAAAGAACAAACTTGGACTAAGATGGCAGGATGAGAATGGATTCTTCTTTCCAACATTTTTGTTATATGGTATACTGAAGAGGCAAAAAGCTCTAATTCTCTACATGCTCCATAAATATTCTAACATGGAAAATGGCATCAGTTGTTATGAAAAGTATACTCACCTGCTTTCCATCCACCTCGATATCTGCCACATAGTTCTCAAACACTGTGGGCACATACACCTCTGGGAACTGGTCCTTGCTGAAGACTATGAGCAAGCATGTCTTTCCACAGGCTCCATCACCAACAATCACCAGTTTCTTCCGGATGGCAGCCATTGCTGAAACACAAAACACAGATATTACCTGCAATGCACAAGAAGTCATAGGTAGCTTACAGGATGACACATGCTTTGGTAACCATGGGGCATAAACCTCTATTAGCATACTCAAATTCAAACTTCTAGTACGCCGATCCACCTGGCACCAAAAGGTTATACATTAAAAACTCGTAACTAACATTATACTTAATGGTAAAAGACTGAAAAAAAGGTCTGCCCCCTAAGATCAGGAACAAGACAAGAATGTCTGTTCTTGCCACTTCTTTTTTTTTTTGAGACGGAGTCTCACTCTGTCGCCCAGGCTGGAGTGCACTGGCCCAATCTCAGTTCACTGCAACCTCCAGCCTCCCGGGTTCAAGCAATTCTCCTGCCTCAGACTCCCAAGTAGCTGGGATTACAGGCACGTACCACCACATCCAGCTAATTTTTGATAGAGATGGGGTTTCACCTTGTTGGCCAGGCTGGTCTTGAACTCCTGACCTCAGGTGATCCACCTGCCTCAGCCTCCCAAAGTGCTGGGATTACAGGCGTGAGCCACCACGCCTGGCCTGTTCTTGCTACTTCTATCCAGCAGGATACTGGAGGTCCTAGCCAGGGCAATAAGGTAAGAAAATGAAATAAAAGACATCCAAATTGGAAAGGAAGAAGTAAAACTATCTCAATTCACACATGAGATGATTTTGTAATGTGGGAAATCCTAAAGAAAACTTTTAGAATAAACAAGTTCAGTAAGGTTGCAGGATACAATATTAACATTAAAAAATCAATTGAGCCAGGCGCAGTGGCTCACGCCTATAATCCCAGCACTTTGGGAGGCCGAGGCGGGTGGATCACGAGGTCAGGAGATCGAGACCATCCTGGCTAACACGGAGAAACCCCATCTCTACTAAAAATACAAATAACTAGCCGGGCATGGTGGCAGGCACCTGTAGTCCCAGCTACTTGGGAGGCTGAGGCAGGAGAATGGCGTGAACCCAGGAGACAGAGCTTGCAGTGAGCCAAGATCGGGCCACTGCACACCAGCCTGGGGGACAGAGTAAGACTCCATCTCACAAAAAAAAAAAAAAAAAAAAAGGAAACAATTTGTCAAGCAGGGTAAAAACAATGAAAGGACTGATGAAAGGGAGTACCCAAGGGAGGAAAGAACCAAAAAAGTCATCGGCAGGTTGTTTGGGTAGACATTCTGCAATCTTTCTAAGTTTGGATATTCCTTCTTTTACCAATCTAGATTTGTTTGTAAAGAAACAGCATTCTTGGCTGGGCGCGGTGGCTCACGCCTATAATCCCAGCATTTTGGGAGGCCGAGGCAGGCAGATCACCTGAGGTCAGGAGTTTGAGACCAGCCTGGCCAACATGGAGAAACCCCATCTCTACCAAAAATACAAAATTAGCCAGGCGTGGTGGCACATGCCTATAATCCTAGCTACACAGGAGCAAGAGGCAGGAGAATCGCTTGAACCCGGGAGGCAGAGGTTGTGGTGAGCCGAGATCATGCCATTGCACTCCAGCCTGGGCAACAAGAGCGAAACTCCGTCTCAAAAAAGAAAAATCAATTGAGGCCGAGCACAGTGGTTCATGTCTGTAATCCCAACACTTTGGGAGACTGAAGCAGGAGGAATGCTCAGGCCCAGGAGTTAAGAGACCAGCCCTGACAACATAGTGAGACACTGAGAAAGGAAGGACGGACGGAAGCATGAGAGGGGAGGGGAGAAAGAAAAGGGCCGGGCGCAGTGGCTCACGCCTATAATCCCAGCAATCTGGGAGGCCGAAACAGGTGGACTGCTTGAGAGTCCAGGAGTTCAAGACGAGCCTGGGAAACATAGTGAAACCCTGTCTCTACTAAAAATACAAAAAATTAGCCAGGAGCGGTGGTGCATGCTAATCACAGTTACTTGGGAGGCTCAGGTGGGATAATCCCCTGAGCCCTGGAGGTGGAAGCTGCAGTGAGCTGAGATTGCATCACTACACTCCAGCCTGGGGAACCCCAGTGAGACACTGTCTCTAAAAAAAGAAGGAAAAGAAAAAAAAAAAAATCAGCCAGTTGTGGTAGCATGCACCTGTAGTCCCAGCTACCAAGGAGGCTGAGGTGGGAGGATTGCTTGAGCCCAGGAGGTGGAGGATGTGGTGAGCTATGATTGCATCACTGCACTCCAGCCTGGGTGACAGAGTGGAACCTTGTCTCAAACTCTTATGACTCAACTACAAAAAAGCAGCTTAGGTTGGTGGTCTGGCTCAGGATCTCTTGCAAGGTTGAAATCATAAAGAACTCTTTTTGGGCTGGGCACGGTAGCTCACACCTGTAATCCCAGCACTTTGGGAGGCTGAGGCAAGCAGAACACTTGAGGTCAGGAGTTCGAGACCAGCCTGACCAACCCAGCAAAACCCCGTTTCTACAAAAAATTCAAAACTTAGCCGGGTGTGGTGGTGGGCACCTGTAATCCCAGTTACTCGGGAGACTGAGGCAGGAGAATCGCTTGAACCCAGGAGGCAGAAGTTGCAGTGAGCCCAGATTGTACCACTGCACTCCAGCCTGGGCAACAGAGCACTCCAGCCTGGGCAACAGAGTGAAACTGTGTCTTAAAAAAAAAAAAAAAAAAAAAGAGAGAACTCCTTCTGACATGAAGTACGCTATTTATCTATCCATCTATCTTTTTTTTTTTTTTTTTTTTTTTTGAGATGAGGTCTCACTCTGTCACCCAGGCTGGAATGCAGTGGCGTGATCTTGGCTCAATGCAATCTCCACCTCCGAGGCTCAAGTGATCCTCCCACTTCAAATTCCCCAGCAGCTGGGACCACAGGCATGCGCCACCACGCCCAGCTAATTTTTGTATTTTTGGCAGAGACAGGGTTTTGCCATGTTTCCCAGGCTGGTCTCCAACTCCTGAGCTCAAGTGATCTACTCGCCTCGGCCTCCCACAGTGCTGAGGGATTACAGGCGTGAGCCACTGCCCATCTATCTACGCATCTATCCAATCTATGTACCTATCTAACCTATCTATGTGTTTCTCTATTATGTAGTTATTTTCAGAAAGGGTCTCATTCTGTCACCAAGGCTGGAATGCAGTGGTGCAATATTGGCTCACTGCAGCCTCTGCCTCCCAGGCTCAACTCAAGCGATCCTCCCACCTCAACCTCTCCAGTAGCTGGGACTACCAGGCTCCTGCCACCACAGCTGACTAATTTTTATACAGATAGCGTTTCACTATATTACCCAGGCTGGTCTCAAACTCCTGGGCTCATGCAATCCTCCCGATTCAGCCTCCCAAAGTGCTGGGATTACAAGCATAAGCCACCTCCCCAGGCCTAAATACAGTATATAGAAAAAATTAAAAAATAAAGAACTCTTACAATTCAATAATAAAAAGACAAATAATCTAATCCAATTAAAAAATGAGCAAAGGATGTGAGTAGGTATGACCCTGCAATTCTATTCCTAGGTATATATCTAAGAGAAACAAAAACATATGTCCACATAACAACTTGTACCTCTACATGAATATTCATAGCAGGATTATTCATAATATATTGTCAAAAAATGTAAAGAACCCAAATATCCAACAACTGATGAATATAATATATCCATACAATGGAATGGAATATTATTCAGCGATAAAGGATAAAGTACTGATATATGCTATAGTATGGATAGATCTTGGAAATGTTATATAAGTGAAAGAACCCAGTCACAAAAACCAACATGCATGATTCCATTTATATAAAATTGTCCAGAATAAACAAATTCAGAAAGAGAAAATAGACTGGTAGTTGCCTAGGGCAGGGACTTGGGGGTGGAGAGAAATGGAAAATGACTAATGGAATACTGGAGTTTCTCAGGTAAAAAGATTTTTCCAAAATTATTGTGGTGATGGCTGCACAACTCTATGAATATACTATAAACTATTGATTATAGTATATATAATTCACACATTTTATTTATTTTGAGACAGGGTCTCACTCTGTTGCCCAGGCTGGAGTATAGTGGTGCGATCTCCACTCACTGCAACCTTAGCCTCCCCAGGCTCAAGTGAACCTCCAATCTCAGTCTCCCAAGTAGCTGGAACTAAAGGTGCATGCCACCACACCCGGC
The DNA here is from genome assembly GCF_000001405.40 of Homo sapiens. Taxonomy (NCBI): domain Eukaryota; kingdom Metazoa; phylum Chordata; class Mammalia; order Primates; family Hominidae; genus Homo; species Homo sapiens. Next base: position 49,379,679 of record NC_000003.12, read on the forward strand.
TAATTTTTTGTATTTTTAGTAGTGACCGGGTTTCACCACGTTGCCCCAGCTGCTCTCAAACTCCTGAGGTCAAGCGATCCTCCTGCCTGTCTCTCCCAGTGTGTTGGGATTACAGGCGTGAGCCACCGCACCCAGCCCACAGTATATATAATTCACACTTTAAAAAGGTGAATTGTAAGATATGTGGATTATATTTCAATAAAGCTGTTACCACCACTCTCGCCCCCAGTGGGGGGAAAAAAGAGAGAAATCTGCAGATTCCTTCCATCTGGCAGACAGTGATGGTCAACCATCCCAATTCCCGCCCTTCCCTCCTAGACCATACTTCGATTTTTAGCTATGTACTTTGTTGTAGACTACACTTCCTAGCTTCCCTTGGAGACATGGCCATGTACCATGAGATGTGAGAATCAGCAGTATGTTGTGGGACTTCCAGAAAGTCTTTCTTAAAGGGAAGTCTTTATTATCCTCCTCCTTTCCTGCTGCTTAAATCTAAAGTAAGGGCTGGTTTCTAAGCAGCCATCCTGGTATGTGAGAATGAATGCCATACCGTGGGGCTGGAAGAACCAAAAGGTAAAAAGGAGCCTGGATCTCAGGTGATCTTGGGAGCCACCATCTCAGCCCCAAGACTGCCTACCTTCCATGTTTCTTCCATATGAATGAGAAATAAATGACTGTCTTATTTAAGGTGGTATTTTTCAAGTCTCTGTTACCTATAGTCAAACTAATCCTAAATTATATACACTCAGCTGGGCATGGTGATTCACGCCTGTAATCCCAGCACACTGGGAGGCCGAGGCGGGCAGATCACGAGGTCAGGAGTTTGAGACCAGCCTGGCCAACATATGAAACCCCATCTCTATTAAAAATATTAAAATTACCCAGGCGTGGTGGGGTGAGGCAAGAGAATCGCTTGAACCTGGGAGGTGGAGGTTGCAGTGAGCCAAGATCATGCCACTGCACTCCAGCCTGGGTGACAGAGACTCTTGTCTCAAAAATAATAATAATAATAATAATAATAATAATAATAATAATAATAATAAATACTCATTATCAAAACTATATTGTCTAAAGGGTATGTTCCCCAACCAGAATGGATAAGACAATCCACAGGGGTACCAGAAGAAAACTCAGAGGGCAAACAACGACAAAAATAAACAATGAAAACAAAACAAAAAAACTCAGAGGGCTGACAGTGCTGCCATTACTCATTTGTGAATTCTCAGGACAATATTACATACAGCAGTGAATACGTGTGTGTGTATATATATAGATACAGATATTATAGAATTTTATCCAAATCTACAAAATCTAGTAACTTTTTTTTTTTTTGCAAAAAGGGAGTAAATTGAAGATACTACTAATCATGAAAGCACAATAAGAAGCATATCGATGATAGGGAAATGTGCTCAATGCATATCTTCAAACAAGAGCATGCAGTCAAGGCTAGGAGTAATGGCTCATGCCTGTAATGCCAGCACTTTGGGAGGCTGAGGTAGGCGGATCACTTGAGGTCCAGAGTTCAAGACCAGCCTGGCCAACATTGTGAAACCCCGTCTCTACAAAAAATATAAAAATAAGTTGGACGTAGTGGCATGTACCCATAATCCCGGCTACTCGAGAGGCTGAGGCAGGAGAATCTCCTGAACTCAGGAGGCAGAGGCTGCAGTAAGCCGATATCTCGCCATTGCATTCCAGCCTGGGAAACAAGAGAAAAACCCCGTCTCAAAAAAAAAAAAAAAGTTAGCTGGGTTGGTGGCAGGCACCTGTAACCCCTGAAAGGCTACTCAGGATGCTGAGGCATGAGAATCACTTGAATTAGGCAGGCGGAGGTTGCAGTGAGCTGAGAACGCGCCACTGCACTCCAGCCTGGGCAACACAGTGAGACTCTGTCAAAAAAAAAAAAGGATTGGCATGGTGGCTCACGCCTGTAATCCCAGCACTTTGGGAGGCCGAGGCCTGTGGATCACGATGTCAGGAGTTCGAGACCAGCCTGACCAACATGGTGAAACCCCATCTCTACTAAAAATAGAAAAATTAGCCGGGCATGGTGGTCCGCACCTGTAATCTCAGCTACTCAGGAGGCTGAGGCAGGAGAATCACTTGAACCCGGGAGGAGGAAGTTGCAGTGAGCTGAGATCGTGCCACTGCACTCCAGTTTAGGCAACAAGAGCGAAAATTCGTCTCAAAAAAAAAAAAGACAGAGAGTGAAGTTCCCCAGTTAGAGTCAAGTGTGGCAACTCATGCCTGTAATCCCATCTACTCAGGAGGCTGAGGTGGGAAGACAGCTAGAGTCCAGAGTTTGAGACCAGCTTGGGCAAAATAGCAAGACCCTATCTCATAAAAATAAAAAAATATTGGCCGGGCATGGTGGCTCACACCTGTAATCCCAGCACTTTGGGAGGCTGAGGTGGGCAGATCACGAGGTAAGGAGATCGAGACCATCCTGGCTAACATAGTGAAATCCCGTCTCTACTAAAAATACAAAAAATTAGCCAGGCGTCGTGAAGGGCGCCTGTAGTTCCAGCTACTCAGGAGGCTGAGGCATGAGAATGGGGTGAACCCAGGAGGTGGAGCTTGCAGTGAGCTAAGATCGTGCCACTGCACTCCAGCCTGGGTGACAGAGAGAGACTCCGTCTCAAAAATAAATAAATAAATAAAATAAAAAAATAGACACTGGGCGTGGTGGCTCACACCTGTAATCCCAGCACTTTGGGAAGCCAAGGCAGGCAAATTGCTTGAGCCTAAGAGTTGGAGACCATCCTAAACAACACAGTGAAACCCCATCTCTACCCAAAATACAAAAAATTAGCTGGCTGTGGTGGTGCGCATCTGTGGTCACAGCTACTCAGGAGGCTAAGATGGGAGGATCACTTGAGTACAGGAGGCAGAGGTTGCAGTGAGCTGAAATCATGCCACTACACTCCAGCCTGAGTGACACAGTAAGACCCTGTCTCACCAAATAAAGATTTAATAAACTTTACATCTCTCATAAGGCCTAATCTGCATGGGCTTTTGCCCAAAGTCAAACAACCAGGACCCTATGGGATGCAAAGAAACGTCAACAGGAATTCCCCAGTTCAAGAAAAGGCTGCTTTGGCCGAGTGTGCTGGGGTTCATGCCTGCAATCCCAGTACTTTGAGAGGTGGGTGGATCACCTGAGGTCAGGAGTTCGAGACAAGCCTGACCAACATGGTGTAACCCCATATCCACTAAAAATACAAAAATTAGGTGGGCGTGGTGGTGGGCACCTGTAATCCCAACTACTGAGATGCTGAGGCAGGAGAATCACTTGAACACAGGAGGCAAAGGTTGCAGTGAGCCGAGTTAGCGCCATTGCACTCCAGCCTGGGCGACAAGAGCAAAACTCCATCGTATCAGAAAAAAAAAAAGAAAAAGAAAAAGAAAAGGCTGCCACCTTTGCGTAGCACCCTACCTAGAAGACATTCAATTCTTGAGAAATAATCTCTTTCGGCCAGGTGTGGTGGCTCACGCCTGTAATTCCAGCACTTTGGGAGGCCGAGGCGGGCAGATCACGAGGTCAGGAGATCGAGACCATCCCGGCTAACATTTCTACTAAAAATACAAAAAATTAGCCGGGCATGGTGGCAGGCGCCTGTAGTCCCAGCTACTCGGGAGGCTGAGGCAGGAGAATGGCGTGAACCCGGAAGGTGGAGCTTGCAGTGAGCTGAGATCACACCACTGCACTCCAGCCTGGTCTATAGAGCGAGAATCCATCTCAAAAAAAAAAAAAAAGAGCTATCTTTGCTTTGTTTATAGTTCAACATGCCCACAATATTTGTTCCAGTATTGACTTAAATCTTCTGTTATGGTTTGAAAAGTTTCCTTATAGATGGGGAATAAATCATTGCCTGTCCTTGGGCCCTCTCCAGCCCCACCTTCCCCTCTGCACTTTCAGCCTGCACTCCATTCCTTCCGGGTGCTCTGGTGTGTCTGAGATTACTGCATGTGTCTTCTATTCTGTTTGTGCCTTCCCTTCCTAGAATGTCCAGACTCTGTCTCCACCTTTGCTTATAGGGAGGGAATTCACGTTTAAAGACCCTAGTCCAGCCAGGCACGGTGGCTCACGCCCATAATCCCAGCACTTTGGGAGGCTGAGGTAGGCGGATCACTTGAGGTCAGGAGTTCGAGACCAGCCTGGCAAACATGGCAAAACCCCGTCTCTACTGAAAATACAAAAATTAGCCGGGCATGGTGGCATCTGCCTGTAATCCCAGCTACTTGGAAGGCTGAGGCACGAGAATCACTTGAACCTGGGAGGTGGAGGTTGCAGTGAGCCGAGATTGCACTACTGCATTACAGCCTGGGCGGCAGAGTGAGACTGTGTCTCAGAAAAAAGAAAGAAAAGAAAAAGAAAAATATCTGATAAAGAACATTTGGCCCAGAAAAAGAATAAAATCATTTAGCCACTAATGGTGACAAAGACAAAAATTACAAGTGATTATCGGACAAAATGAAAGCCTAAGTGATTTCTGGGATACTGGGAGTGCGGCAATACACAGAAGTTGAGAAGTAAAAAGTACAAGCACAGAAAATCAAACTTGCTGTTTTCTCCTTGAAAAACGCAGGAGAAATTTTGCAGAATTATCTCTCCTTTCCACTTTGCTATAATGCAGCATTCTTTACAAGTACATGGTTTGTCAAGAAAGGAAATCACGCTTAGCTCTCCCAGACGTGTCATTTTCCAGGCTAGGTTTAGTCTCAGAAATAACTTATAAGTTTGGAGTAGAGGTTTATTTAACCAAAAGTCAGTTATATCTAATTAAGTCACCAGTAACAATACACAAATAACAGTATTTCTTTTACAACTTTTAATTTTTTTTTTTTGAGACAGGGTCTCACTGTCATCCAGGCTGGAGTGAGGTGGTGTTATCATGGCTTACCACAACCTTGACCTCCCAGGCTCAGGTAATCCTCCCACTTCAGTCTCCCAAGTAGCTAGGAGTACAGGCACACACACCACGCCCAGCTAATTTTTGTGTTTTTTTTGTAAAGATGGAGTTTCACCATGTTGCCCAGGATGGTCTTAAACTCCTGGGCTCAAGTGATGCCCCCACTTTCTAAAAATTTAATTATCTTGGCTGGGTGCAGTGGCTCACGCCTGTAATCCAAGTACTTTGGGAGGCTCAGATGGGCAGATCACTTGAGGTCAGGAGTTCGAAACCAGCAGCCTGGCCAACATGGTGAAACCATTCTCTACTATGAACACAAAAATTAGCCTAGCGTGGTGGCAGGCACCTGTAATCCCAGCTACTCGGGAGGCTGAGGCAGGAGAATTGTTTGAACCTGGGAGGCGGAGGTTGCAGTGAGCTGAGATGGCACCACTGCACTCCAGTCTGGGTGACAGCAAGACTGTCTCGGGGGAAAAACAAATTTAATTATCTTTTATGTAGAGACAGGGTCTTGCTGTGTTGCCCTGGCTAGTCTCAAACTCCTAGCCTCAAGTGATTCTCCCGTGTTGGCTCCCTAAGTGTTGGGACTACAGGGGTGAGCCACTGCGCCTGGTCCATTGCCCCCCTACCTTTTTTTTTTTTTTTCTGAGACAGAGTCTTACTCTGTCGCCCAGGCTGGAGTGCAGTGGCGCGATCTTGGCTCACTGCAACCTCCGCCTCCCAGGTTCAAGCAATTCTCCTGCCTCAGCCTCCCAAATAGCTGGGAGGCGTCTGCCACCACGCCTGGCTAATTTTTTTATTTTTAGTAGAGACGGGGTTTTACCATGTTGACCAGGCTGGTCTCAAACTCCTGACCTCAGGTGATCCACTTGCCTCGGCCTCCCAAAGTGCTAGGATTACAGCAATGAGCCACCGCACCCAGCCCCCATTGCCCATTTTTAAACTCAGTTGTTTTTTTTATTTTTTTGATGATGCCCTTTGGGGCACAACGTTTTTTATTTTGTTGAAGTCAAATTTATCTATTTTTCCCTTTGGTTACTGATGGTTTGGTGGCATATCTAAAATACCACAGCCAAATTCAAGGTCGTAAAAAAAATATATATGCTTCTTTCTATAGTTTTAAGTCTTACACTTTAGGCCTTTGATTCATTTTGAGTTAATTTTCATACATGATATGAGGTAAGGGGTCCAACTTCATTCTTTTTCATTTGGAAATCTAGTCACCTCAGCATTATTTACTGAAAAGACTATTTTCCCCCCAACTGGATGGTCCTGGCACACTTGAGAAATCAACTAATTAGCAACTGAGGGTTTACTTTGGATTAATCCTATTCCATTGGTCTATATTGTCCACCTTTATACTAGTACCACAGTCTTGATTACTGTTGCTTTGCAGTAAGTTTTAAAATCTGGAGGTGTGAGTCCTCCAGCTTTGTTTTTTTCCAAGATTATTTTGGTTATTCTGGGTCCCCTGAATTTTGGTATGTATTTTAGTAACAGTTTGTCAATTTCTGCAAAAAAGCCAGCTGGAATTTTGATAGGAATTACACTGAATCTACAGATCGATTTGGGGAGTACTGTCATCTTTACAATGTTAAGTCTTCTGACATATGAACATGGACGCCTTTCCATTTATTTAGGTCATCTTTCATTTTTTTACTTCCTCTTTCCTCCCTTCCGTTTTCTCCTTATACTTAGAACCACAGGCATCAAACTAAATGTAGGGAAGCCTTGTCTCCCACCACTACTTTGTAGAAGAGGAAAAATATAAGAAACAGCTAACAAATAATGCAGTTATAAACTTTAAACAAACAATCCTCGCAACAGTCCTCCTGTAAGTTCTAATACTCTCATTTACAAATGAAGAAACTGAGTATGGAAAGGCTAATTTGTTCAACGTCAGTCGCACTGCTAGCCAGTAAGAGGCAGAATTGGACACTGAAGTAAATTAAGCAATCCGTTTCAGAGTACACATTTCTAAACATTCCACTGTCTTACCCTCCTTCCTTCCCCGTGTCAAGAGAAGTGATTCTACAGCTTTAGCGTATTATTCTCCTTTGCCTACTCAGGCAAACCTTGGTGACACTGAAAGACTCGATTAATTAATATGCAACTTAGGGCGATTAACTAGTTTGAATATTTTTCCTTAACTTCACAAACTCAGTCTCTGATGTATTTGATTAACTCTGTCTATGTCTATATTCAGTATGACCGTATGGGCTTTTTAAAACTGTTACATGACCGGGCGTGGCAGCTCACGCCTGTAATCCCAGCACTTTGGGAGGCCGAGGCAAATGGATCACCTGACGTCAGGAAATCGAGACCAGTCTGGCCAACATGGCAAAATCCCGTCTCTACTAAAAATACAAAAAAAAATTAGCCAGGCATGGTGGCGGGTGCCTGTAATCCCAGCTACTCAGGAGGCTGAGGCAGGAGAACCGCTTGAACCTGGGAGGCGGAGGTTGCAGTGAGCCGAGATCACGCCATTCCACTCCAGCCTGGGCAACAAGAGAGAAACTCCGTCTCAAAAAAAAAAAAAAAAAAAAAAAAAAAAAAAAAAAAAAAAAAACAGGCCGGGCGTGGTGGCTCACACCTGTAATCCCAGCACTTTGGGAGGCCGAGGCGGGCGGATCATGAGGTCAGGAAATTGAGACCATCCTGGCTAATATGGTGAAACCCCATCTCTACTAAAAATACAAAAAATTAGCCAGGCATGGTGGCACGCACCTGTAGTCCCAGCTACTTGGGAGGCTGAGGCAGGAAAATTGCTTGAACCTGAGAAGCAGAGGTTGCAATGAGCCGAGATCGTGCCATTGCACTCCAGCCTAGGTGACAGAGCGAGACTCCATCTCGGGGGAAAAAAAAAAAAAGGGTCGGGCGCGGTGGCTCATGCCTGTAATCCCAGCACTTTGGGAGGCCCAAGGTGGGCAGATCACGAGGTCAGCATAGAGACCATCCTGGCTAACACGGTGAAACCCCGTCTCTACTAAAAATACAAAAAAAATTAGCCAGGCGTGGTGGCGGGCACCTGTAGTTCCAGCTACTCAGGAGGCTGAGGTAGGAGAATGGTGTGAACCCGGGAGCAGAGGTTGCAGTGAGATCACACCACTGCACCCCAGCCCGGGGGACAGAGCGAGACTCCAGGTCTCAAAAAAAAAAAACAAAAAAAAAAACCCTATTATGTTTGTTTTCTATGCTTTTATGATGTTTTTGCATACATTTCTTTTAGATGTGTGTATCTTTTTTCTGTACACACCAGAGGAAGAAATAATAACAATGTCACATATGTTTGAGTCACTCTGAAATCATCAACTCTTGGTTCTTTGGTTCTAGCATGTCTTACACCTGTTTACTCTTACTGTTTTAATGTCTGTTTACTCATTACAGATGATGTCAAGGAAGGGGATGGCTTTCTCTTTTTTTTTTTTTCCTGGAGACAAGGTCTCACTCTGTTGCCCAGGCTGGAGTGCAGTGCTGTCATCAAGGCTCACTGCAGCGTCAAACTCCTGGGCTCAGGTGACCCTCCCACCTCAGCTTCCCGAGTAGCTGGGACTATAGGTGTGTGCCACCATTCCCGACTAAATTTTTTTCTATTTGTGTGGGTGTGTGTGTGGAGACGGGGTTTTGCCATGTTGCCCAGGCTGGTCTCAAACTCCTGGGCTCAGTGATGAACTCCTGGGCTTAAGTGACCCACCCGCCTCTGTCTTCCAAAGTGGTGGGATTATAATAGGTGGAGCCATGACATCCAGCCAGCTGTGGCTTTCTGAGCTTTAGGGAGCTCTGCTATAGAAAGAATGATAGGTGAAGGCCAGTCCTTTTCACACTTTACAAGTCAAAGTGATTTCCTGGGATAACTATAGCTCATCTGCATTGCTGCCTGCCTTGCTTATCTGGGTGCTGAGTGTGGGAGTGGTGTGTCCATCATATGTTCTTCAGATGCTACAGTGGCTACTGACTATGCTTCAGTAGGTAAATTAAAACCATGCATTAATGAGCAACTCTCCGCATTTCACATAGCAGTCTTTGGTAATTTTCTCACATTTGTGTGACCATGATGCTTACTCACATTTGTCTGGACAACTTCCTGAAGGCCTTCTGGAGCTGTTCAATGGGCCAGCCCACTAATAACTAATTTAGTATCTCACATTTTGAAATGTGGAGCTGTTCAATGGCCAGCCTACTAATGACTAATATCTCACACTTTGAAATCTTTGTTCATTAGCTTTTAATTAACAAAACAATCCTATCTAAGCTACATATCTAACCATGTGTTATAGCCATACAGTGGAGTACTACTCAGCAACAATAAGGAACGAAGTACAGTACTGTACTGAAACATGCTACAACATGGATGAATCTTGAAAATACTATGCTCAGTAAAAGAAACCAGTCACAAAGAACCACATGTTTCATACCATATTTGTATGAAATATCCAGAATAGGTAAATCTACAGAGACAGAAAGCAGCTGCTGGGCGTGGTAGCTCACGCCTGTAATCCCAGCACTTTGGGAGGCCGAGGCGGGTGGAACACCTGAAGTCAGGAGTTCAAGACCAACCTGGCCAACCTGGTGAAACCCCATCTCTACAAAAATACAAAAAAAAAAATCAGCCAGGCCTGGTGGCGTCCACCTGTAATCCCAGCTACTCGGGGGGCTGAGCTTGCAGTGAGTGAAGATTGTGACATTGCGCTCCAGCCTGGGCGACAAAGCGAGACTCCATCTCCAAAAAAAAAAAGGAGCATAGTGGTTGCTTAGGGATGAGGCTAATAGGGACTCTCCAGGCAGAACCCAAGAAGAATGTGTGAGCTTAGTTTGGGGTTCAGCAGCACTTGCTGAGAGGAACCTGCTGTGCTTCTCAGATTCCCTAGGCCCATCTTGGAAGGACTTAACTCCAGAACAGGTTCTGAGCGGCAGGTCTATTTCCAGCCACATGTCATTAATAGACTAATTCCTCTGCTGAAAAAGAGTCATGACACTTCTTACTTCTTACAGCAGTGAACAGACTCAGGAGCTCTGTTCTGTCCAGAATTCCAATAGCTAACAACTTACAATAAATAAAAGTTACAGAAGCCGGGCGCGGTGGCTTACGCCTGTAATCCCAGCACTTTGGGAGGCCGAGGCAGGCGGATCACGAGGTCAGGATATTGACACCATCCTAACACAGTGAATCCCAGTCTCTACCACACACACAAAAAATTAGCCGGGCGTGGTGGCAGGTGCCTGTAGTCCCAGCTACTTGGGAGGCTGAGGCAGAAAAATGGCATGAACCCAGGAGGTGGAGCTTGCAGTGAGCCGAGATGGTGCCACTGCACTCCAGCCTGGGCAACAGAGTGAGACTCCACCTCAAAAAAAAAAAAAAAAAAAAAGTTACAGACAAAACAGTAAGACTTGATTAGTAGGCCCAAGTACACATACTGATTTAGAAGACAGAAGCAAATCAGTTTCACAAAAGGAGCCTTCCCCTCCTTTATTGGCGGGTCCCCGTCCATCTATAATACCCACAGACTGTGAGAAGCAAATAGCTTTGACAGTCCGTTGTCAGGAATTTTTTTTTTTTCTTTAAGATGGAGTCTCACTCTGTCACCCAGGCTGGAATGCAGTGGCACAATCTCAGCTCACTGCAGCCTCCACCTCCCGGGTTCAAGCGATTCTTGTGTCCCAGCCTTCTGAGTAGCTGGGACTACAGGCACCCGCCACCACGCCCAGCTAATTTTTGTAGTTTTAGTAGAGACGGGGAACATCTTGGCCAGGCTGGTCTTGAACTCCTGACCTTGTGATCCACCTGCCTCGGCCTCCCAAAATGCTGGGATTACAGGCGTGAGCCACTGCACCCAGCCTTAATTTTTGTATTTTTTGTAGAGACGGGTTCACCATGTTGGCCAGACTAGTCTTGAACTCCTGACCACAGGTAATTCGCCTGCCTTGGCCTCTCAAAGTGCTGGTATTACAGGTATGAGCCACCACGCCCAGCCCCATGTCAGGATTTAATTCACACCTTACTTGGGATGCTAGCCAGTTTGAACCAGTCAACATGTAAAAGGAAAATACAGATGTAACAAAAGTTGGACTGGAAAAACACGTGGCTTAATCCTCTGTCTAATATTCCAAGGAAAATTTACAAATTTTGATAGAGTGACAGTAGAGAAACTGAAAAAATCTATTTCAGAAAAGGTAAAAGGCGTCATGGATATTAATATAAAAGAGTACGGGGCCAGGTGTGGTGGCTCTCCCCTATAATCTCAGCATTCTGGGAAGCTGAGGCGGGCAGATTACTTGAGGTCAGGAGTTCGAGACCAGCCTGGCCAACGTGGTGAAACCCCGTCTCTACTAAAAATACAAAAATTAGGCTGGATGCAGTGGCTCATGCCTGTAATCCCAGCACTTTGGGAGGCTGAGGCAGGAGGATCACGAGGTCAGGAGATCGAGACCACCCTGGCTAACACGGTGAAACCCCGTCTCTACTAAAAATACAAAAAACTAGCCAGGCGTGGTGGCATGCACCTGTAGTCCCAGCTACTTGGGAGGATGAGGCAGGAGAACCGCTTGTACCCGGGAGGCAGAGGTTGCAGTGAGCCGAGATCGCACCACTGCACTCCAGTCTGGGTGACAGAGCAACGCCGTCTCAAAAAAAAAAAAAAAGAAATACAAAAATTAGCCAGGTGTGGTAGTACACACGTGTAGTTCCAGCTACTAGGGAGGCTGAGGCAGGAAGATCAGTTGAACCCAGGAGACAGAGGCTGCAGTGAGCCAAGATCACACCACTGCACTCCAACTTGAGCGACAGAGTGAGAATCCGTCAAAAAAAAAAAAAAAAGTAAAAATTATACATACTTAGGCAGCAGAGTCACTGCTTCAAGTGTGAACACAACAGACAAAAAGTCTGGATTGCATTCAATCCTACAACTGGTAATGTCACAGCTTCACTGCCCAACGTGGTAGCTACTAGCCACATTGTGACTTTCTTTTTTTAAGACAGAGTTTCGCTCTTGTTGCCCAGGCTGGAGTGCAATGGCGCGATCTCAACTCACTACAACCTCCGCCTCCCCGGTAGCTGGGATTACAGGCATGCACCACCATGCCCGGGTAATTTTGTATTTTTAGTAGAGACGGGGTTTCTCCATGTTGGTCAGGCTGGTCTGAACTTCCCAACCTCAGGTGATCCGCCCACCTCAGCCTCCCAAAGTGCTGGGATTACAGGCGTGAGCCACTGTGCCCGGCCTAATTAATTTATCTTTTTTTTTTTTTTTTTTTTTTGAGACAGCGTTTCGATCTTGTCCCCCAGACTGGAGTGTAATGGCACGATCTCAGCTCACTACAATCCTGCCTCCCAGGTTCAAGTGATTCTCCCGCCTCAGCCTCCCAAGTAGCTGGGATTATAGGCATCCACCACTATGTTCGGCTCATTTCCGTATTTTTAGTAGAGACAGGGTTTTGCCTTATTGGCCAGGCTGGTCTCGAACTCCTATCTCAAGTGATCCACCAGCCTCAGCCCCCGCAAAGTGCTGGGATTACAGGCGTGAGCCACCACACATGGCCAATTAATTTATCTTTAAAAAAACAAACAAAAACAAAAAAACAATGCTGGTCAGGCACAGTGACTCCCACCTGTAATCCCAGGATGTCTGAGGCCAGGAGCTCGAGACCAGCCTGGGCAATACAGTGAGACCTCATTTCTACAAATAATAAAAATTAGCCAGGCGTGTTGGTGAGTGTCTGTAATCCCAGCTACTGGGTGGGTAAGGGTGGGAAACTGAGGTGAGAGGACAGCTTCAGCCAGTAGGTAAAGTCTACAGTGAGCCATGATCATACCATTGCTCTCCAGCCTGGGTGCCAGAGTGAGTCCCTGTGTCAAAAACAAGAACAACAAAAAACTGATGTTTAAATTTTAAAATATTCTTCCTTTTTATCAAGTAAGTAAAAATTTTAAAGTATTGAATAAAAGACAGGTCTTGCCATGTTACCCAGACTGGTCTCAAACTCCTGAGCTCAAGTCATCTGCCTGCCTCAGCCTTCCACAAGTGCTGGGATTACAGGTGTGAACTACTGCACTTGGCCTAAAATTTTTCATTTTCAAATTCAGTTCCTTGGCCACACTGACCATATTCAATGCTCAATAGCCACATGTGGCTGGGAGCTATGGTACTGGACAGTGCAGATATACAGCACGTCCACCATCACAGAAAGACAACGCTGTTCTAAACATGTCTCCCACAGCTGCTGGATTGGTCAAAGAAGACATATCCACAATTTAATGTCACAAATTTTTCCAGAAAATGGTCACCACAAACATCAGGTCTTTTAGAGGCCAGGCGTGATGGCTCACTTCTGTAATCCTAGCACTTTGGGAGGTCAAGGGGGGTAGATCAGCTGAGGTCAGGAGTTCAAGACCAGCCTGGCCAACATGGTCAAACCCCGTCTCTACTAAAAATACAAAAATTACCCAGGCATGGTGAGCGTGCCTGTAATCCCAGCTACCTGAGAGGCTGAGGCAGGAGAATCGCTGGAACCTGGGAGGCGGAGGCTGCAGTGAGCCAAGATCGCGCCACTCCAGCCTCGGCAACAGAGCAAGACTCTGTCTCAAAAAATAAAAAAATCAGGTATTTTAAAGATAAATTCTAAGTGCTCCCATCCATCTTTTACGCTTCCTTCTTAGTCACTCTGCCACCTACTACTGCAGTATAATGGTGATCTTCTCCTTGCCAGGCCCAGTGGCCTTGTGTCAACTTTTTTTTCCAGAGAGGGTCTGCCTCTGTCACCCAGACTGGAGTGCAGTGACGTAATTATGGCTCACTGCAGCCTCAACCTCCCAGGCTCAATCAGTTCTCCCACCTCAGTATCCCAAGTAGCTGAGACCACAGGCACACACCACCACGTTTGGCTAATTGCTGTAGAGATGGGGTTCCATCATATGGGCCAGACGGGTCTCCAACTCCTGGGATCAAGCGATCTACCTGCCTTGGCCTCCCAAAGTGCTCAGATTACAGGTGTAGGCCACTGCACTGGCTTTTTTTTTTTTTTTTTTTTTTAAGAGGCTCAGCCTCAAGAACAGTTAGGACCACAGGTCCCTTGTCTCAAATTCTCTCTCTGTGTGTGTGTGTGTGTGTGTGTGTGTGTGTGTGTGTGTGTGTGTGTGTGTGTGACAGAATCTCGCTCTGTCGCCCAGGCTGGAGTGCAGTGGTGCAATCTCGGCTCACTGCAACCTCCGCCTCCCGGGTTCAAGCAGTTCTCCTGTCTCAGCCTCCTGAGTAGCTGGGATTACAGGCATGCACCACTACGCCTGGCTAATTTTTTTTTTTTTGAGATGGAGTCTCCTCTGTTGCCCAGGCTGGAGTGCTGTGGCATGATCTCGGCTCACTGCAAGCTCCACCTCCCGGGTTCACGCCATTCTCCTGCCTCAGCCTCCCAAGTAGCTAGGACTACAGGCACCCGCCAACACGCCTGGCTAATTTTTTTATTTTTTATTAGAGACAGGGTTTCACCGTGTTAGCCAGGATGGTCTCAATCTCCTGACCTCGTGATCTGCCTGCCTCAGCCTCCCAAAGTGCTGGGATTACAGGTGTGAGCCACCGCCCCCGGCCTAATTTTTGTATTTTTAGTAGAGACAGGGATTCACCATGTTGGTCAGGCTGGTCTCGAACTCCTGACCTCGCGATCTGCCTGCCTCAGCCTCCCGAAGTGCTAGGATTACAGGCGTGAGCCACTGCATCCAGCTCCTTGTCTCAATTCTTATTGCCCCGACTGGTCTCATACAAACCACTTTTTTGTTTTTGTTTTTCTGAGATAGAGTCTCTCTCTGTTGCCCAGGCTGAAGTGCAGTGGCATGATCTTGGCTCAATGCAACCTCCACCTCCCGGGTTCCACCAATTCTCCTGCATCAGCCTCATGAGTAACTAGAATTACAGGTGCGCACAACCATGCCCAGCTAATTTTTGTAATTTTAGTAGAGATGGGGTTTGACCATATTGGCCAAACTGGTCTCAAACTCTTCACCTCAAGTGATCTACCTGCCTCGGCCTCCCAAAATGCTGGGATTTCAGGCGTGAGCCACTGCATCCGGCCACAAACCACTGTCTTCTATGGGCCATTCCTTGTTCTAGCTACTAGAGATACAGCTTTATCTGGAAAACACTCAGGGAAAACAGCACAATGTAATTAAGTGCTGTAACAAAAGCTTATCTTCTCTGGTATGAACTCAGAGAAAAGGCAAGTGATTCTGCCAGAGAGCTTCAGATAAGATGATATCTGACCTGGATGGACCTTGAAGAAGGAGGACAAGTCCCCTGGAAAGAGCGGTAACGATGGTTCAGGAATACTTTCTAAGGTGAGGAAACAGCTTGAGCAAATAACCTCAATGACCAGTAACACAAGAATTTGGCGGTCGGGCGCGGTGGCTCACGCTTGTAATCCCAGCACTTTGGGAGGCCGAGGCGGGCAGATCACGAGGTCAGGAGATCGAGACCATCTTGGCTAACACGGTGAAATCATGTCTCTACTAAAAATACAAAAAAAAACAGCCGGGTGTGGTGGCAGGCACCTGTAGTCCCAGCTACTCGGGAGGCTGAGGCAGGAGAATGACGTGAACCCGGGAGGCGGAGCTTGCAGTGAGCCGAGATCGCACCACGGCACTCCAGCCTGGACGACAGTGCAAGACTCCGTCTCAAAAAAAAAAAAAGAATTCAGAAAGGAGATTTTTGAAAATAAGGGTGGAAAGATGGGGCGATGGTTAGACCAGAGGATATGGTATGTCATGCAGAGCAATCTGCATTCTATTCTGTAAGGAAGGGAAAGCCACTGGACCAGCACAATCAGGTCTGTAATTAATAGAGAAACAAAGCCTGGCCGGGCACGGCTGTTCACACCTGTAATCCCGGCACTTTGGGAGACTGAGAGGGGTGCAGATCACCTGAGGTCAGGAGTTCAAGACCAGCCTAGCCAACATGGTGAAACCCCATCTCTACTAAAAATACAAAAATTAGCCAGGCGTGGTGGTGGGCGCCTATAATTTCAGCTACTCGGGAGGCTGAGGTAGGAGAATCGCTTGAACCCAGGAGGCGGAGGTTGCAGTGAGCCAAGATCACACCACTGCACTCTAGCCTGGGCAACAGAGCGAGACTCTGTCTCCAAAAAAAAAGAAGAGGAAGAAACAGAGCCTTGGCAGGGCACGAAAAGTGATTGAGTGGTTAACTGGATAGGGATGAGAAAACTATGGCAAGGGTATGAGGGTGCCCAAAAGAAAGAACCCTAATGGAAGGGGAGGTGGAATGGGCACAATCTAAGGAGGCGTTTTCCAAACCTCACAAACATTTCCCCACAGTCAGCTGAAAAATATCAGTGCCCAGGTAAGCTGTTATTACAGGTAAAAACAGCATAGTCTTCCAGTGTATGGAATGGAGAGGGGCAGTGATCTAGCCAAAGAGTGCCACCAACACAAAGGAAGTGGTGGTCATGAAGAAGCCAGAAATAACTGAAATGCTCAAAAAGGTATGATGATAATGAACACCAAGAAAAAAGGAAGAACACATTACAAGAAAAGAGTCCAAACTACATGCTTGCAAAAAGAACACAGGTCTATGAGGAGGTGTCCAGCAACAGGAGAAAACCTTTTCATATAGCCACAGGCAAGAGTAGATGGCAGTGAATTGAGAAAACGTGGGCACTGAGATATGTGGTGGAAAATGTTCTTTCAAGAAGTCAGCCCGGGGCCAGGCCTGGTGGCTCACGCCTGTAATCCCAGCACTTTGGGAGGCTGAGGAGGATGGATCATTTGAGATCAGGAGTTAGAGACCAGCCTGGCCAACATGGTGAGACCCTGACTCTACTAAAAATACAAAAAATTAGTTGGGCGCGGTGGCTCGCACCTGTAATCCCAGTACTTTGGAAGCCAAGGTGGGCGGATCACGAGGTCAGCAGTTCGAGACCAGCCTGGCCAACATAGTGAAACCTTACCTCTACTAAAAATACAAAAATTAGCCGGACATGATGGCACACGTCTGTAATCCCAGCTACTCGGGAGGCTGAGGCAGGAGAATCGCTTGAACCTGGGAGGTGGAGGTGTCAGTGAGCCAAAATCGTACCACTGCTCTCCAGACTGGGCAACAAGAGCAAAACATCACACACAAAAAAAGTCAGGCCGGGTGCAGTTATCAGCACTCTGGGAGGCTGAGGTGGGAGAACTGCTTAAGCACGAGTTCAACACCAGCCCGGGCAACATAGTGAGACCACATCTTTACTAAAAAAAATTTTTTTAAAGTAGTCAGCCTGGGCTTGGTGGCTCATGCCTATAATCCCAGCACTTTGGGAGGCTGAGGTGGGAGGATCACTTGAGCCCAGGAGTTCAAGACTGGCCTGGTCAACATGGTGAGAGCTTGTCTCTACAAAAAATAAAAATATTACCCAGGCGTGGTAGCATATACCTGTGGTCCCACCTACTCTGCAGGCTGAGGTGGCAGGATCGCTTGGGCCCAGGAGGGCAAAGTGGCAGTGAGTAGTGATCGAGACACTGCACTCCAGCCTGGGTGACAGAGCAAAATCCTGTCTCAAAAAAAAAAAAAAAAAAAGTCAGAAAATAAATGTTACAACATGGATGAACCTTTAAAACATTGCATAAATGAAAGAAGCCAGTCACAAAAGACAATATATGATTCCATTACACGAAATATCCAGAATAGGCAAATCTATAGAGACACAAAGTAGATTAGTGGTTACCTAAGGCTGGGCGTGGTGATAGGGAGATTGAAGATGACAGTTGAAGAACATAGGGTTTCTTTTTGAGGTGATAATAATGTTCTAAAATTGACTGTAGTGATACACGTAAAACTCTGTGAATATACTAAAACCCACCAAACTGTTCATTTCAAATGAATGGTGTGATATATGAATTATATCTCAGTAAAATTGTTACCAAAAGAGTTGGTTTTTGTTTTTTTAAAAAAAATAAGCGTTGAAAGTATGGCAGAGACTGCCTGCTTATCTGCCTCAATAGCTTTCCCCTTCATAGTCACATGGCTGCCAGTTATAAAGACTACATTTCCCAGCATTCACTGCAGCTAGGTGGGGTATTAAGATCTGACCAACAGACTGTATGCAGAAAATGATGATGCAGGAGAGCAGAGAACTGCTAGAGCAACATTACGAGATTAGAGGGGAACGAGATTTCGCTTGCAAGTGGAAGGGCTGACCTTAGATAGAACAATGGACTCCCAAGGGACTGATCCACAGGAATAGAAAAATAAGTAAGAAGCAAGATCATAACAGCTGATAGAGGCAAGGAAAGGGAACAGGAGATTTGAGCCAAAGGACATGGTGCTATATTATCCTAAAAGCAGGAGAATAAACGGACTAAGGAATCTTAGCGGGACTGCTAGGCAGTGCTAAAAGCAGCCACCTTTGAGGTCAAGGGTCCATGAGTTCAAAGAGAGACAAGTCAGTGAATTTTTTCTTTCGCTACATTCAGTCAAAAGCACAGAATAGGTAAAGAGTAGGATTTAGGCTAGGCGTGGTGGCTCACACCTATAGTCCCAGCACTTTGGGAGGCTGAGGTGGGCAGATCACTTGAGGTCAGGAGTTTGAGACCACCCCGGCCAACACGGTGAAACCCCATCTCTACTAAAGTAGCCAAGTGTGGTGGCGCGCTCCTGTGGTCCCATCTACTCAGGAGGCTGAGACACGAGAATTGCTTGAACCCAGAAGGCGGAGGTTGCTGTGAGCCTTGAGATCGCACCACTGCACTCCACCCTGGGTAACAGAGCAAGACTTTGTCAAAAAAAAAAAGTAAGATCTAAACCAGGGCTGAGATTTTGCCAGGTAACATAAAATGAGAGACAGAACAAGAAATGGAGAATACATAAAAGGGGGTAATTACAGTGATAAACTAAAGGTAAGGAGCAGTGAAAGGGTAGGCAGTAGCATCAATAGATGTTAAGCCCCAGTGGGGGCTTAAAGAATTTTGCTGGCAGGGCGCGGTGGCTCACGCCTGTAATCCCAGCACTTTGGGAGGCCAAGGCGGGTGGATCACGAGGTCAGGAGATCGAGACCATCCTGGCTAAAACACCATGAAACCCCGTCTCTACTAAAAGAAAAAAAAAAAGAAATACAAAAAATTAGCTGGTCGTGGTGGCGGGCACCTGTAGTCCTAGCTACTCTGGAGGCTGAGGCAGGAGAACGGCGTGAACCCGGGAGGCAGAGCTTGCAGTGAGCCGAGATTATGCCACTGCACTCCAGCCTGAGCGACACAGCGAGACTCCGTCTCAAAAAAAAAAAAAAAAAAAAAAAAAAAAAAAAGAATTTTGCTGTCTGAGTATTACAGTATTATTACAGGGCTTTAATACTGGTGGCTCACGCCTGTAATCCCAGTTATTTGGGAGACTGAGACAGGAGAATTGCTGCCTCGGGAGGCAGAGGTTGCAGTTAGCTGAGACTGTGCCACTGCACTCCAGCCTGCGTGACAGAGCAAGACTCCGTCTCAAAAAAAAAAAAAAAAAAAAAAAAAAAAAAAAAGGCTGGGCACGGTGGCTCATGCCTGTAATCCCAGCACTCTGGGAGGCCGAGGCAGGCAGATCACGAGGTCAGGAGATCAAGACCACCCTGGCTGACACAGTGAAACCCCGTCTCTACTAAAAACTACAAAAACTTAGCTGGGCGTGGCGGCGGGCACCTGTAGTCCCAGCTACTCGGGAGGCTGAGGCAAGAGAATGACGTGAACCTGGGAGGCGGAGCTTGCAGTGAGCCGAGATCGCACCACTGCACTGCAGCCTGGGCGACAGAGCGAGACTCTGTCTCAAAAAAAAAAAAAGTGTGTTAACAAATGATCTCTGAGACAAGATTATTAAATGAAAAAAGTGATGTGCCAAATATGTCATATGCTATCATACCATAGTGTAATGGCGGGATACATAGATATACAAAACAGGGCTTGACAGAGGTGTACAATATTCACCAATAGACACTGGTATATGTATAGACTGTCTCTAGAATAGTACACAGGAGCTTTTTTTTTTTTTTCCCCCAGAAAGGGTCTTGCTTTGTCACTCAGGCTGCAGTGCTGGAGTGCAGTGGAGTGATCATGACTCACTGCGGCCTAGAACTCCTGGGCTCCCCTCAGCTGCCCCAAGTGCTGGGATTACATGCACTGGTCTACAAGAAACACAACAGGTACCTCTAGGGGCCATATATCCTTTTGCACTGTTTGAATTTACCAAATAAAACTATTATGTTTTCGAACAAGATAAATTTTTAAATGTAGGGACTTTAAAAGATTTATATAGTAGATTACATCAAGGGGGTAAGAAATAAAGCAATACATATGCAAAAATCCATCTTGGAATCTGAACTCAAGAAACTACAGAAACGGCTGGGCACGGTGGCTCACGCCTGTAATCCCAGCACGTTGGGAGGCCGAGGTGGGCGAATCAGGAGTTCGAGACCAGCCTGACCAACAAGGTGAAACCCGTCTCTACTAAAAATACAAAAAAATTAGCTGGGCATGGTGGCACGTGCTTGTAATCCCAGCTACTCGGGAGGCTGAGGCAGGAGAATCGCTTGAACCCGGGAGGCGGAGCTTGCAGTGAGCCGAGACCGCGCCACTGCACTCCAGCCTGGGTGACAGAGCGAGACTCCATCTCAAAAAAAAAAAAAAACAAAAAAAACGAAACTACAGAAGCATACTGCCCCCCTCTCCCCCAACATCTTCCCTAGTCTAACCAAAACTGGCCACCCCCCACCACCTCCTGTTTCTATAAGGAGATAAAACAAGATTATCTGTGTTCAGGCCAAGGGTTGATTCCCACTACTCATAACATTTCCCCTAAACCTCATTTTAAAGGCCAAGAGTTACACCCTCACCACCAGAGGCCTCAGTGGCTTCCTGGCTACTCTAAATTCTTCTTTATCCCTGAACTCCTACAGCACTTCGTCTTTCAGTGCTGTTTCATGCCTATGTGAGCTTGAATCACTGAATACTTTGTTCTGGTACAGAGAAGACTGTATCAGGACTTGGTGCCATGCGTCTGTAATCCTAGCTACTCAGGAGGCTGAGGTAGCTGGATCCCTTGAGCCCAGGAGTTCAAGGCTGCAGTGAGCTATGATCATGCCACTGCACTCCAGCCTGGGTGACAGAGCAAGATTGTAGCCAAAAAGGTGAGGTGGGGGGATGGTATATAAAAGGGTTAATTTCCAGCCGGGCACGGTGGCTCACGCCTGTAATTCCAGCACTTTGGGAGGCCGAGGCGGGCGGATCACGAGGTCAGGAGATCAAGACCATCCTGGCTAACACGGTGAAATCCCGTCTCTACTAAAAATACAAAAAAATTAGCCGGGCATAGTGGCGGGCGCCTGTAGTCCCAGCTATTCGGGAGGCTGAGGCAGGAGAATGGCGTGAACCCGGGAGGCAGAACTTGCAGTGAGCTGAGATTGCACCACTGCACTCCAGCCTGGGCGACAGAGACTCCGTCTCAAAAAAAAAAAAAAAAAAAAGAGTTAATTTCCTACCTTTTAGAAAGGAAACTTTCAAAAGCCCAAATTACTAATATTAGACACTAGGGCCTTCAAATTTACTTCCTCTAAGTTACTACCCTTCTTTTCTGAATTGACCTTAGGAAGTTACTTCTTTCCAAACAAGACCTACAAGTAACAACGCATAGTATGTAAAACTCCTGACCAGGTGTGGTGGCTCACAACTGCAATCCCAGCACTTTGGGAGGCAGGAGGACTGCTTGAAGCCAAGAGGTGGAGACCAGTCTGGGCAATACAGTGAGACCTCATCTCTCAAAAAAATATGAAAACGGACAGGCAAGGTAGCTTATGCCTATAATCCCAGCACTTTGGGAGGCCATGGCGGATGGATCACTTGAGCCCAAGAGTTTGACACCAGCCTGGGCAACATGGCGAAACCTCTGGGAGGCAAAGGTTGCAGTGAGTGGAGATCGGGCCACTGCACTCCAGCCTGGGCGACAAGAATGAAACTCTGTCTCAAAAAAAAAAAAAAAAAATTGGGGAAATGAAGTTGAAAACATAGAGCTGTTTATTTTGTTTACTGACTGCATGGGAAATTCCTGATGAAAGGGCCAAACTACCATCCATCCATCTGTCCATAATGAACTTGAGCCTGGTATAGGTTGAGTACTGCTTATCCAAAATGCTTGGGCCCAGAAGTGTTTCAGATTTCAGAATTTCTTCAGATTTTGGAATATCTGCATTATACTTACTGGTTCAGTATCCCAAATCCAAAAATTGAAAGTCTGAAAGGCACCACTAGGCATTTCCTTTGAATGTCATGCCAGCGCCCATCTTGAAGCATTTCAGATGCTCAACCTGTACTGCCATTATTTGGCCATCCTGATCAAGTGGCTGCCAAGCTCTTAGTTCAAGAGCTTTCCTTTCTGTAGCAGTAAGGGCACTTGGAGATCAAGAGCAGCAGGAATAAGGCACATGGTGGTAAGCAATGAAGAAAACCTTCAATTTACTGCCAAGTGAAAATCACTTCAAACTCAAGTTCTTTGGGGAAAGACAGGCAAGGAACAATCCCTGAGGTAACATACCGTCAAGTTTCCTAAATAAGAGCATGAAATCATTTATCTCAAAATGTAAATATTATAAGGTTAACCTTCAATGGATGCACAGAATCAGGATTTGACTTTGTTTGGCCTAATTCCAAACTTACATTGCCTCTAAGACAATGCGTATCTAGTAAAACTGACAAAGAAAAATGAACCATTAGGTACCTCCCAGTGAGCTGGCTAAGAATTTATATATGCTTATTGTAAACCTTATTGCAGGAGTTTACTTTTACCAAGTATATATATTTCTTAAAATAAAAAACTAGGCCGGGTGCAGTGGTTCACACCTATAATCCCACCACTTTGCGAGGCCAGAGCTCAGGAGTTAGAGACCAGCCTGGACAACATGGCAAAACGTCATCTCTATAAAAATTAAATTAATTAACTAGGTATGGTGGTGCTTGCCTGTAGTCCCAGATGCTCATGAGGCTGAGGCAGGAGTATTACTTGGGCACAAGAGTTAGAGGCTGCAGTGAGCCACGATAGCACCACTGCACTCCAGCCTGGGAAACAGATCAAGACTCTGTCTCAAAAACAAACCAAAACTTGTCATATTCTAGGAAGCCAAGCAAATAAAACGAATGAACAAAAAAACTAGTCTAAAAAACTTTAGGCCAGGAGCAGTGGCTCACACCTGTAATTCCAGCACTTTGGGAGACCGAGGCAGGAGGATCACAAGGTCAGGCCTTTGAGACCAGCCTGGCCAACATGGCGAAACCCCGTATCCACTAAAAACACAAAAAATTAGCCGGGCGTGGTGGCGGGTGCCTGTAGTTCCAGCTACTCGGGAGGCTGAAGCAGAAGAATCGCTTGAACCCGAGAGGCGGAGGTTGCAGTGAGTTGAGATCGTGCCACTGCACTGCAGCCTGGGCAACAGAGCGAGATTCCATCTCATAAAAAAAAAAAAAAAGAAACCCGCCGAGCGCGGTGGCTCACGCCTGTAATCCCAACACTTTGGGAAGCAGAGGCAGGCGGATCACAAGATCAGATCGAGACCATCCTGGCTAACAGAGTGAAACCCCATCTCTACTAAAAATACAAAAAGTTAGCTGGGTGTGGTGGCACGCACCTGTAGTCCCAGCTACTCAGGAGGCTGAGGCAGGGGAATCACTTGAACCCGGGAGGCAGAGGCTGCAGTGAGCCAAGATTGCGGCACTGCACTCCTAGATGACAGAATAAGACTCCGTCTCAAAAATAAAAATAAAAATTTAAAGCCTTGAGGAAATGCTCTTTAACTCGACTGAGTGGCAATTACTTGGGTATACACATTCATCAAAATTTATCAAACTGGCGGTTTGTGGTGGCTCATGCCTATAATCCCAGGGCTTTGTGAGGTTGAGACGAGAGAATCACTTAAGGCCAGGAGTTCAAGACCAGTCTGAGCACATAGTGAGACCCCTCTCTCTACAAAAAAAAAAATTACAAAATAAAAATGTAGCCAGGCGTGGTGGTGCACACCTGCAGTCCCAGCTACTCGGGAGGCTAAAGCAGAGAATTCTTGGGCCTAGGAGGTCGAGGATGTAGTAAGCCATGATTCCGACACTGCACTTCAGCTGGGTGACAGAACAAGGCCCTATGTCTAAAAAAAATAAGAACAAAAAAATTATCAAACTATCATTTAAAGTATGTGCATTTTATTGTATGCAAATTAAACCTCCATGAAGGTAATTAAACCTCAGGTGATTCCAATTTGGGGAACTGGATTCCAAGTTTGGGAACAGTGGAGTCTAGGAACCACTGTTCTTAAGTACCAGGAACCAAGTAGTAAGCCCTGTTTTATTCCAAGAAATCTTAGG